>NC_000002.12:1525151-1828181 GCF_000001405.40 Homo sapiens
GCAACCTCCTCAAGTCCCCCACTGTGTGCAATCCGCCCAAGTCCCCCCACTGTGCAACCTGCTCAAATCCCCTCACTGTGTGCAACCTCCCCAAATCCCTCACACTGGGTGCAACCTCCTCAAATCCCCTACTCTGTGGAACCTCCTCAAATCCCCCCCACTGTGTGCCTCCTCAAATCCCCTCACTATGTGCAACTCCACCAAATCTCCCCCACTGTGAGCAAAACCACAAATCCCCCCAATGTGTGCAACTTCCTCAAATCCCCCCACTGTGTGCAACCTCCCCAAAACCCCC
The DNA here is from genome assembly GCF_000001405.40 of Homo sapiens. Taxonomy (NCBI): domain Eukaryota; kingdom Metazoa; phylum Chordata; class Mammalia; order Primates; family Hominidae; genus Homo; species Homo sapiens. The sequence goes on from NC_000002.12 coordinate 1,525,447, forward strand.
CACTGTTTGCAACACCCCCAAATTTCCCCCACTGTGAGCAAACCCCCAAAACCCCCACTGGGTACAACCTCCTCAAATCCCCCCACTGTGTGTAACCTCCCAAAATCCCCCCACTGTGTGCAAACCCCCCAAATCTCCCTATGACCAAAACCACAAATCCCCCCACTGTGTGCAACCTCCTCAAATCCCCCCAATGTGTGCAAGCCCCAAAATCCCACCCACTATGTGCAACCTCCCCCAAATCCCCCCGACTCTGTGCAAACTCCCCAAATCACCCCCACTCTGCAAACTCCCCAAATCTCACCCCACTGTGGGCAACCACACTAAATCCCGCCACTGTGTGCAACCTCACCAAATTTCCCCGTGTGCAACCTACCCAAATGCCCCCCACTCTGTGCAACCTCCCAAAATCCCCCACAATGTGTGCAAACTCCTCAAATCCCAATACTGTGTGCAACCTCCTCAAATCCCCCCACTGTGCGCAACCTCCTCATATCCCCCGACTGTTTACAACCTTCCCAAATCTCCCCACTGTGAGCAACCTCCCCAAATCCCCCACTGTGTGCAACCTCCCCAAATCCGCCCACTGTGTGCAACCTCCCCAAATCCCCCCACTGTGCGCAACCTCCCCAAATCCTCCCACTGTGCGCAACCTCCCCAAATCCCCCCGACTCTGTGCAACCTCCCCCATCCCTCCATGTGCAAACCTCCAAATCCCCCCACTGTGTGCAACCTCCTCAAATCCCCCCACTGTGTGCAACCTCCTCAAATCCCCCCGATGTGTGCAACACCCCCAAGTCCCCCCCACTGTGAGCAACCACCCCAGTCCCCCCACAGTGTGCAAACACCCCACATCTCCCCCACTGTGAGCAAAACCACAAATCCCCCCAGTGTGTGCAACCTCAATTCCCCCCACTGTGTGCAACCCCCCAAATGCCCCCCAATGTGAGCAACCCCCCCAAATCAACATGCTGTGTGAAACCTCAAATCCCCCAACTGTGTGCAACCTCCCCAAATCCCCTCCACTGTGTGCAACCTCAAGTCCGCCACTGTGTGCAACCCCCGCAAATCCTCCCAGTGTTCGCAACCTCCTCAAATCCTCTCACTGTGTGCAACCTTCTCAAATCCCACGCCACTGTGAGCAACCTCCACAAATCCCCCCAACTCTGTGCAACCTCCCCAAATCTCCCCAGTGTGTGCAACTTCCCTAAATCCCCCAAACTGTGTTCATCCTCCCCAAATCCCCCCCCCACTGTATGCAACCTCCCCAAATCCCACCTAATGTGTGCAACATCCTCAAATCCCCACCACTCTGTGCAACCTCCCCAAATCCCCCCCAATCTATGCAACCTCCCCAAATCCCCCCCAATCTATGCAACCTCCCCAAATCCTCCCCACTCTGTGCAACCTCCCCAAATCCCCTGCTTTGTGGGCAATGTCACAAAATCCCCCGGTGTGTGCAACCTCCCCAAATCCCCTCCACTCTGTGCAACCTCCACAAATCCCCCACACTCTGTGCAACCTACTCAAATCCCCACACTGTGTGCAACCTCCTCAAATCCCCCCCACTGTGTGCAACCTCCTCAAATCCCCCCACTGTGAGCAACCTCCTCAAATCCCCTCACTGTGTGCCACCTCCCCAAATCCCCCCACTTTCTGCAACCTCCGCAAATACCCCCACTGTGTGCAACCTCCTCAAATCCCCCCACTCTGTGCAACCTCCCCTATCCCTCCCACTGTGTGCAACCGCCCCAAATCCCCCAACTATATGCAACCTACTCAAATCCCCCCACTGTGTGCAACCTCCCCAAAACCCCCACTGTGAGCAACCTCCCCAAATCCCCTCACTGTGTAACCTCCCCAAATCCCCTCACTGTGTAACCTCCCAAAATACCCCCCGTGAGCAACCTCCCCAAATCCCCGCACTGTGTGCAACCACCCCAAATCCCCCCCACTGTGTGCAACCTCCTCAAATCCTCCGCCACTGTGAGCAACCTCCTCAAATACCCCACTGTGTGCAACCTCCTCAAATCCCCCCATCTGTGTGCGACCTCCCCAAATCCTCCCAGTGTGTGCAACTTCCCTAAATCCCTCCAACTGTGTTCAGCTTCCCCAAATACCAACTGTGTGCAACCTCCTCACATCCCCACCACTCTGTGCAACCTCTCCAAGTCACCCCTACTCTCTGCAGACTCCCCAAATCCCCCCCCAATCTGTGCAACCTCCCCAAATCCCACCCAATTGTGGGCAACCACACAAAATCCCGCCACTGTGTGCAACCTCACCAAATTTCTCCCACTCTGGGCAACCTCCCCAAATCCCCCCCACTCTGTGCAACCTCCCAAAATCCCACACACTGTATGCAACCTCCTCAAATCCCCATACTGTGTGCAACCTCCTCAAATCCCCCCCACTGTGTTCAACCTCCTCAAATCCCCCCACTGCGTGCAACCTCCTCAAATCCCCCCAATGTGAGCAACCTCCTCAAATCCCCCCACTGCGTGCAACCTCCTCAAATACCCCACTGCGTGCAACCTCCTCAAATCCCCCCAATGTGAGGAACCTCCTCAAATCCTCCCACTATGTGCAACCTCCTCAAATCTCCCCACTGTGTGCAACCCCCCCAGATCTCCCCCACTGTGAGCAAAAGCACAAATCCCCCACTGTGTGCAACATTCCTCAAATCCCCGCACTGTGTGCAACCCAACCAAATCTCACCCACTGTGAGCAAACCCCCACATCCCCCCACTGTGTGCAACCTCCTCCAATCCCCCCACTGTGTGAAACCTCCCCAAATCCCCCCAATGTAGGCAACCCCCCAAATCTCCCCCACAGTGAGCAAAAACACAAATTCCCCCACTGTGTGCAACCTCCACAAATCCTCCCAAGTCTGCAACCCCCCAAGTCCCCCCATTGTGAGCAACCACCCCAAATCCCGCCACTGTGTGCAACCTCCTCAAATCACCCGGTGTGCAACCTGCTCAAATCCCCCCACTGTGTGCAACCTCCTCAAATCTCTCAACTGTGTGCAACCTCCTCAAATCCCCCCTTCTGTGCAATTTCCCCAAATTCCAACTGTGTACAACCTCCTCAAATCCCTCCCACTCTTTGCAAACTCCCCAAATCGCCCCACTCTGTGCAACCGCCCCAAATCTACCCCAGTCTGTGAAACCTCCCCAAATCCCCCCCACTGTGTGCAACCTCACCACATCCACCACTGTGTGCAACCTCCCCAAATCCCCCCTACCTTGTGCAACCTCCCCAAATCCCACCCACTCTGTGCAACCTCCCCAAATCCCCCACACTGTGTGCAGCCTCCTCAAATCCCCCCACTGTGTGCAACCTCCTCCAATCCCCCCACTGTGAGCAACCTCCCCAAATCCTCCTACTGTGTGCAACCTCCTCAAATCCCCCACTGTGTGCAACCTCCCCAAATCCTCTCCACTGTGTGCAACCTCCTCACGTCCCCCACTGTGTGCAACCCCCACAAATCCTCCCAGTGTGCGCATCCTCCTAAAATCCCCCCACTGTGAGTAACCTCCTAAAATCCCCCCACTGTGAGTAACCTCCTCAAATCCCAACTCTGTGCAACCTCCCCAAATCTCCCCAGTGTGTGCAACTTCCCTAAATCCCCCCAACTGTGTTTAACCTCTCCAAATCCCCCCACTGTGTGCAACCTCCCCGAATCCCCCCACTGTGTGCAACCTCCCTGAATCCCCCCACTGTGTGCAGCCTCTCCAAATCCCCCCCACTCTGTGCAACCTCCTCAAATCCCCCCCACTGTGTGCAACCGTGCTAAATCCCCCCACTCTGTGCAACCTCCTCAAATCCCCCCACTGTGTGCAACCTCCCCAAATCCCCCCACTGTGTGCAACGTCCCCAAATTCCCCCACTGTGTGCAACCTCCCCAAATCCCCCCACTATGTGCAACGTCCCCAAATCCCCCCACTGTCTGCAACATCCCCAAATGCCCCCACTGTGAGCAACCTTCCCAAATCCCCCCACTGTGTGCAATCTCCCCATATCCCCCCACTGTGAGCAACCTCCCCAAATCCCACTTGTTGCAACCTCCCCAAATCCCCCCACTGTGAGCAATCTCCCCAAATGCCCCACCGTGTGCAACCTCCTCAAATCCCCCACCACTCAGAGCAACCTTCTCAAATCCCCCCAATGTGAGCAACCTCCTCAAATCCCCGTACTGTGTGCAACCTCCTATCACCCCCACTGTGTGCAACCTCCTCAAATCCCCCCACTGCGTGCAACCTCCTCAAATCCCCCCACTGTGAGCAATCTCCTCAAATCCCCCCACTGTGTGCAACCTCCTCTAATCCCCCCACTGTGAGCAACCTCCCCAAATCCCTCCCATTGTGTGCAGCCTCCCCAAATCCCCCCGACGCTGTGCAACCTCCCAAAATTGCCCCCACTGTGTGCAACCTCCTCAAATCCCTCCCACTCTGTGCAAACTCCCCAAACCCCCCCCTTGCAGCCTCCCCATATCCCCCCAACTCTGTGCAACCTCCCGAAAACACCCCTCACTGTGTGCAACCTCGCCCAATCACGACACTGTGTGCAACCTCCCCAAATCACCCCCACTCTCTGCAACCTCCCCAAGTCTCCCACACTCTGTGCAACCTCCTCAAATCCCCCCACTGTTTGCAACCTCCCAAAATCTCCCTATGCGCAACCTCGCAAAATCTCCCCCACTATGTGCAACCTCCTCAAATCCCCCCACTGTGTCCAACCTCCCCAAATCCCTCCCACTGTGTGCAACCTCCTCTAGTCCCCCACTGTGTGCACCCCCCAAAAATCCCCCCACTGTGTGCAACCTCCTCAAATCCCCCGCCAGTGTGAGCAACCTCCTAAAATCCCCACACTGTGAGAAACCTCCTCAAATCCCCCCAAGTGTGTGCAACGTCCCCAAATATCCCCAGTGTGTGCAACTTCCCTAAATCCCCTAAACTGTATTCAACCTCTCCAAATCCCCACCACTGTGTGCAACCTCCCGAAATCCCATCAACTGTGTGCAACATCCTCAAATCCCCCTCACTCTGTGCAACCTCCCCAAATCTCCCCCACTCTGTGCAACCCCCCCAAATCCCCCCCATTGTGGGCAACGTCACAAAATCCCACGATGTGTGCAACCTCCCCAAATCCCCCACACTCTGTGCAACCTCCCCAACTCCCCGACTCTCTGCAACCTCCCCAAATCCCCCACACTGTGTGCAACCTTCTCAAATCCCCCTACTGTGTGCAACCTCCTCAAATCCCCCCCACTGTGTGCAACCTCCTCAAATCCCCCCCACTGTGTGCAACCTCCTCAAATCCCCCCATGGGGGGCAACGTCCTCAAATCCCCCGACTGTGTGCAACCTCCTGAAATCCCTTCACTGCGTGCAACCTCCCCAAATACCCCCACTGTGTGCAACCTCCGCAAATCCCCCCACTGTGTGCAACCTCCCCAAATCCCCCCCACTCTGTGCGACCTCCCCAAATCCCCCCACTATGTGCGACCTCCTCAAATCCCCCCAGTATGTGCAACCTCCTCAAATCCCTCCACTCTGTGCAACCTCACCCTATCTTTCCCACTGTGTGCAACCCCCCCAAATACCCCCACTATGTGCAACCTCCTCAAATCCCCCCACTGTGTGCAACCTCCCCAAATCCCCCCACTGTGTGCAACCTCCCCAAAACCCCCCACTGTGTGCAACCTCCCCAAATCCCCCCCACTGTGAGCAACCTCCCCAAATCCCCACACTGTCTGCAACCACCCCAAATCGCCCCCACTGTGTGCAACCGCCTCATATTCCCCCCACTGTGTGGACCCTTCTCAAATCCCCCCTAATGTCAGCAACTTCCCTAAATCCCCCAACTGTGTTCAACCTCCCCAAATCCCTCCCACTGTGTGCAGCCTCCCCAAATCCTCCCGACTCTGTGCAACCTCCCAAAATTGCCCCCACTGTGTTCAACCTCCCCAAATCCCTCCCACTGTGAGCAACCTCCCCAAATCCCTCCCACTGTGTGCAGCCTCCCCAAATCCTCCCGACTCTGTGCAACCTCCCAAAATTGCCCCCACTGTGTGCAACCTCCTCAAATCCCTCCCACTCTGTGCAAACTCCCCAAACCCCCACACTCTGTGCAACCGCCCCATATCCCCCCCACTCTGTGCAACCTCCCCAAAACACCCCTCAATGTGTGCAACCTCGCCCAATCACGACACTGTGTGCAATCTCCCCAAATCCCGCCCACTCTTTGCAACCTCGCCAAATCCCCCCCACTCTCTGCAACCTCCCCAAATCACCCCCACTCTCTGTAACCTCCCCAAATCACCCCCACTCTCTGCAACCTCCCCAAATCACCCCCACTCTCTGCAACCTCCCCAAATCACCCCCACTCTCTGCAACCTCCCCAAATCCCTCACACTGTGTGCAACCTCCTCAAATCACCCTACTGTGTGCAACCTCCTCAAATCACCCCCACTGTGTGCAACCTCCTCAAATCCCCCCACTGCGAGCAACCTCCTCAAATCTCCCCACTGTGTGCAACCTCCCAAAATCTCCCCTATTGTGTGCAACGTCCTCAAATCCCCTCACTGTGTGCAACCTCCCCAAATACCCCCCACTGTGTGCACCTTCCTCAAGTCCCCCACTGTGTGCAACCCCCACAAATCCCCCCACTGTGCGCAACCTCCTCTAATCCCCTCACTGTGTGCAACCTACACAAATGCCCCCCACAGTGCGCAACCTCCTCAAATCCCCCACCACTGTGAGCAACCTCCTCAAATCCCCCCACTGCCTGCAACCTCCTCAAATCCCCCCACTGTGTGCAACCTCCTCAAGTCCCCCACTGTGTGCAACCCCCACAAAACTCCCACTGTGCGCAACCTCCTCTAATCCCCTGTGTGCAACCTCCACAAATACCCCCCACAGTGCGCAACCTCCTCAAATCCCCCACCACTGTGAGCAACCTCCCCAAATCCCCCCACTGTGAGTAACCTCCTGCAATTGCCCCGCACTGTGCAACCTCCTCAAATCCCCCCCACAGTGCAAAACCTCCTCAAAACCCCCGCCACTCTGAGCAACCTCCTCAAATACCCCACTGTCAGCAACCTCCTCAAATCCCCCCAACTGTGTGCGACCTCCCCAAATCCCCCCCACAGTGTGCAATCTCCACAAATCCCCCCCCACTCTGTACAACCTCCCCAAACCCCCCCAACTGTGTACAACTTCCTCACAACCACCCACTCTGTGCAACCTCCCCAAATCCCCCACTGTGAGCAACCTTCCCAAATCCCCCCACTGTGTGCAATCTCCCCATATCCCCCCACTGTGAGCAACCTCCCCAAATCCCCCACACTATGTGCAACCTCCTCAAATCCCCCCACTCTGCACAATCTCCCCAAATCCCCCCCACTCTGCGCAACCTCCTCAAATACCCCCAGTTTGCAACCTCCCAAAATCTCCCTATGTGCAACCTCGCAAAATCTCCCCCACTATGTGCAACCTCCTCAAATCCCCCCACTGTGTCCAGCCTCCCCAAATCCCTCCCACTGTGTGCAACCTCCTCTAGTCCCCCACTGTGTGCACCCCCCAAAAATCCCCCCACTGTGTGCAACCTCCTCAAATCCCCCTACTGCGAGCAACCTCCTCAAATCTCTCCACTGTGTGCAACCTCCCCAAATCCCCCACTGTGTGCAACGTCCCCAAATCCCCCCACTGTGAGCAACCTTCCCAAATCCCCCCACTGTGTGCAATCTCCCCATATCCCCCCATATCCCCCCACTGTGAGCAACCTCCCCAAATCCCCCACACTATGTGCAACCTCCTCAAATCCCCCCACTCTGCACAATCTCCCCAAATCCCCCCCACTCTGCGCAACCTCCTCAAATCCCCCCACTGTGTGCAACCTTCCCAAATCCCCCCACTGTGTGCAACCTCCTCAAATCCCCACACTGTTTGCAACCTCCTCAAATCCCCCCAAATGTGTGCAACCTCCCGAAATCGCCCCCACTGTGTGCAACCTCCCCAAATCCCCCCAACTGTTTGGAACCTCCTCAAATCCCCCCACTGTGTGCAACCTCCCGAAATCCCCCCAACTTTGTGCAACCTCCCCAAATGCCCACTGTGTGCAACGTCCCGAAATCCCCCCCACTCTGTGCAACCTCCCCAAATCCCCGCCACTCTGTGAAACCTCCCCCATCCCTTCCAGTTTGTGCACCCCCCCAAATCCCCCCACTATGTGACACCTCCTCAAATCCCCCCACTGTGAGCAACCTCCTGAAATCCCTCTCACTGCGTGCAACTTCCTCAAATTCCTCCCCCACTCTGAGTAGCCTCCTCAAATCCCCCCCAGTGTGTGCAACGTCCCCAAATCGCCCCACTGTGTGCATTCTCCTCAAATGCCCCTAGCTTTGTGAAACCTCCCCAAATCCCCCCCACTCTGTGTGCAACCTCCCCAGATCTCCTTTCTGTGCAACCTCCATAAATCCAACCAAATGTATGCAACCTCCTCAAATCCCCACCACTCTGTGCAACCTCCCCAAATCCCCATCACTCTGTGTAATCTCCCCAAATCCCCCCCAATCTGTGCAACCTCCCCAAATCCCACCACTGTGTTCAACCTCCCCGAATACCCACCACTCTGTGCAACCTCCCCAAAACGCCCCCACTCTGTGCAACCTCCCCAAATCCCCCCAACTGTTTGCAACCTCCCAAATCCCCCCCAATGCGAGCAACCTCCCAAATCCCCCGTGTGCAACCCCCCAATCTCCCCCACTGTGTGCAACCTCCTCAAATCCCCCATCACTCAGAGCAACCTTCTCAAATCCCCCCAATATGAGCAACCTCCTCACATCCCCCTCGCTGTGCGCAACCTCATCAAATTTTCCCACTGTGTGCAACTTCCCTAAGTCGTCCAACTGTGTTCAACCTCCCCAAATCCCTCCAACTGTGTGCAACCTCCCCAAATCCGCCCCCACCCTGTGCAGCCTCACAAAATTACCCCCAGTGCAATCTCAAATCCCTCCCACTCTGTGCAAACTCCCCAAACCCCCCACGCAGTGTGCAACTTCCCCAAATCCCTCCCACTCTGTGCAACCTCCCCAAATCCCTACCACTCTGTGCAACTTCCCCAAATCCGCCCACACTGTGCAACCGCACCAAATCGCGCCACTGTGTGCAACCTCCACAAATCCCGCCCACTCTGTGCAATGTCCCCAAATACCCCCCCCACTCTGTGCAACTTCCAAAAATCCCCCACACAGTGTGCAACCTCCTCAATTCCCTCTAGTGTGTGCAACCTCCTCAAATCTCCCCCACTGTGTGCAACCTCCTCAAATATCCCCACTGTGGGTAACCTCCCCAAATCCCCCCCACTGTGTGCAACCTCAAGTCCCCCACTGTGTGTAACCCCCCCAAATCCCACCACTGTGCACAACCTCCTCTAATCTGTTCACTGTGTGCAACCTCCCCAAATCCCTCCCCAATGTGTGCAGTCTCCTCAAATCCTCCGCCACTGTGAGCAACCTCCTCAAATCCCCCCAGTGTGTGCAATTTCCCTAAATCGCCGCAAGTGTGTACAACCTCCCCAAATCCCCCCCACTGTGTGCAACCTCCCCAAATCTCCCCCACTCTGTGCACCTTCCCCAAATCTACCTAACTCTGTGTAACCTCCTCACATCCCCCCACTCTGTGCAACCTCCCCAAATCCCCCCCCCCCCCATTGTGGGCAACCACACCAAATCCCGCCACTTGTGCAACCTCATCAATTTCCCCCCATTCTGTGCAACCTCCCCAAATCCACCCCACTCTGTGCAACCTCCCAAAATCCCCCATACTGTATGCAACCTCCTCAAATCCCTGTACTGTGTGCAACCTCCTCAAATCCCCCCCACTGTATGCAACCTACTCAAATCCCCCCACTGTGTGCAACCTCCTCAAATCTCCCCACTGTGAGCAACCTCCCCAAATCCCCCTACTGTGTGCAACCTCCCCAAATCCCCCCCACTCTGTGCAACCTCCCCAAATCAGCCCCACTCCGTGCAACCTCCGCCTATCCCTCCCACTGGGTGCAACCTCCCCAAATCCCCGTGTGCCACTTCCCCAAATCACCACATTGTGAGCAACCTCCCCAAATCCCCCCACTGCGAAGACCTCCTCAAATTGCCCCGCAGTGTACAACCTCCTCAAATCCTCCCTCGCTGTGTGCAACCTCCTCAAATCCCCCCACTCTGTGCAACCTCCCCACATGCCCCCAGTGTGTGCAACCTCCCGAAATCCACCCAGTGTGTGCAACCTCCCCAAATCCCCCCACTCTGTGCAACCTCCCGAAATCCCCCCAACTCTGTGCAACCTCCGCCATCCCTCCCACTGTGTGCAACCTGCTCAAATCCCCAAACTGTGTGCAACCTCCCCGAATCCCCCCAACTTTGTGCAACCTCAAGTCCCCGAATGTGTGCAACCCCCCCAAATCCCGTGTGCAACCTCCCCAAATCCCCCACACTATGTGCAACCTCCTCAAATCCCCCCACTCTGCACAATCTCCCCAAATCCCCCCCACTCTGCGCAACCTCCTCAAATCCCCCCACTGTGTGCAACCTCCTCAAATCCCCCCACTGTGTGCAACCTTCCCAAATCCCCCCACTGTGTGCAACCTTCCCAAATCCCCCCATTATGTGCAACCTCCCCAAATCCCCCAATCTATGCAACCTCCCCGTTCCCCCCAATGTGTTCAAGCCCCCCAAATCCCCCCACTGTGTGCAACCTCCCGAAATCGCCCCCACTGTGTGCAACCTCCCCAAATCCCCCCAACTGTTTGGAACCTCCTCAAATCCCCCCACTGTGTGCAACCTCCCGAAATCCCCCCAACTTTGTGCAACCTCCCCAAATGCCCACTGTGTGCAACGTCCCGAAATCCCCCCCACTCTGTGCAACCTCCCCAAATCCCCGCCACTCTGTGAAACCTCCCCCATCCCTTCCAGTTTGTGCACCCCCCCAAATCCCCCCACTATGTGACACCTCCTCAAATCCCCCCACTGTGAGCAACCTCCTGAAATCCCTCTCACTGCGTGCAACTTCCTCAAATTCCTCCCCCACTCTGAGTAGCCTCCTCAAATCCCCCCCAGTGTGTGCAACGTCCCCAAATCGCCCCACTGTGTGCATTCTCCTCAAATGCCCCTAGCTTTGTGAAACCTCCCCAAATCCCCCCCCCCACTGTGTGCAACCTCCCCAGATCTCCTTTCTGTGCAACCTCCATAAATCCAACCAAATGTATGCAACCTCCTCAAATCCCCACCACTCTGTGCAACCTCCCCAAATCCCCATCACTCTGTGTAATCTCCCCAAATCCCCCGCAATCTGTGCAACCTCCCCAAATCCCCCCCACTGTGTGCAACCTCCCCAAATCCCGCCACTGTGTTCAACCTCCCCGAATACCCACCACTCTGTGCAACCTCCCCAAATCCCAACTGTTTGCAACCTCCCAAATCCCCCCCAATGTGAGCAACCTCTCAAATCCCCCTGTGTGCAACCCCCCAATCTCCCCCACTGTGTGCAACCTCAAATCCCCCCACTGTGTGCAACGTCCTCAAATACCCCCACTGTGTGCAACCTCCCCAAATCCCTGCCACTGTGTGCAACCTCACCAAATCCGTCCACTGTGTGCAACCTCCCTAGATCCCCCCTATGTGCAACCTCCGCAAATACCCCCACTCTGTGCAAGTGCCCCCTATTTCCCCAACTGTGTAGCAACCTCCCCAAATCCCCCCACTGTGTGCCACCTCCCCAAATCCCCCAACTGTTTCGAACCACCTCAAATCCCCCCACTGTGTGCAACCTCCCCAAATCCCCCCCACCCTCTGCAACGTCCCCAAACCTACTCTGTCCAACCTCCCCAAATCCTCCACTCTGTTCGACCTCCGCCTATCGCCCTACTGTGTGCAACTCCCTCAAATCCCCCCACTGTGAGCAACCTCCCCAAACCCTCCCATTGTGTGCAAACTCCCAAATCTCCCCACTGTGTGCAACCTCCTCAAATTCTTCCACTCTGTGCAGCCTCCCCAAATCCCCCCAACTCTGTGCAACCTCCGCCTATCCCCCCCAGTGTGCAACCTCCTGAAATCCCCCAACTGTGTTCAACACCCCCAAATCCCCCCATTGTGTGCAAACTCCTCAAATCACCCCGCTGTGTGCAACATCCCCAGATCCCCCCCAATGTGTGCAACCTCCGCAAATCCCCCTACTCTGTGGAACCTCCTCAAATCCCAACTGTGAGCGACCTCCCCAAATCCCCCAACTGTCTGCAAACTCCCCACATCTCCCTCACTGAGTACAACCTCCCCAAATCCCCCCATTGTGAGCAATGTCCCCAAATCCCCCCACTGTGAGCAACCTCCTCAAATCCCCCCACTGTGTGCAATCTCAAATCCCCCCCACTGTGTGCAACCTCCTCAAATCCCCACCACTCTGTGCAACCTGCCCAATTTCCCCCACTCTGCAACCTCCCGAAATCCCCCGTAGTGTGTGCAACCTTCTCAAATCCCCCCACTCTGTGCAACCCCCCCAAATCCCTCTACTGTGTGCCACCTCAAGTCCCCCCACTGTGTGCAACCTCCTCAAATCCCCCACACTGTGTGCAGCCTCCTCAAATCCTCCCCACTGTGTGCAACCTCCTCAAATCCCCGCACTGTGTTCAACCTTCTCAAATACCCCATACTGTGTACAACCTCCTCAAATCCCCCCTGCAGGGAGTGGCTTCTCCCTGTGAATCTCTCCTCCCTTCTTTGCCCAGAAGCATGTCTCAATTAGTAAGAGTGCAGTTAATATTTCTCATCTTAAGGTGGTGCTCCGACCTGATACAAAGGAAAGCGGGTTGAATTCAGAGGCACGGGCATACCCTGTCCTTGTTTCTAAAGTGTTCATGAAGAAGATCGAATTCAAATGGTGAAATATCCATATATGCAATTGTATAGAAAAGTCAGGATTATTTGACAAGGATTGTTTTTGATGCTTTTATGCAATTCAGAACCTCAATGAATATAGAAAATAATTTAAAAAGACATAAGAGCTCTCTAGATTGAAATAAGCATGGTGCTTATAAAACAATGGTGAACAGTGAATGCCAATTATTTTAATTTAAATTTCTATTATGCAGCAAATTCATAAAATGGGGAAAGTCTTTTTTCAACATTTCCAAGACATGCTCTGTTAAGACATGGTTGCTTCAGGTGGCTTTTACTTGGGATATTGAGAGGTAAGGCAGAGTGGTGATGGTTCAGGCTGAGGAGGGCGAGGGCTGCCATAACAAAGAACCACACGTTTGGTGGCTTAAAGCAACAGACGTTGATGTTCTCACAGTTCTGGAGACCAGAAGAGCAAGTCACGGTGTTGGCAGGGCTTTGCTCCCCCCGAAGGTTGGAAGGACGAATGCGCCTTGCACATCCAGCCTTTGGTGCCCTGCTGGTGTTCACTGGCATTGCTTGGCCTACAGACTCCTCACGCCAACCTCTCCCTCTGTCTTTACCCGGCCTTCTCCCCTGCGTGTCTGTATTCAAATGCCCCTATTCCTATAAGGGCACCAGTCCTGCTGGATTCCAGGTTCCACCCTACCCCAGTATAGACTCACCCTAACTAATTACATCTGAAAAAAACCTTACTTCCAGGCAAGGTAACATTCCCAAGTTCTGGGTGGATGTGACTTTGAAATGATTATCAAGTAGATCCAGTTCCGTTTACAGTAATGAGCAGACAGTGAATGAGAAATTAATGTGCTTTCACATCGCACGAACACCTGACCTTCACTGAATTTTAATAGAAGCTGGCATTGGTGCTAACTCCTTACAGACTTTATGTCAGTGTATTCTCACTGAAGGAAGTTGCTATTTTATCCCACTTTACGAATGAGAAAACTGAGATGCGGAGAGGTCACCAAGTCAAACTCAAGCGACACCCCAGCCCCCCTCGGTGATCAGGCTGAAGCGATGACTAAATGCCATTTGCTCCTAATGACACCGTCACAAGCACTGAAGCCACCAAGGACCGTTGGGCCTGTACAGAGGAGAGGCAGACTCAGGCCCTCCCCACTGACAGGAGGGCTGTCTTCCATGTACACCTAGGTCGGAGTCCGCAAGGGTGGGGCGGTGACGGTGCACTGGACTTTGCTGGCGGTGCTGGAATGGCTATGCGGAGGGCGCTGTGGTGCGGGGACTGCGCTCCCCAGGAGGACCTCGGGAGTTGTTTGTTTGTAGGTATTACAGTATTGTCTAACGTTGCCGCGTTGACACAGGGTCACGGGAAGCCACCTCCAGGGCCTGTGGTCCTCTTCAGGCAGGCGGGGCGGGGAATGCTCAGGACCGGTGATGATGGTGCCATGCAGAGTTCAGGGATGAATGACCACCAAGGCAAGGGAAGGAGTCCAGCAGCTCAGTATTTGGGGAATGGGGGCGGGGGCAGGTAAAAACGCAGAATCAAGGGAAACAAACAGCTGGAAAATATAGTAGCTGTTAAGTTCTGATGGAAAAGCTGTTTTGTACTTACAGTTAAATCCCACAGTATTTGTGATGTATTTCCGGGTAACTTGCTCTTCCCTCCTCAAAAGGTCCCAGCCTCACCAGAGCTTCCCTTCCTGCACCGGCCCCAGCTCTCCACGCCTCCCAGAGACCAGGGGGCCTCCACCCTTGCTCCTCTGGGACGGCGCTTCCTCCCCCTCATCTCCAGGTCGGGGCTGGGGTCTTCAGGCTCAGGTTGAAGATGCTGTTGGGCCCTTTGCCTGTACAGGGATGGCGCCCGACCCAGGAAAAGCCTAACGTTGTCTGTCATTTGGATGCGTCTCTTGGCAGTGACTGGGGGGAAATCCTCACTGCAGCCCGCGTCCCTTGCATGATTGTTGTAAGAAAGCCCCAGCTCAGCTGCGTGGAGACAGGGTCCTCTTGGCTGCAAATTCTAAAATCATTTTTCCTATGAAGAGAGCAGTGCTAATTTTTTCCAAAATATATCAGATTATGATCGACTTGACTGAAGTGTGAAATGAAAGTGGGTTGGAGTGTTCCTGCCAAAGACAAGCACGGCTGCCTTGCCGTCGCTCGTGCCGTGCTCTCTACCCTCCACAGTCACGGTGCCGGACCCTCTCCCGATAACTGGACACGTGTCTCCCACAGGACACGCACTGGCACTAAATCCACACTGCCCATCTCGGAGACAGGCGGAGGAACTCCCGAGCTGAGATGCGGAAAGCACCAGGCCGTAGGGACCTCACCGCAGCGGGCCGCAGCTCAGGACTCGGAGCAGGTGGGCCACACCATGCCGCATGTTTCCAGCTGCCACCGCAGTGGTTGGACAGGATCTGGGTGTCGGAGCAGCTCTGCTGGGGCTCCCTGCATATTTCTGTTTACTCCGTGTTTCCTAGTCCGTTCTGCACCTTCCTCCGGGAGGTTTTATTTACAAGCTAATGACAGTGAGCCAGAATGTGAGCCTGCTTAGTGAGAGGAATGAAGATGCCTTCCATTTGTACAAACCGGTTCCAAAACTAAGGGCTCACTTTCAGGCGTTTGCTTCCACTTAATCTGAGGATCGGCTGGAAGCACAGGAGAGGAAGGAGAAGCTGAAGCAAAACCCTGACTTTTAAATTCTGATTTTTAAGTGGAATAGTTATAATCAGTGTGGAAAAATGTGTATGTTTATGTTTTACCCCCTTACCTTGTATGCAGAACCCCAAGGGAGGCCATATCAAAAACTCACTTGTGTAAGTCTGACTTTTGAACTGAGAGAAGCAGAGAGCAGAACAGTGGCCTCCAGAGGGGAGTGGGGAGGTGCTGGTCACAGGCACAAAGTCTCAGGCAGGAGGAGGGCGCCTCAGGTCTGCTGCACGGCATGGGGCGCACGCTTCCTCATAATGATCGCATGTTTCAAAATTGCTAAAACAATAGGTTTTTTTTTTTTTGAGATAGAGTCTTGCTCTGTCGCCCAGACTGGAGTGCAGTGGCACAAACATAGCTCACTGCAGCTTCGACCCTCCTGCTCAAGCAATCCTCTTGCCTCAGCCTCTTGCGTGGCTGGGTCTACAGGCGCTCACCACCATGCCTGGCTAATTTTTAAATTTTTTACAGAGATGCAGCCTCGCTATGCTGCCCAGGCTGGTGTTGAGCCCTTAGGCCCAAGAGATCCTCCAGTCTGAAACTCCCAAAGTGCTGGGACCACAGCCACCCACTAAAATAATAGATTTTAAATGTTCTAACTGCCAAAAAAAGATGTGAGGTGATATGTTAATTAATTTGATATAATCTCTCCACAATGTAAAGGTATCAAAACCATGTTTAAAACATAAATATATGCAGTTAGTATTTGTCAACTAAAAATACAAATTTTAATTTAAACAAAGTCACTTACTTGCATACAGGAGGGGGGCATTGCCAACATGATCGGTCTCCCTTCTGAAATTCAGTGTGAGATTAGATCCTGTCCTCGGAGATAAGCAGAGCCCAGGGTCGTTCTGCTGAGAGCACATTCGTCTTTGCACCTGGCTCCCACGCATGGAACCAAAAGGACCTGGCCTGGAAGTGAGGCTCTTTGTGAATTTAAATAGCTTTTCCAGCCACAGCAAGGGCAGTGCCAGCAAGTCCCCTGGGCCCCTAATTAGTCTGACTGACACCAGGGGCAAGGCCAGGCGTTCTGTTCATCTGTGGTCGCAGGGACCTGTGTGCTCAGCACGGCTTCTTCCTGAAGGACCCTGCCTGCGGATTGCAGATCCCACTCTGTGAGTAGGAACCTTTGCCACGTGGATCCTCTGTGGCCTCCTGCAAACAAGCATTTGTCCGGAAGCCAGAAACTTCCCTCCAGCATGACAAGCAAGAAGGATGGCTCATCTCGCCAGCGGTCCTTTGTGAAAAGAGCTCCTGTCCAGGCCCTTCTGTCTTGTATCAAGTGTGTGCTGTTACTGGAGCAGTCAGAATTCAGACGTTATTAATGTTTGTTCTGCATTTTTGCAGGAGAGTGCTGGGATGGAAGGCCGGGATACTCACAGGCTGCCGAGAGCCCTCTGAGGGCAAAGTGGCAGGACACTGCAGAACAGCTTCATGTTCCCAAAATCACCGTACGACTCTTTTCCAAACACAGGCAAATCCGAAATCAGCAGGACGACTGTTTTCCCAACACGGGTAAATCTAGTACCATGTCGTAGTTACTCTCAGGCATGGATGAATAAATGTTATAGCTGCATTTGTCTGGCCTTTTCTTGTAAACATTGCCTGATTTGTTCCTTCTGGGGCTTTGCCATTAAAATGTATTTACAGATTACACATCTTTATTTTGTGAACCCTGGAAACACCACTCTTGCAATCCTCCTGTCTCCACCTTCTGGCATCTCTGATGCCGTGCTCGTCTGCACTCTGCCCCGGCGGTCCCTCCAGCACTGGTTTTTCCACACCCCCTGCCCATCACCAGGTGTCCACAGGGCCTACATCTGGCTTCCCTCTTCTCCTGGGAAGAGCACTCCTGGCTTCCTGCAGGGCCGGTGGGAGGAGGAAAGTGATTCTGAGGGAGAGGCTGGAGCCTTAAGGACCAACAAGGCAAAGTGACTTGTCTCATCCTCCAGAGATTCACCAACACATGAGCCTCAGACCCCAGGCTTCTGCCTCCAGCAGCCGCCCTGCCGCACACTGCTCTTACTCCTCCTTATACCCTCACTCACGGGGAACACAGCCCAGTGATCCCGGAGGAAACTCACTCCCTCCCTGACTCAACAAGGCAGTCTCGGGGGCACCGTTAGCCACGCGACCCTGTAAAGCTGCCGTCCTCATTTCACATGTGAAGCAGCTGAATTCCAGAGTGCTGGGTCCCAGCCCAGGCAGCCCTCAGCCTCACGCAAGGCAATAGTTAGGAGTCCTTCGGCATTGAAAGCAAACTCAGACACATCTGACCTGGAGTTCTACCTGCACTAAGAGAAGAGAGTGGTAACTAATTCATGGATAAAACAGACCATCGAGGCAGCACTGAATGATCTCACCCACGAATGACAACAGTGGCACAGGAGGGCTATGAACATTTTGCTTCAGGATGTTTTATTTCGCTCTACTGTTATGTAGAGAAAGCATGGTTTGCTTTTTATAACTTTTGTGACCCAAAAATACCAGACTGTTGTTTTCCCTAGGTGCCAGGCCATCCTGTTCTGTGTGTTCCCAAACTCTTAGTTTTGTTCATGTAAAACTCATGATTTCATAATTAAAACAATATTAAAATAAAACTCATGAATGATTTCATAATTAAAACAATATTAAAAATATCCTGGCAAATTTCACAAATTGCCCTTATCACACCGGTAAGCAGCCCGTTCTCACACTGCCATAAAGAACCACTGAGACTGGGTCATTTAGAAAGAAAAGAGTTTTAACTGGCTCTGGGTTGCGCAGGTGGTGCAGGACGCATGGTGCTGCCATCTGCTCGGCTTCTGGGGAGGCCTCTGGAAACACAGTCATGGTGGAAGGGGCAGGGTAGGAGGCCCATCACAGGCTGGGAGCCAGGAGCCGGGAGGCAGAGGGGCAGCCACACATGGAGACCACCAGATGGCAGGGGACTCACTGCACAGGACCAAGAGGGGTGGTGCTGGACCCTTCCTGAGAACCCACCCTGTGATCCCACCGCCTCCCAACAGGCCCCTCCTCCAACACTGGGAGTGACAATTCCACATGAGACTGGGTGGGACACAGACCAAACCATATCAACACCCAGGGAAGGGACAGGACCCAGCTTCTGCAGAGGAGCTGCTGAGAGTTCCCATCAGCAGGTGAGGAGAGACGCAGGGAATCGCAGCAACGCACAACACATCAGCACCCGCTCTGGGCAGTGAAGGGAGGTGGCCGCCCAACCTCAGGATCATTTCCACGAAGGGAACACAGGCCTCCTACTTCCAGCTGCTGCCCTGCCATGCACTGGAACACACTGACTGGGGAGCGGTCTTCCCTTCCACCTCGGAGCCTCTTGCTGACACCAAAACAAGGAACCCTGGCTTGATGCGGTGCCTGCATGACCTCTGCCCTCTGGGATTAGCCAGAAGGAGTAGTGCCATATAGTGATGGTTAACACCAGGCCTCAACCTGGCTGGCTGGAGGGAGGCCCAGCTGGCCGGTGAGATCTTGTCTCAGCCTCAGCTAGATGGATGGATAAGAGGATGAGCTGTTTTGGAGGAGACTGGGCTGTGAGTCAGCAGACTGAGGGGGAAGACCTGCCTGAATGCAGGGTAGGCACCATCCAATCCCGGATAGAACTAAAAGGTAGCTGTGTCTGTCTCCTAGAGCTGGGACACCCTTCTTCTCCTGCCCTTGGACATCAGCACTCTAGCCTCTTGGCCTTCAGACTCTGGGCTTGCACTAGCACTCCCTGCCCTGGGCTCTCAGGCCTTCAGCCTTGGACTGAGTCATGCCATTGTCTTCCCTGGCTCTGAGGCCTTGCAACTCGGGTCCTGAGTCACATGACCGGCATCCCAGAGTGTCCAGCTCTAAGACAGCCTGTCCTGGGACTTCTCACCTCCACCATCACATGAGCCAGTGCTCCTATTGAATATCCTCTTTCCATCCACCTAGTTAGCTATCTGTTTGTCTATCTATCTATCTATCTATCTATCTACTCTAAGACAGGCTGTCCTGGGACTTCTCACCTCCACCATCACATGAGCCCATTCTCCTACTGAATATCCTCTTTCCATCCATCTAGCTAGCTATCTGTTTATCTATTATTATCTATCTATCTATCACCTGTCTATCTATATAGCTACCTACCTATGTAGCCTATTGGTTCTGTCTCACTGCAGAGCCCTGACTATAGTGATACACATATTTTAAGAGTCCCTGGATGATTACACACTGATGGCTCACAACCTTGACAATCCCCGATGATGGGATCAGCCTTAATTCGTCTGCAGCATCTTCACAGTGCTACAATCCTGACACTCCTTGGGGTCAAAGAGTTTTAGAGTATTAGTTACTTAATGGGTATAATGATCTTGGTTGATATGCTGCCAGGATTTGTAACAATTTTGCCAAATCTCAATCGATTTAAAGATCTAACTGAGAAGATTGTGCCTGGCTAAGTATCCAGGGAGTTGGTCAGCTTCCTTCCCAGGTCTTTCTGTGTCTGTCACACCATCCACTCACTTTGATTATTTCTGTTGGGCCACTCACAGGAGAATTTCAGGCAAACTGGCCGCGGCTTTGGCCTCTTACTGGGATAATTGGTACCGTGTTAGCCCTGGAGAACACCCCAAGGTCACTCTGTACAGCCCCTTGATTTTGGAGAGGAAATAGCTGAGTCCCAGGCATTGGAAGTGAATTGCTTAGAGTCACGTAACAAATTTAAGTTCAGGAAGAGATGACAACACACTTCACCATCAGCACTTGGTAA
This sequence comes from Homo sapiens, assembly GCF_000001405.40. Taxonomy (NCBI): domain Eukaryota; kingdom Metazoa; phylum Chordata; class Mammalia; order Primates; family Hominidae; genus Homo; species Homo sapiens. The sequence continues at coordinate 1,545,827 of NC_000002.12, forward strand.
GACTGCCTCACCCCTGCCACGGCGCTAACAGCCCACATCTCTACCAAATTGTGTTTGCTATTTGGGTGGCTGCTGCTTCCATATTAAACATTCTGCTATTCGTGAATGACTCTGGCCAAATTAATGAAAGCCATACAGCCTGCTGGGCTTGTAACACCCATTCCTTATGAATATTACACATGTTGGACCACGTTCACCCAGCAGTCCCCCAGGAGCGGGGGTTCTGAGTGTATGGGGCCCTACAAGTCATAGGTATCTCACTAAGGATGTAATTTCTGAGTGAATTGACCTTTCCTTCGTGAAAAAGAAAGAGGGAAATTGTATCCTAGCAAATGCGGGTTTCCATGAGCAGACACCCCCACCTGCTGGGTGACTTGGGAAACAGCAGAATCACCATTTTTCCTGACCTGCATCTTCCTTCCGCTCAAAGAGCACACGTGTCTGTTTCGTTCCAGGGCGCTGGATACATGCGTTGCACATGGAAACCTTATTATTGTACTTTTTGGGTTTTTCATGCTTATAGTTAAACATCACCACTTTCTCACTCAGCTGTGAATGTCAAGAGCCTTGTGCCCTGTGGGCTTACTGAGCTCTGGAATAAGGGAGAGAACCTCATGACATCCATGTCAGCAATAGCTTTGCAGATGCCTTCGCAAAAGCCACAGACCCCAGACATGCTAAGGACAGGAACTGCTCATTGCTTACGGACTTACTTACCCGAGCATCCACTTAGGGCCGACAGACGGTAAGATTGACGAGAAGGCCAGGAAAGGACAAAGGCTGGAAGGTGCATGTCCTCCGCACCTGCAGGCAGCTGCTGAGTTCAAACAGTGAAGGGCGTCGGGCCCAGAGAGAGCCCAGAGCCTCTGTGAACCTGGAGCTTTCCTAATAAAGTGTGCTCCCTGGGCAGTGAGAGTTTCTACAGAATGCGTGGTGTGGCCTCGGACTCAGGGGTGTGCGTCCTCCCTGTGGACAGATGGATGAAGCGGAAACTCCAGACAGACGGAAGCACGGTCTATGAAGAAAGCCTACCCAGGACACAGCACACGTGGAGATGTCAGCACATGCGGGGTTTGGGAGAGGCTCACGGTCTCTTCGCTCATGACTTCCTGCAACCAAGAATGCAATCTGCAGTTAGGGCACCGGACTGGGGGTCGTGGAGGAACACTATCCCTAGGGTTAGGGGGAGCACTATCCCTGGGAGTCAAGGAGGGAGCACTGTTCTTGGGGTTGGGGGCAGCTCCAGGCCTGGGGAAAGTGGGAGCACGACCCCTGGTGGAGCGGGGAGGGAGCACTTGACCTGGGGCTGGGAGAGACAAGTAGGTCTTGGGTTTGGGGTTCAGACCCTGCAGGTTTCCGTCTCTGCCTGTGTTGGTTTCCCGGGGTTGCGTCATGGACTCCCACACACAGGGTGGCCCCACACAGGGAATGGACACTGTCCCCGTGGCAGAGTCCAGCACTCCCAGGTGGAGGTGTCTGTGGGGCCGCGCTCCCTCTGGAGGCTCTTCGGGGCCCTTCCTTGTCTCTTCCAGGTTCTGGGGGCTCCAGGCAAACCTGACCGGGGCTGCCCCATTCCAATTCCGCTGCCTCCACGTCTCCTTTCCCTCTGTCTGTGGAAAACCCCTCCACTTCCCTTTGGAATGGGCCTGGGTTGTGGCACTCAGGCTCCCCCAGGTGGTCCAGGCAGCTCTCCTGTTCTCCAGACCCTTAATCTTTTCCCTCTAAAGATCCTTTTTCTTTCTCCACGTAAGGTCTCGTTCACAGGTTCCAGGGACTCGGATATCTTTCAGGCAATCAGTTTCCAGCCTTCCACATCGCCATGAACTTTCTGGAATAAAACCTCAAATCCTAACTAACTCTGCATTTGCACAATTTAAATAATCAATATTTACTGTCAAGAAGAGACACCTCTCAAAAACTGAAATCCTGTGATCAGTGAAATAAGTACGTCATGTGAGTATATCGATAAGCATTACACAAAGAAAGACAGAAACACACACTGCACACACACCCAAAACCCCTCACACCACCCACCACACACACACACAGCCACAAATCACTCACACCACCCACCGCACACACACACCCAAAAATCACTCACACCACCCACCACACACACACACCCAAAAATCACTCACACCACCCACCACACACACACACACACACAGCTAAACATCACTCACACCACCCACCACACACACACACACCCCCAAAACCACTCACACCACCCACCATACACACACACCACATACACGTCCCCACAGTCAAAAATCACTCACACTTCCTACCACACACACACCACACCTGCACACACACCACACAGACACACCACATACCACACCTGCACACACAGACATCACACCACCACTCCTGTTTAGGAGTATGGAAGGGCTTTCTTTCACCCGATCAGTGAAGGGGAATCAACCCTTAAGAACTACCGGGCGCGGTGGCTCACGCCTGTAATCCCAGCACTTTGGGAGGCCGAGGCGGGCGGATCACGGGTCAGGAGACCGAGACCATCTTGGCTAACACGGTGAAACCCCGTCTCTACTAAAAAAATATAAAAAAAATTAGCCGGGCGTGCTGGCGGGCACCTGTAGTCTCAGCTACTCAGGAGGCTAAGGCAGGAGAATGGCACGAACCCAGTAGGTGGAGATCGCACCACTGCACTCCAGCGTGGGTGACAGAGTGAGACTCCATCTAAAAAAAAAAAAAAAAAAAAAAAACTCTACCAACAAAAAAATGACACTTCATTGGTCAGTGACAGACTATTTAAGGATAAATATTTTTAGTCAGTGTTTAACTTATGTACATAAAAACTCAATGAAATCATAAGACAGCATTAAATAGCTTGTTTAAAATAAACCGAGGGAACTCGCCTCTTGGGAATCTTTAAAGAAAAATCTTTAAAGAATGAAACAGTGGTCAGAGCCTCTTTGCTTTACCATTAAAAAAAAATGTAATGCACTTTTCATGACTGCCATTTTTGCAGGCAATTTCAGATGCATTTTCTACCTCCCCCATCGGGGTTCAAAACGCAGTACCCCAAATGCAGCACCTTGGTGAATGGCCTGCTTTGAGCTGAGGGAGATCTGGAAGTCAACAGAAGCAAGAAGTCCTCTCTGGCCTTCACCCTTCTTCCCACTACAAAGGCCATAATGGAAACTAGGGCTCTTCTCCCTGAAAGCAAGCCGTAAAACCTGGGAGGGTAGCTCTCTGCCTCCCCGCTTCTCCCGGAAGGTTGAGTGTCTGTGTCCTGCTGGGCACCCAGGGGACGATCCCAGCACAGACCCAGGAAGGATTCTGCCAAGGGGCCTGGCCAGGCTCCCGGCTCACCAGCTCCAGGGCACGCCTTTCTGTCCACTCCCAGAACCCCCTGGTTCCTGCTTCCTTCCTCAGGCTTAGCAGAAGAATTCCGTTTCCCGGGGCCTTGGGTCCTCATGTGTGGCGGAAGGCTTTGGCTAAACACATGTGCCATGCCCTCCTGTCAGTGTGACTTTGGGTGCAGGGGTGTCCACCACGAGCCTTGCAATGGGTAAGGAGAAGGAAACTGTCTCCGGGATGGACTGGCCCCACACCCCTCCCTCCTGCCCTCACCCACCCTTGGTCTCTACAGGAGCGAGTTTCATCCCAGGCTGAGCCCAGTCCCCGGGGCCAGCACCTGTCTGCAGAGTACCTCCAGTCCTCAGTCCTGGTAAGTAACTGGATCCCGGAGCAGCTGCAGCCAGTGGCTGTGCAAGTCTGCCCTTCTGCCTGGCAGCTCTTTTCCTAGAGCAGTGATTCATACTTAACAGGCGCTCCAGGGAGAGCATAAAAGTGACCACCCCAAGGAGAAAAGCAGAGGGGCCAAGCTTTGATGGCTCCCATTGAGAAGTTTCATGAGATAATCCAAGGAGAAAGATGAGTACAGTGCCTGCCAGTAACAGTTACTCAGTGGCTTCTAGGTCCCTCCAGTCACAGTTACTCAGTGGCTTCTAGGTCCCTCTCTCGGAAACCAGACTGACATTCCTGAGGCTGCAGGGCAGGTAAGCCTTGGCCCAGAGGGAGGCAGAGAACAGGCATATGGTGCAGAACAGGCATAGTGCAGAGGTGGATGCACATTTTCCAGATTGGTTCGAATTTTTCAGGACATCCATTTTGTGCTGTGGCCCCACCCCAGCCACGTAAATAGGGACAAGTTCCACCTGCCATAGGACACCGCCCGCCCCCTCTCCAGACACCTGCCTCTTCTCTTCTGCAGCTGACAGCAGGGCTTCTCCTGCTGGGTCTGCAGGCCTCCATCAGGCCCTGGCTTTGGGGGCTCACCCCAGCCCATCTCATGCAGCACTGTTGGTGCAAAGGTGTCCCTGCTCCAGGGCTGGGCTCCTGTAGACCAGCAGAGGCTGACTGAGCTGGACCCGTGGGCTGGGGGACTTTGACCTGGTTCTGTTGAGTCAACTGACCTGCCTGAGGGTACTGCTACTGCTGTCACCCAGAGTGCAATCAATCACAGGCCCTGTGCCCGCATTTCACAGCTAAGGAATGGCAGATCCTGTGCGGGGAGGGAAGGAAGGAAGGGAGAAATGGAGGGAGGGAGGCAGGGAGGAAAGTGTACAGGGAGAGACAGAGCGCAGGGCTGCTGGATGGAGAGACCTGGACCGGGCCAGGCTTGGCCGTGTGAGGAGCGCCTGTCCTTCTAGGGACCTTGGAGATCAGGGAGCAGGCTGCTGACAAACGACTTATTTCTCCTCCCTCTGAACTCCCAAATTCCCAGAAATCTGCCTCGAAAGTGGGGAGAGCAGAGAGGCTGTGAGGTTGGACCGAGGGGGCCCACGGCCTCACCCTCCTTCCCACGTGGGCCACCCCTGGACGCTTCGTTCGCAAGCCTGATATTGTCCTAAGATGTGGTTTGATTTTTAAGGGCGGAGAGATGGGCTCAGCTGCTGGTGGAATCCAGCCCCTCCGTCTTTGCGGGATGTGGGGTCTCTGCCTCCTGCAGTGACAGCACCGGCATGACCCAGCCTGGCTTCCCGCTCCCAAGCGCGGGCACCTGCGGCCGAAGACGCGGCTCCGCAGCGCCACCTAGTGGCCGCCCAGCCTCTCCCCAAAGCGGAGCCTTAGGACGAAGCTCCCTTTCCCCGAGGTCCCTGCAGGTTTCTGTGGAGCCTGGGAGTCTGAATTACTGTCTCCCGGGTGATTCCTAACCCTGGAAACTCGCTGCTGCTCCCTGGGGCTGGTGGTCGTGCCAGTTGCTGCGTCAGAGCAGTTGGGCGCCCACAGGCTGAGGACGCCGGGGCCAGGGTGAGGGTGAGGCTCCACCTCAGGGCTCCAGAGACCGAGTTTTGCACTTGACACTTCCTTAACCTTCGAAAGCCTGATTCCTTCTTATCGCCCTGAGGGCCTGAGGTCCCCTATCTGCATGATGGAGGGGTTGGATACCATGGTCTTGAAGACCTTCCATTCCTAGGGTGACAAGATTCTAACCACATTGCACATGGAACACTTCTCGGTGCAATGACCCCAAACAACATCCCAGCCTGTGCAGTTCCCACTCCCAGAGATCCGAAAGTCGGTGGGTGACGACCCACGTGTGAAAGGGGCTCTAGAGAGCTGCCTACAGTCTCATGTCCCCCCACCCACCGCCCTCCGTGTGCTCAGCACCTGAACGTCTTCACAGAGACAGGGCAGAGTCTGTTTAAAAGGAAGCTCCGACAGTCTCCCTACGAAGAGATGGCCGCCACCTCAGGCACGTGGGATATTTCTGGGGATGGAATTGTCGCAATAATGAGGAAATCCCCTGTGGTTTAATGGGCAGAGTCCCAAAGGTGCTTGACATCCTGACCAGCACAAGGCAGCCCACCTCCTGCAGAAACTGTGAAAAAAAGGCAAGAAAAGTATACCCATAACTAATTTGAGTGGTTGTAATGTACACTGAAACAAAAAAGTCTTTTCAATTTTTTTTTCTTTTTGAGATGGAGTCTCACTCTGTCGCCCAGACTGGAGTACAGTGGCACGATCTCGGCTCACTGCAACCTCTGCCTCCCAGGTTCAAGCTATTCTCCTGCCTCAGCCTCCCTAGTAGCTGGGATTACAGGTGTCTGTCACCATACCAGCTAATTTTTGTATTTTTAGTAAGATGAGGTTTCACCATGTTGGCCAAGCTGGTCTCTAACTCCTGGCCTCAGGTGATCTGCCCACCTCGGCCTCCCAATGTGCTGGGATTACAGGTGTGAGCCACTGCACCTGACCCTTTTCCCGATTTTAATTGCACTAAACTTCCATAGAATGCTGACAGCGCATAAACATGATAATGTGTCTTTGCAATTTTCAAGCTTAAATACTTAGAATCCAAAAATATGATGAAGTGTGGAGTTTATTTGAACACGAAGTTGGAGGATAGTCACATAGGAAACACAGACTCTCAAAATGGAAAGTTAAAGTCTCATTTACATAGTCAGAGGCAGAGGTTTAACAGGTTGCAGCATTTTCCAACAAGATCAAGACATAGGTTATAGCGATTTGACTTGATTGGTCACAGCTCGCTACACTAAGGAAGCTTGTTTTAACATCCCATAAGGAAGGGTAATGGTCTTGAGGCGGTCTCACCTCTGGTACCATTCAGTCTTTCCTAATCATTACAGGACAAGAATGAGGAAGAGATTTGACCCAGAATAAAGAAGCAGAAGGTGCAGCTTCACACCATGCGACGCAGGCCCCACAGCCACGTTCCTCTCAAGGCTCAAAATCAGGTACGGTTCCAACAGCTTTCAGTTTGGATTAATTTCACATCTCCCCTTTTCAACATCAACATGATCCTTTTGAAGAAAGCTTAGTAGCTGAATGCAGATGGTTTGGGAATCTCTGTATGTTTAGGGGCTTAGCCCCAGATACTTAGGAAGGTTCACTCCTAGGACGTTGTCTCCCATGTCTAGGGCCATGTGCCAAGCTGTACAGAACTGACGGGGCATAGGCCGAACCTGGAGCCACATGAAGGAAGTGACGTGGTGACCTTGGTCAGGCTACACAGCTGCATTGTCCGTTAATGGGATTCTGTGAGTGACGATTATTTTAGTATCTTCAGTTGTGAACTGACTCCATTGCACACCAATGCCAGAGCAGGGAAGACAAAACAGGCCAGAACCCAACCAACGATTGATTAACAGCTGCTTCTGCCAAGTTCCCCAAGACCTAAACCAGCTGCTTAACCAACTGTGTGGAGAGGTTTTGGATCTGAAAGTTTTGTTATTGGGTTTTCATATCGGTAATTAATTTAGGGACATTATCTGATTCATCTGGGTTAGGGACATGACGTTCAGTCTTTGTGATGGTGCAGGTTCCCTCTGGGGCTGCAGTGAGTCTGTCTAAGGCTATACGAGCCTGTAATGCAGCCTTTCTCATAAAAGCATCTTCATTGTTTATTAACATGACACGTGGCTATCATTCAGGGCCTTTTTCAGTTAGGAGGTACACTGTCCTTCCCTTCTGGGCCTTACCTCGTCCTCCTAGAGGACCTTTTATAATTCTGGTCACTTGAGAAGGAAGTTTACATTTGCTTATTGAATTGGCCTTCAGAATCTGGCCAGTTTCAAACATTACAAATTTTGCTCAATCCACATAGCTTCAATTTCTCTTTTCAAAGAGAAACTGTTTTCTTCCTGACCAAAATTTCAAATGGGACAAAAGGTTCTAGAAACTCTAATGAATAATTCAAAACAGAACCTTAACTTCAAAAAAAAATCAAAGTCTTGAATCTGGGGTCAGCAGAATCCCAGAAGAATAACAAACAAAACTCCAAGCTTGCAGTAGGTCTTCCAGCCCTATCGAGTTAGGAATTTGTGTGGCTCAAATAAAAGTCAGAACTTCAACAAGCTGGGAGGTTCGGACCCGAGAAGATCCTTCCCAGAGGTCCGTGTTGACTCCAGCGAGGTCCGGTGAACCCAAGCCATGTGTGCTGACAGCAAGGCTCTGGCTGTTGGTGATGTAATGGGGATCACTGGAGGCCCACTTCACATCCCTTTGTGGTTAGCAAAATGCCAATCGTCAATAATGAAATTTGGAAAAGATGATTCAGTATAGAGTTTATTTGAGTGCAAAGCTTGAGGGTCATCACCTTGGAAACACAGACTCTAGATGAATGGGCTCTGCTTTTAAAGTGAGAAGTTAAAGTTTCATTTTATAAGCAGAGACAGAAGTATGACAGGGCTACAGCCTGTTTCAAGGAGGTCACAGGTTAAATCTATTTCACTGGATTGCTCACAGCTTGCTGCATTCCAAGGAAACTCGCTTTAACTTTCCACAAGGAGGAGTAATCGTCTTGAGGGGCCTCATCTATGGTACCAGTCAGTCCTTTCTAATCATTTACAGGACAAGAATGAGGAAGAGATTTGACCCAGAATCAAAGAAGTTGCAGCTTCACACCTTGTGACTCAAGCCACACGGCCACATTCCTCTCAAGGTGCAAAATGATCTCAACTTACAACAGCTTCACATCTGAATTATTTCATTTCACAGGGACTTTATACCAAGGTTCTCCACGTTGCACAAAGATCACTACACCTTCCAAAACCCTGCTCAGGACGTCTTAGTCATGCATTCACAATGGGAACTGGAAGTAAAAAGCATTGAGACTGTTCCACTGACAATTGTTTTACTTCTTTTTTATCTTCATTAGCAGGCATCAGGCAACTTTAACCAACCTTCTAGGCAGTTGTCAGTGATCATTGTCATATTAAAGTGCATGTTATAGATTATAAATTACTTTCATGTTATTTTTCCTTTATCTTACACTTACTTACAGCATTATGTTGATTTTTAAACTATATGGAAAGGGAAGTTACATGAGCTATAAATTCCCCATTACATGGTCAAGCCGCATTACAAAAGACTTGCTATATTAGAAGAGGGCAGTGGAAAGTCTTGCTTAAAATCTTAGTGTTAAAATTCTCACTAAAATGTAAGTCACTGAGAGTATCTCTCTCTTTGCCTCAGAATAAGCTGTGATGAGAGACATAGAAATAAGAGGGGTAAGTTTGGGGGTTGCACAAACAACGCTTGCTGAAGTTTTACACCCTCCCCTGAGCCCTGGGCATGGAGCTGGGGTCATGCCAGGTGGCTTTCTGGATATCATCACTTCTTCCTCGCAGAAGCCGCATTGTATGTGTATGCATATATATGTATGTGTGATGCGTGTGTGTGGTGTGTGGTGAATGTGTGTGTTCTATGGGTGTGCATGTATGATGTCTGTGTGAAGATTTGGGTTTAGAAGTCACTCCAGGCAGAAGCAGGAGGTCGGAACAATAACCACATTTTGCAGCGATTTCACAGGAAGGTTTCAAACCCACAAGGATTTCTCCTCAGCCCTGAGAGCATGAAATTAAACCGAACATTGCAGCTGAGACGAGGGGGACTCCGTTCTCTTTGCAGCGAGGGAAGGGGCCAGCACTCCAGGAAAGAGCTGCCCATGGACAGCGTCACCCAACAAAGTCTCCCATTCTGTACACAAGAACCTGTCATATCATCCTATACTGAGAGCCGTATACAAAGTCTCCCATTCTGTACGCAAGAACCCCTCACACATCATCCTATACTGAGAGCTGTATACGAAGTCTCCCATTGTGTACACAAAAACCCCTCATATCATCCTATACTGAGAGCTGTATACAAAGTCTCCCATTCTGTACGCAAAAACCCGTCATATCATCCTATACTGAGAGCTGTATACAAAGTCCCCCATTCTGTACACAAAAACCCGTCATATCATCCTATACTGAGAGCTGTATACAAAGTCTCCCATTGTGTACACAAAAACCCCTCATATCATCCTATACTGAGAGCTGTATACAAAGTCCCCCATTCTGTACACAAAAACCCGTCATATCATCCTATACTGAGAGCTGTATACAAAGTCTCCCATTCTGTATGCAAAAACCCGTCATATCATCCTATACTGAGAGCTGTATACAAAGTCTCCCATTCTGTACACAAAAACCCATCATATCATCCTATACTGAGAGCTGTATACAAAGTCTCCCATTGTGTACACAAAAACCCCTCATATCATCCTATACTGAAAGCTGTATACAAAGTCTCCCATTCTGTACACAAAAACCCGTCACATCATCCTATACTGAGAGCCATATACAAAGTCTCCCATTCTGTACACAAAAACCCGTCACATCATCCTATACTGAGAGCCGTATACAAAGTCTCCTATTGTGTATGCAAGAACCCGTCATATCATCCTATACTGAGAGCTGTATACAAAGTCTCCCATTCTGTACGCAAGAACCCGTCATATCATCCTATACTGAGAGCTGTATACAAAGTCTCCCATTGTGTACACAAAAACCCCTCATATCATCCTATACTGAGAGCTGTATACAAAGTCTCCCATTGTGTATGCAAGAACCCGTCATATCATCCTATACTGAGAGCTGTATACAAAGTCTCCCATTGTGTACACAAAAACCCCTCACATCATCCTATACTAAGAACTGTATATTAATTCCCTATTTCTCAGCCTCTGCTGGTGAAGTTTCTGCCTCTTACTTCAGAAGTCCAAGTGGTGAAGAGCCCTTGGCCCACAGGTCTCAGGGTGGTAGGAACGAAAAGGCCGCTCTGAGTCTGCAAACAGAACCTCCCTATTGTCTCTCAGAGCCATCAGGTGCCACCGGCACAGGAGTCTCTACTTACGTGAGACACAGAGGGGAGGCTCCCTCTAACTTCCAACAGGAATGCAAAATGTGCCAGGCCGGGCACGATGGCACACGCCTGTGGTCCCAGCTACTTGGGAATCTGAGGCGGGGGATCTCCTGGACCCAGTGGCTTGAAGCTGCAGTGATCCATGATTGTACCACCACACTCCAGCGTGGACAACAGAGTGAGACCTTACTTCTTAAAAAATATATATTAAACTAAATCTATGAATTACCAGGCTTGTCTAATTTCTAAGTATGAAAAGCAAAACATAAGGAAATTTTGCAGCTCGTTTCATGACTTGTTGCCTTCTTTCCTTCTAACTTGGTGTGTCATCTGAAAGAGGGCAAGGTGGAGGAGTTCTTGCCCCAGGAACATGTCATCAAGCTCTCGGCTGGTGCAGGCGGTCCATGACATTGTGTTCCCAAGTCCTCCCTGCTCAGAGCGTGACCTTGGCTGGTCCCAGTGACTCACATGCTGCTGGTTTCCATGGCAGCCAGACCCATCACTCAGAGCAACGCAGGTTGACTCAGCCCTGGTCTGTCCAAGTCTAAATTTCCTCTCCTGTAAAATGGGAATAACCTGCCTCCAATGGTGAGAATGAGGTGGGGTCGGCCAGGCAGGCAGGGAGCACAGTGAACACTGCCTGCCTTTACGTAACCCGCGAGGCCATCCCCAGTGGGGCCCAAGGCATCACAAAGGCCCCTGCTTGCAGGATGCTCAGAGTTCTCTGCTGTCTCCACAGCTGGCATCCAGCCTCACAGACACCCTCAGCCCAGATGAGGTCCTCAGTGTCCCCATGCTGAGAGTCACAGGCAGATGCCAGCAGGACCCGGCCTGCCTCTTCCTCAGGGGAGGCCTGGACGAGGCTTCTGGGTCAGGACGTGACCCTGGATGGGGCACCAGGCAGCTGCAGTGAGTGGCCAGGACTCAGGCTGTGGGGGCCTCCCTGCCCTGCGTGGGGGTGGGGTGGGGCCAAGGAAGCCCCAGGCCTTCAATTTAGGATTTGCTTCATCAAACGGATCAATTCAGGCTGAAGATAAGCAGCCTCAAAACTCTCTCCCTGGAGAGCCAGTGGAGCTTCCTGTTGGAACTCAGTCCCGTGGGACCCTTCCGGGCAGATGGTGGGGGAGGCTGTGCCCATCCCTGCCACACCTGGCCCCCATCGTGTCCCTCCATGCACCGCAGACATGTTCTCCTGCTGACCTCCACCCTGCAGACGGGCCCGGGTCTCCCCCTGACTGTGTGGGACACAGAGGGGCTCTGCCGACCCCGGGGAAGGAAAGAACGGGAGGAATGTGAAGTGCTCGCAGGACTCAGCACAGCCGCCTGGGCCCAGCCTCTCCTCCTGCAGGCCAGGACAGCTGAGTGAGATCCCCCAAGGCCCCTTCCTGTCTCAAATTTCTTCAATTTTTACAATTAAAGGAAGAGAAGAAGAAAGACGTGCTCTCCTCTCTCATGCCCATGGCTTGATGACATTTTCTTCTAAACACTGAAGATCCTCAGGTAGCTGGGATTCTGTGGCTGCTCCGAAACCCCGGCACACGGGTCCATTTTCCCAGGCCAGTGAGTCCTGGCTCCCCACTCCTGCCTCCTTCCGGTCTTCTCCCCACTCCTGCCTCCTTCCGGTCTTCTCCCCACTCCTGCCTCCTTCCGGTCTTCTCCCCACTCCTGCCTCCTTCCGGTCTTCTCCCCACTCCTGCCTCCTTCCGGTCTTCTCCCCACTCCTGCCTCCTTCCGGTCTTCTCCCCACTCCTGCCTCCTTCCGGTCTTTTTTTTTTTTTTTTGAGACAGAGCCTTGCACTGTCGCTCAGGCTGGAGTGGCGTTATCTCGGCTCACTGCAAGCTCCGCCTCCCGGGTTCAGGCCATTCTCCCGCCTCAGCCTCCTGAGTAGCTGGAACTACAGGTGCCTGCCACCACACCCGGCTAATTTTTTGGAATTTTTAATAGAGATGGGGTTTCACCGTGTTAGCCAGGATGGTCTCGATCTCCTGACCTTGTGATCCGCCCCACCTCGGCCTCCCGAAGTGCTGGGATTACAGGCGTGAGCCACCGCGCCCGGCCCCTTCTGATCTTCTTAAACAAGTTTGAAGCTCTCCATTTTTCCAGGCGAGTCCTGGCTCCCCACTCTTGCCTCCTTCTGATCTTCTCCCCACTCCTGCCTCCTTCTGATCTTCTCCCCACTCCTGCCTCCTTCTGATCTTCTCCCCACTCCTGCCTCCTTCTGATCTTCTTAAACAAGTTTGAGTCTCCAGGTGAAGATCGTGGAGGCCTCATCCTGCTTGCTCAACTTGGCAGCTGGGCGGTTTCCCCCATGGCAGGTGGAGAGCTGGACCCTACCCCACCACAAGCTGCATCTGTCCCGCCTTCTCAAAGGCAGCAATTCTGAGAGCCTGATGGCTTCATCCAGAAAATAAAAAGGAAAGGCCACGTGGAAGGGTTTTGTGCAGGGAGCCACTGGCCCAGCTACTGGGCCAACCCGGGAAGAGCAGGGTGAGGAGGGGACGGGAAGGACATGATGAGTGGGTTTTGCCAGTTCTTCTAGCCAGAGACCATGCACGGGGCTTGAAAAAACTCTCTCTTCAGCTCGAAAAAGCCTGGACTTTGTCCCTAAATAAGGGGGTATTTTGTGGCTCATCATCCGTAGAAGGAGAACTCAGAGGAAAGGGCCTGATCACAGCAGTGAGGCACACTGAGGGGGGGTCCTTCCTGCACTATGAGTGTCCGGGCAGTGGGGCTGTCCTGCCGAACCCCACACAGGGCCCCTCACCAGCAGGTCCTCTGAGCCCACCCTGGCACACAGTGGGCTCTTTTGGGAATGGACCCGGGAAAGCTGAATCGCCCCAGCCTGCAGGATGCCAGGGCAGGGGCAGCCCCTTATCCTGGCCTCCCCTGGGCCAAGTTCCACCTCTCCTGCCTTCCTCATCTCCTGAACCCCCTCCTCCTCAGCCACAGAGAGAGCTCCCACCACCCTGGAGAGTGCGGTGGTGACAGTGACAACTGTGGCCATGAGTGCGGCTAGGCAGCTTTGTACCCAGGTGCTGTCCTGGTACCTCACATCTGCTAAGTCATGTCATTCTCAGGACAATAAATGAGCGCAGAAACAGGCAAGAGCCAGTATTACCCCATCTTACAGGTGAGGAAACTGAGGCACGGGGCAATTAGTGCTCGTCCCCAAATCATAGAGCTGCAGAGTGGTGAATACAGAACAAAACCCCAGCCAGCCAGAGGCCCTGCTCCCCACACTGCCCTCGTTCTAGAAGGTTCTGCCGTAAAACCAGTCCCGCCCATTGTGGATGGGACCAACAGAGACTCAACCACACAGGAGAGAGGGATGGAAGATAACCCGGTGCACAGAGCACAGGGATGGCTCTGACAGCTCCTGTGCAGCCAGGCTAGTTGAATACGCAAGCAAGCGACCGTGCCCGGGCTGTCTGGACTCCATGTCCATGGCCTGGTCACCCTCAGCTAGGTGTGGAAACATGCAGCTGGGGGCTTCCTCTGGCCGAGCATGGCAGCTTTAGGCACCACGGCCAGGCAGATTTTCTTCTGCACCGCGGTGTCCTCATCCCAGCCTGGTCTCTGCTGAGGAGCTCACTTTCCTGCTCTGTGTGGTGCCCCCACCTTGCAAAGGAAAGGATTCCACCCTGCAGAGAGTAAAATTGCTGGTGCTCGACGGGAACGCGTGCACGGCAGTCGCTTCCTTGCAAAGCTACTGAAAATCCATGGGGCTGGAACAGGGTGTGGCCTCTGGCTCTGGGGCTCAGCAGTGAAGGGGGCTAGCCCCTCCACACCTGTGGGTATTTCTCGTCAGGTGGGATGAGAGACTGAGAAAAGAAATCAGACACAAAGTATAGAGAAAGAACAGTGGTCCCAGGGGACCGGCACTCAGCATATGGAGGACGCGCACCGGCATCGGTCTCTGAGTTCCCTCAGTGTTTACTGATTACTATTTTCACTATCTCAGCAAGGAGCATGTGGCAGGAGAACAGGGTGATAGTTGGGAGAAGGTCAGCAAGAAAACATGTGAGCAAAGGGATTTGTGTCACAAATAAGTTCAAGGGAAGGTGCTACGCCTGGATGTGCACACAGGCCAGATTTATGCTTCTCTCCACCCAAGCATCTCAGTGGAGTAAAGAGTAACAGAGGATCACTGCCACCAGCATCTCTCGTCTCCCACCACAGGGCAGTTTTCTCCTTTCACAGAATAGAACAAATGTACAATCGGGTTTTATACCGAGACATTCCGTTCCCAGGGGCAGGCAGGAGACAGAGGCCTTTCTCTTATCTCAACCACAAGAAGCCTTCCTCTTTTACTAATCCTCCTCAGCACAGACCCCTCACGGGGGTCGGGCTGGGGGACGGTCAGGTCTTTCCCATCCCACGAGGCCATATCTCAGGCTATCTCAGTGGGGAGAAACCTTGGACAATACCTGGCTTTCCAGGGCAGAGGTCCCTGCGGCTTTCCGCAGTGCATTGTGCCCCTGGTTTATCGAGAATGGAGAATGGCGATGACTTTTACCAAGCATGCTGCCTGTAAACATTTTGTTAACAAGGCACACCCTGCACAGCCCTAGATCCCTTAAACCCTCATTCCATACAACACATGTTTCTGTGAGCTCAAGGTTGGGGCAAAGTTACAGATTAATAGCATCTCAGGGCAAAACAATTGTTCAGGGTACAGGTCAAAAATGGAGTTTCTTATGTCTTCCTTTTCTACATAGACGCAGTAACAGTCTGATCTCTCTTTCCCTACACAGCAGGCCGTGGGGAGTCAGTGGAGGAGAGGAACTGGACTGTGCACCCTTCAGAATCCCCCTTTAAAGTGGAGAGCTGGGGACTGACGGTGTGCCTACAATACGGTGTACCTGCGCTCAGTAAAGATACCCGCTGTCAGTCCATCCTCCCACAGTGCCGGCACCTACAAGTGGGGACTGCAGAGCGGGTTTGCCTGGGAAGAGGAAGCATGATGTGCAGAGTGGGCGGTGCAGCAGACGTGGGAAAAGCAAGAGAAGAAAAGGGAAAACAGCGCAGAAGGAAAGCCATGGTCATGCCGATGAGTGCGCTGCCCCCTCTACCCGGCTTCAGGAGTCTGATGACTTTTCTTTCACCCTCTAAGCCAAGATAATAGGAAAGCTAAAACGAAGGGCTTCAGGCTCAGGAAGATCAGAGGCAGCAGTGCTGGAGCTGGCTCTGTAAATTTTACTGACTGTTAGATTTTCCGAAAATTTGTGAGCTGGTTGATGGGTTTGTAGCTGGAAGTCAGTCATAGGTAGAGGGAAAATTTACAACACAGAAATCAGCTAATGCCAAACCTCAGGACTCCTCCCCACCTTGACAGCAGGTGGGGGACGCTCGCCGCCGCTTCTGTGGGCCCCGCAGGACACTCGGCACTTCTGAGCAAGGTTTCTCGTCTGCAAAGTACGGGCAATAATCCATAATGGCAGGGCTGTCGTGAGGTTCAGAACAGTGTAAGTGCAGTCTGCAGCCCAGCTTGATAGACAGCATGTTCAAAAAGCATTAACCAGCACTGATGTTATTACCTTAGACGCACCGCAGGCCAGCCTGGTAGGTAACCAGAGACCGTTCTAAAACATTGGCCCTGCCGATCAAACAGAAACACAGGCTGGGAAGCCTATTTTTTTAGAGGGTGGAGGAAGCGCCGCAAGATTTTTCCATAGACCTACGGAAATCAGTTTTTCCAGTTTCTGGAGCTCATTTCAGGACATGCCAGAAAGGCGGTGTTTCATTCCTGGGCTGGCTCTGCGAGACTGCCTTCTTGCAGCTTCCAAGAGGAGGCACGGAGGTTCCCGGGCTGGACGCCCTGCAGGGAGGGGACATACTTCAGCTGCTCTACCAGGAGCCACACGATCAGGGCAGAAAAGTCGGGGCCTTCCAAGTACGCAGGGACCAGAATCTCCCAAATTCCACTGGAAACAGGCCAGCGTGCCCGTTGGTCGCAGACGAGAGGCTCCTGGGGACACAGCCTCGAGGAAGGGGCAGATACCTCCTCAAGTAATGCCACACCCAGACCTTACCCTGGACCATCTTCAGCGGCACACAAACCTCAAACAATGACCACTTCCCCTGCGAGTGCCAGGTCCCCAGCCCTCCCTCCCACCCAACCTGTGCCTCCATGTCCTCAGCCCAGCACCCTCCAGCCACAGGGGCAGGCACCATTTTAAAGTTGGCCATTTCTCACATTAGACAGTGACCTCCTCCATCATCTTGCTGAGGCACAAATCTAAGTCATGTGCATTTCATTAGCTAATCGTTAGGGGGGAAAGTTAGTATTTGTGTTGATGGCTAGTACTGACCGCAAAAATTAAAAGAAGGTGAAGTGGGCTAAGACAACAGTGATTTATAGCCAGGAAAACAAATGTTTTGCATAAATATGAGAGTGGAATGCTAAGTTTGGTGACAGCTCGTATCAGTGACAGAAACAAGAAAAAGCAATTTATGAAAAGTTTTTATTGTGTGCTCCAGCCAGAATTTATTTTTATTGCTTCGTAAGTGACTTTAGCTTTGTTTTATAAAACCATTAAGGGTCTGAATGGGTCATCAAATTTTCCGGTTCTGTGTTATTAAATTTTAGGAGGAAAATGATGTGCGATGATGGAATTTGAATGGGCAGCCGTTGGTGGATGTTTGAGAACGCTTCCCTCGAGAAGCCTCACCGCGGAGCATCCTTCAATCAACCTCAGCCCGTGCTCACTTACCACCCTGACACCCCCATTTCCGAGTCCACATGGCACCTCCTGGATGCCACGAATGTTCCCGGGCAGTGCTGTGCCAGCACCTATGAGAGCCTGGCCCGTGTTTGCTGGTGATGTCCTGAAAGAGGCCCAGGTCCTCCAGGAACACGCAGGGCTGCATAAAGCACACCTCCTCACATTGTCTTAGAGACGATGGGCTTTCTAAGTGTAAAGCACTCTGCAAACACACACGTCACCTCCTCACCTTCTCCGGCTGAGCACCTGCACCCCCTGGTCTCACCAAGTCCCGCCCCTCACTTCTACCCAAGCTCCACTCCAGGGAGAGGCACCTTCGGCCCACAGAGAGTGTTTCGTAAATTATTCATCCAACAAACGTTTGGCTGTCTCTTCCATGCCAGGCGTTGGGTGTGGCCCAGGGTGCCGGACTCTCTGTGAGCTCACGCACAGGCTGCGGCAGAGACAGTCAGTCCAGACGTCGCAGGTGATGCATGAAGTCAGAGGGCCTGGGAGCAATGCCATGTGCAGCCGATGTTTGCGGGGGAACTCTGTATAGTGTGGTGGACCCGAATCGCCAGCAACAGAGGACACGTGCACCTGGCAGCAGCCTCTGGAGACAGGACGCCCTCGTGTGCTGGGCCAGGGCCCAGGGACCTGGGAGCCAGGGCTGCAGCTTGCGAAGCTTGGGCAGGACTCAGTGTTTCCTCCCAAATGATTCAGAAACCTCTGGAAAGTTATGAGAATGAAGGAAATTGGGCTGATGTCTCCAAAGGACTCTTCAGGCTTTGGGGTGGGGGGAGCAAAAGCCGGGAGAATGGGGCAGGGTGGGCCTGTCCATGTCTGCACGCGGGCCCAAGAGGTAGCCATGGCAGTGATGAGGCAGGGGCACAAGGGAAGGGAAGGCTCAGAGCAGGTTTGCTGGAGCCCATCCTCAGAAGGGAGTCTCTGCTGAGGTCGAAGAGGCCTTTGATGGGGCTTCAGAGTCTGTGACATTCCAACTTCGAACCACTGCTGGGTTCACGTGGAGGTGCAATAATGATAATAACAAGCTTGGGGGTTCTAGTGTGATCTTGCTCCCCGTGGGCGGATTCCGTACACTGGTGACTTGTAAGGACTTCACATTCTTAGTATGACAGAAGCCTTCAATCTCAAATACAAACTCATTCAGGCCCACAGGCGCTGCTGTAAAACGTCCTGTGCAGAAGGTAGAGGCGTCCAAAACTGCCTTGTGAACTGGTTTTTGCTGGCAGCATTTAAATCCACTTCCCTCAACCCCCAAAATGGAAAAACAATTTTCATTTGGAAGAGCTCTGGACGCCGTGGTCGGTGAGAACAACCTTCTTGGAGCCTGCGGTTTCCTGCGGGGAGGGGTTTCCTGTGCCCTGGGCCACGCGTGGACTTCTCTCCCTGAGGCAGGATGTGGGTTGGGGCGTTGGGTCCCCAGGCTTGAGATCTCTGGGTCCATTGAATCTCAGCAAAACACTGGCTCCCAGAAGAAAGGGGAAGCTGGGTGGCTCCCATGGGCCACAGGTCCCCTGAATGCCCTGCTTATCCCTCCCACCCACAGCATTCCTGAGCCCACGGTCAGGCCACATCCTGGGGGACAACCCTGTGTGCTGAAGCAGCTGCGGCCATGCCCAGGCCACAGGAGAGTCCCCGACACAATCCTGGGAGGCCGTGGTCCCTCGTTGTACCAAGTCACCCTCTACACTAAACCACCTGCTACACCAGTAAACCAGCCACTACACCGGTAAACCAGCCGCTACACCAGTAAACCAGGGGAGTCCCTGACACAATCCTGGGAGGCCGTGGTCCCTCATTGTACCAAGTCACCCTCTACACTAAACCACCTGCTACACCAGTAAACCAGCCACTACACCGGTAAACCAGCCGCTACACCAGTAAACCAGGGGAGTCCCTGACACAATCCTGGGAGGCCGTGGTCCCTCGTTGTACCAAGTCACCCTCTATACTAAACCACCTGCTACACCAGTAAACCAGTCGCTATACCAGTAAACCAGCCGCTACACCAGTAAACCAGCTGCTACACCAGTAAACCAACTGCTATACTGGTAAACCAACCACTCATTACATCAGTAAACCAGCCGCTACACCAGTAAGCCAGCCGCTACACCAGCATGCCAGCCGCTACACCAGCATACCAGCCACTACACCAGCAAACCAGCTGCTACACCAGTATACCAGCGGCCACACCAGTAAACCAGCCGCTACACCAATAAGCCAGCCGCTACAACAGTAAGCCACCCGCTACACCAGTAAACCAGCCGCTACACCAATAAGCCAGCCGCTACAACAGTAAGCCACCCGCTACACCAGTAAACCAGCCGCTACACCAGTAAACCAGCCGCTATACCAGTAAGCCAGCCGCTACACCAGTATGCCAGCCGCTACACCAGTATGCCAGCCGCTATACCAGTAAACCAGCCGCTACACCAGTATGCCAGCCGCTACACCAGTAAGCCAACCGCTACACCAGTATGCCAACCACTACACCAGTAAACCAGCCGCTACACCAGTAAGCCAGCCGCTACACCAGTAAACCAACCACTCATTACATCAGTAAGCCAGCCACTACACCAGTATGCCAGCCACTACACCAGTAAGCCAGCCACTACACCAGTAAGCCAGCCACTACACCAGTAAACCAACCACTCATTACATCAGTAAGCCAGCTACTACACCAGTAAACCAACCACTCATTACATCAGTAAGCCAGCCACTACACCAGTAAGCCAGCCACTACACCAGTAAGCCAGCCACTACACCAGTAAACCAACCACTCATTACATCAGTAAGCCAGCTACTACACCAGTAAACCAACCACTCATTACATCAGTAAGCCAGCCACTACACCAGTATGCCAGCCACTACACCAGTAAGCCAGCCACTACACCAGTAAGCCAGCCACTACACCAGTAAACCAACCACTCATTACATCAGTAAGCCAGCTACTACACCAGTAAGCCAGCCACTACACCAGTAAACCAACCACTCATTACATCAGTAAGCCAGCCACTACACCAGTAAGCCAGCCACTACACCAGTATGCCAGCCACTATACCAGTAAGCCAGCCACTACACCAGTAAGCCAGCCACTACACCAGTATGCCAGCCGCTACACCAGTAAGCCAGCCACTACACCAGTATACCAGCCACTACACTGGTAAATCACCCATTACACCAGTAAACCAACCATCACACCAGTAAACCAGCTACTACACTGGTAAATCTACCACTATACCAGTAAACCAACCACTATACCAGTAAACCAGCCACTATACTGCTAAACCAAGTACTACATCGGTAAACCAACCACAATATTGGTAAACCAACCACCACACCAGTAAACCAGCTACTACACTGGCAAATCAACCACTACACAAGTAAACCAACCACTACACTGGTAAAGCAACCACTATACCAGTAAACCAACCACCATACCAGTAAACCAGCTACTACACTGGTCAATCAACCACTACACAAATAAACCAACCACTTCACTGGTAAACCAACCACTATACCAGTAAACCAACCACCATACCAGTAAACCAGCTACTACACTGGTAAACCAACCACCACACCAGTAAACCAGCTACTACACTGGCAAATCAACCACTACACAAGTAAACCAACCACTACACTGGTAAAGCAACCACTATACCAGTAAACCAACCACCATACCAGTAAACCAGCTACTACACTGGTAAATCAACCACTACACAAATAAACCAACCACTTCACTGGTAAACCAACCACTATACCAGTAAACCAACCACCATACCAGTAAACCAGCTACTACACTGATAAATCAACCAATACACCAGTAAATCAGCCACTATACTGCTAAACCAACCACAATACCAATAAATCAACCACTGCATTGGTAAACCAGCCACCAAACCAGTAAACAAGCCACTCCACAAGTAAACCAGCCACTATGCTGGTAAACCACCCACTAAACTGGTAATCCAACCACTACATCGGTAAACTAGCCACTACACCCAGTAAATCAGCCACTATACTGGTAAAGCATCCATTACACCAGTAAACCACCCACTTACGTTGGTAAACCAATCACCATGCTAACCACTACACAGGTAAACCACCCATTACAGCAATAAACAACCACTATACCAGTAAACCAAACACTGTACCAGTAAATCAACCACTATACTGATAAACCAACTACTACACAAGTAAATGAACCACTATACCGGTAAACCAACCACTATATGAGTAAACCAGCCACTATACCAGTAAACCAACCACCACACCAGTAAACCAGTCACTATATCAGTAAACCAACCACTACACCAGTAAACCAATTATTTTATGAATAAACCAGCTGTTTCACCAGTAAACCAACAATTACACTGGTAACCTGGCAATGATGCCAATGACCACCACAGGGACCGCCCACCAGCCAGGACACTGGCACCCAGCTCTTCCAAAGCAGCAGACATGGTCCCTGCA
This sequence comes from Homo sapiens, assembly GCF_000001405.40. Taxonomy (NCBI): domain Eukaryota; kingdom Metazoa; phylum Chordata; class Mammalia; order Primates; family Hominidae; genus Homo; species Homo sapiens. Next base: position 1,567,709 of record NC_000002.12, read on the forward strand.
GCCAGAGAGAGCCAGCCCCTCGCAGCAGACGCCGGGTCGTCAGGGACCTGCTGCATTGGTCCCCGGAGCCTTTCCAGAACTCTGCCTGGCATGGTCCTGGGTCACTTCCAGTCCCCAGCTGGGCAGAGGAGAGGACACCAGTTTTCCTCCATGCAGTAGTGACAGAGAGCCATTGAGGATTCTTGAGGAGGGAGGGGACTGAAGAAAAATATGTGGTCAGCGGTTTCGGACAGGGATTTGCTAACCTTGCAAGTCTCGTCATTACAACAGAATGAAAAGGGATATTTGACATATTTTATTTCTCAAATTGCAGCTACAGTTTTGAATGCCCTGATTATGTTGTGTTGATTAGTGACCTAATGATCTCTCTTTTCTTTTACGTCGTTAGATTTCAGACTGAAGACAGTGCAGTGGGTCTGGAATAAATGTTTGCAACACAGGGGACGTGGCTTCCAGTGCTGGAGGCAGCCACGACGGCCACGACACGGGGGACGTGGGTTCCAGTGACGGCCGCGACGCAGGGGACGTGGGTTCCAGTGACGGGCGCGATGCAGGGGACATGGGTTCCAGCATTGGAGGCAGCCGTGACGGCCGCGATGCAGGGGGCGTGGGTTCCAGTGACGGCCGCGACGCAGGGGACGTGGGTTCCAGTGACAGCCGCGACGCAGGGGACGTGGGTTCCAGTGACGGCCGCGACGCAGGGGCGTGGGTTCCAGCGTTGGAGGCAGCCGTGATGGCCGCGATGCAAGGGGCGTGGGTTCCAGCGTTGGAGGCAGCCACGATGGCCGCAACACAGGGGACGTGGGTTCCAGTGACGGCCGCGACGCAGGGGACGTGGGTTCCAGTGACGGCCGCGACGCAGGGGACGTGGGTTCCAGCATTGGAGGCAGCCGTGATGGCCGCGACGCAGGGGGCGTGGGTTCCAGTGACGGCCGCGACGCAGGGGACGTGGGTTCCAGCATTGGAGGCAGCCGTGACGGCCGCGATGCAGGGGGCGTGGGTTCCAGTGACGGCCGCGACGCAGGGGACGTGGGTTCCAGTGACGGCCGCGACGCAGGGGACGTGGGTTCCAGTGACGGCCGCGTCGCAGGGGCGTGGGTTCCAGTGACGGCCGCGACGCAGGGGCGTGGGTTCCAGCGTTGGAGGCAGCCGTGACGGCCGCGATGCAGGGGGCGTGGGTTCCAGTGACGGCCGCGACGCAGGGGACGTGGGTTCCAGTGACGGCCGCGACGCAGGGGACGTGGGTTCCAGTGACGGCCGCGTCGCAGGGGCGTGGGTTCCAGTGACGGCCGCGACGCAGGGGCGTGGGTTCCAGCGTTGGAGGCAGCCGTGACGGCCGCGATGCAGGGGGCGTGGGTTCCAGTGACGGCCGCGACGCAGGGGACGTGGGTTCCAGTGACGGCCGCGACGCAGGGGACGTGGGTTCCAGTGACGGCCGCGTCGCAGGGGCGTGGGTTCCAGTGACGGCCGCGACGCAGGGGCGTGGGTTCCAGCGTTGGAGGCAGCCGTGATGGCCGCGATGCAGGGGGCGTGGGTTCCAGCGTTGGAGGCAGCCGTGATGGCCGCGATGCAGGGGCGTGGGTTCCAGCGTTGGAGGCAGCCGTGATGGCCGCGATGCAGGGAGTGAATAATCAGCGTGTGCGTCCAGGCAGCAGGTTCCAAGCAGAAGCTTTCCTCCTGTGACTTTGAAAAGTGACCTCCTTGTCAGTTTCTTACTCACTGAACTATAAACTAGAATACGAGTATGGACTCAATGTAAATGCAAATCGATAGAAATAAAATTGTGGCTTTTAAATGTGACATTTTCCATGAGGAGTAAAGAGTTGGAGGCAGCCAGGCACGGTGGCTCACGCCTATAATCCTAGCACACTGGGAGGCCAAGATGGGCGGATCACTTGAGCTCAGGAGTTCGAGCCCAGCCTGGCCAACACAATGAAACCTCGTCTCTACTAAAAATACAAAAATTAGCTGGGCATGGTGTGCATGCCTGTAATTCCAGCTACTCGGGAGACTGAGGCAGGAGAATTGCTTGAAACCCAGGAGGTGGAGGTTGCAGTGAGCCGAGATCGCACCATTGCACTCCAGCCTGGAAGATAAGAGTGAGACGCCGTCAAATAAAAAAAAAAAAAAAAAGAGTTGGAGGAATCCCGATATGCAGGAAAAAGATGTATCTGGAAAGCCCTAATAAAGCCCTAATAAAGGAGCCGAGGCCACAAACCAACAGGACATGAAATGCAGGTGGTGAGAAGACCCAAACCAGAGCTGGCACCAAAGGACAACGGCTTTCCCCTCCTGCAGGCGTGTCCAGGCAGTCAATGCAGGGCAGGGTGGCCAGCACTGTGACACCCACGGTCATGACGGGATCTGTGTGGTGGCCTCGTGGAAGGGGCAAGGCAGATGCCTAGGAGAGAGCAAGGGGGGAAATAAGGTCCCAAAGGGAGGGTTGGTCAAAAAGGAAAGGGCTGCAGAGGGTGCTGTCCTAAGGCAAGGGTGACCTGTGTGCAGTTCCAGAAGAGTTTTGCTACCCGGTCTGTGCAACTGCCTGACTCTGGCGTGAGATGGGGAGAGCACAGGTGGTGGGGCAGCTGCTGGGAGCAGGTCCCAGGCAGAAGCTGAGGACACGAGAGGGCACAGGAGAGGCTCTTCCTGCCCTGAGGGCTCTGAATGAAAACTCTAGTATATATGTTGGGGGCTGAGGATCTGCCGGAACCCCAACTCTGAGGGGATGCATGCTCCCTATGCATACCTAGAGCCTCCTCCCCAGGGGTCTAGAGCTCAGCTCTGCCTGAAGCTTGAGGCAAGGTGGGGGTTGCTAAGCAGCTGGCCCTGGGGGCATCGCCTCAACCACACCCAGGACGCTTGACCAAGCAGAGGGACTGGTCTCAGGGACTGTGATGGCCGGAGGGATTTTTTTTTTTAATTGTATAATGTCAATAGCTTTAGGGGTACAAGAGGTTTTTGGTTGCACAGATGAAGGTACAGTGGTGAAGTCTAAGATCTTAGTGCACCTGTCACCCAAGTAGTGCACATCATACCCAAGGCATAACTTTCCATCCCTCAACCCCGTCTCCCTCCCCGCCTCTGAGTCTCCAGTGCCCATTATACCACCCTGCATGCCTTTGCATGCCCGTAGCCTTGTGTTCCCACTTATAAGTGAGAACATAAGGCATCTGGGTTTTTTATTCCTGAGTTATTTCACTTAGAATAATGGCCTCCAGCTTCAACCAAGTTGCTGCAGAAGACATCGTTTCATTCTTTTTCATGGCTGAGTAGTATTCCATGGTGTACATGCAGCTCTTTATCCCCTCATCAGTTGATGGGCACTTAGGTAGATGCCATATCTTTGCAATTGTTAGAAGGATTTTTTTAAGCTGTAGCCTGAAGTCTCAAGAGTTTCATGCATTTACAGTGGTGTCTCCCCACGTTCTCTCTGCATTTTCTTCTATGTTATCTCAGCCAGCTCGAACTGCAATAACAAAACACCACAGATGGGCGGCTTAAACAGCAGACATGCATTTCTCTGAGTCTGGAGGTTGGAGGTCCAAGATCCAGGTATGAGGCAATTCTAAGTCTGGTGGGGGCTCCATTCCTGGCTTGACGACAGCGGTGCCTTCTCACTGTGTCCTCACGTGGTGGAGAGAGTGCAGCCCTGCCATCTCCTCCCCTTCTTCTAAGGACACCAGTCCTATTGGATCAAAGCCCCACCCTCATGGCCCCCTTGGACCTGATTTACTTCCTTAGAACCCTTTCCCCAAATGCAGTCATCCTGGGGTTTGGGATGTCAATGTGTGGATTCTGGGGAGACAGTTCGGTTTATAGTGGACAGACATTTTTTCTTAGAAATCTAAGAAAAGAAAACCCTCCCCTGCCTTCCCACTCCCAGGAGAGGAGCCAGCAGGGGTGAGGCCACCCAGCCCCAGCACACGTCCTGCAGAAGCTGGGGTCCCATGGGCTCTCCCTGGAGAGACAGAGAGCTGTCCACACTTGGCAGCCCCAGTCCACACCCTAAGGATGCTGTCTCCACACCTGAGCCGCCCACTGTCCTGCCCCCACCCACCGTGCAAGGTTTCACATGTCCCGACCTCCCCTTTCTGGCTCTCCTCCCAGCGTCCTCTCTTAAACTTGCAATCTGCAGGTCGTAGGGGTGACGAGTTATGAACCAATCTCAGAAGAGAGACAGGCAGGGTCACACTTGGGTGGCAGCAGACCACCACCTGCAGAGACCAGGTGGCAGGTCCTTCTGGGAGGTGTGGGACGCACCACCAGGGGCTTAGGGCATTCCACCTACAAGGTTCTTAGACCCTTATTCATACATGGGGGACGGGCACAGTATTTCTACAGCAATCCACACTTCTGAATTGCCACTGATTTCGCCAATGAAAATTAGTTTCAACATATATTATGTCAATTAACAAACTCAACTGCAGGCAGACCACGATGGCAGAGGCTGATGGGCCTGTGGTGGCCACTGTGGGGTGAGGCTGCCAGGCCTGGGGAAGAGCTCCCTGACAGTACATTGTGTGTGAGCTGACCTTCCCCCAGGTGTGCTTTACAACCAAAGACGTGTGTTGTATGTGTCCGTATGCACACACACGCACACAACATCACAGGGATGGACACAAGGTCACAGATGATAAAACCTGCTTCAATGGGGATGTCAGAGAACAATTAGAAAACCAAAACCGTCCTGCAGCTAGTCATCACGCCAATCTGTAATAGACAATACATGATCGTTATGTTAATTACTTTCAGGGGTTAGTGTCAATGTCTTTCTAACTTTCGGCCTCAATGTAGACATAGCTCAGCTGTGTCTACACAGCTGGGCAAGTCCTCCTAGCACCCTGACTTTGAGCTTTCCCTTAGGGGCTCAGAGCTGTCTTTGCCTCTGAGTCCTTTTTTCTTCTCTCAATCTCCTGTGTGGACTTGAGTCCTGCAAATGATCAAAGCTGGAAGGTCCAGTCTGGAGTCACTGCAGAGTATGTTGCTCATGCTTCCCCGAGAATTATTTCATAATTGCATTTGCAGTGACCAAGAAGGGGAGGAAACAACAGCTCGGACAATTCAAGCTTCAAGAATCTCACCCCTGGGAGAGGAGTCATTCCTCCACCCACACTGGCCCACGCCCCGCCCCAGTGGATTTTCCTGCTGGGAAAACAGACCACTTTGCAAGTTGTTCCTTGGATATTGGAGGTCGGAGGAGGATGGCGAAGACTCTGTACGTAACTAGATGTCCTTAGTTCTTAGACGACCACAGTGACTCAACCGCCCTCTGCCTCCTGAAGGGCAAGGCTAAGAAGTAAAACAAAACAAAGTAAAAAGCATGCGGGGAGTGCCCTGTCCAGAACCCCCCATGAATGTCTACACTATGAGGTAGATTCTCTGCCCAGGAAGGGCCCACGACTTGCTGCCCTTCTCCATGCCAATCTGCACTTTGAGATCACCAAGAGAAATACTGACTATCCCAAGACAGATTCAACTGCCAAAGTGAATGGTGTGGACCGCCAAATAAGGTTAAAGGAGACCTCCCAGCCCTGTGCCAAGGACGGGGCACTTCCTCAGGAAGCTGGTTCCCCTCATCCTCTCAACTTCCACTCTTCTCTCCAGAGCCTGGGTACCTTGAAAGGCATTGATTAAAATAGTTACAGCAGTCTTGCAAGAAAGTATGGTTAAGAAGTGTAGGATGCCTTATCATATAAGTGAAATTAACCAATGTGCTCAAACTAAACACAGGCATTACAAAGACAGTCAATATTAACACAATGGAAATTGCACTTAGGGTCCAGACTTACACATACAGAGCTAGAAATGATGAGTGGTTATCTGTGAACTTAAAATACACAAAAGCATGATATTTGCCCAATAAGTTGGTGCAATTACACATTGCAAAGAAAATATGTTTAAAGGGGTTATAATAAGGAAGCAGAAAAAAGCCCAAGTTTGTTTTTTTGTATTTAGATTCAAAAATATTCAGTGAAACAACAAATATCCTTAGGCAACAACCCTATCCAAGCAGAAGGCAAGCTGTGAGCCCGGCTCAGCGAGAAACACGTTGGAAGCTCCCCCTCCTCAAGACAATGGGGAAGTAAGATGCCAGCATACAAAACATTTTTCAAATTATCAAAACCAGAACATTTCAGATACAATAAAAGGTGGCATAAGTTGGAAAAGGATGATAGAGAATGGGGCAATCATTTTCAGTTGGAATGGAGAAGTTCTGACAGAAAAATGTGATATCTGATCTGACTCTGAAAAGGTGGATAGAGTGGGCAGAGTGTGGAAAGGTACAAACACCAGGAAAGTATTTCTGGGAGCAGAAAGGTGGATTCAAATACCTAGAAGTAAAGAGGAGTCAGGCTTATGGAAGACAGAAAATAAATTCAAACTACCAAGCAGCCAGCCAGGGGAACCACAGATGCAGCCGCCCAGATTGGCAAAGACAGAGGACAAGGCACTTTAGCCCCAACGAAAGTTGGTAGGAAAAAGCAACAAAACAAATACATGAAAAAGCAGGCAGGGGTCAGACCCAGAGCATTCTCCAGGCAGGTGGAGTCCTCTCTTCTGCTAGGTGAAGGGAGAGTGTGGTTGGGGGAGGCCGGACAAGACGGGAGATGATAGCAGGGCAGACAGGCGGTGAAGGGCAGTGGAGGAGGATGAGACAGGGGACCCTCTGTGAAGGGGAATCTGGAATACCCGACACACTGCAGCATGAGGGTGAGTTAGATAAGCGTCAAAATGCATCAGAAATGCCAAGTGTTCACGATCCGCTGGGGTATGTTAGAGCAGGTCTCATGGACAGGAGGAGGAAAGCCGTTGAGTGATATTGGATAAACATGGGTCTTCATCTGTGTGGGCAGTGGTAACAAAGTGCCCTAGACGAGGGCGTCTAGAAACAACAGACATTTATTGTTCACAGTTCTGGAGGCTGGAAGTCCAAGATCAAGGGGCTGCCAGGGTTGCTGAGAGATGAGGGCTCCATTTCCAGTTCACAGATGGTGCTTTCTCACTGTGTCCTCACCAATGGGGCAGGTGAGGGAGCTCTCGGGGTCCCTTCTACAAGGGTACTAACCCCATTTATGAGGGCTTCACCCTCATGACCCCATCACCTCCCAGAGGTCCCAACTTTTCATACTGCTACCTTGAGGGTTAGGTTTCAACATGAATTTGAGGGAGACACCAACATTCAGACCATAGCAATGTGAGAGGCTTTTCTAAGTTAGATACAATACAATTGGAAGGGAATAATATTATAAAAATCAGGCAAAGAAGCTAAGATTCTGGAATAAAAGGATGTCTGAATGTTTCATACACATATCTCCCTAGAAGACTTGAAGGCTTATCCTTCCAGGACACAGTTTTTCAGTTTATCTGGGGCTTTGGTCTCATGGGTCGATAAAGTTTGTGAAGGAATTAGAAGGGAAAAAATTTAAATAAAAATGAAGGGAGGACAATAGTTAAAGAAAAGTCACAAAGTTTAGGAAAGTCGGCTGAGATAAAGGGTACCTCTGACACTCGATGATGGGAAGGGACCAAATGCATGCGGGTTCCCTCGACCATCAGCACAGTTGCCTTGGACTAGCGGCCTGTGGTCAGTGGCCTGAATTCAAGGCTGCGAGACACAGATGGAGTGGGTGTGGTTCCTATCTGTCCAGATCAGTCAAAGTCGTGCACATGGTTCCTATCTGTCAGATCAATCATAGTTGTGGACATCCTCATGGGAAAATTCACCAGAAGTGAACATAGTGTGGAAACAACGGTGGCTGTTGTGGAGACAGCTCCTCACGGGGCCCCTGGGGTCTCTGTGCAGGCTGTGGGCAGAGGCACTGAGACCCACTGACCCGCCACTGTCTTTTCAAGTATGTTTGCTTAGTGTGCAGCCTTGGGAGACACAGATAGTGCTTCCCTCCGGAGAGGAAAAGGCAGGTCCACTCAGCATCCACTGTCATGATGTGTCCCTCCGGGGCAAAGGCCAGCCAGTCTCACAATCCATGGTAGGACCCAGATCCCCTGAACTCAAGCTCCTTATCAGTGATGCAAACCCACAGCCACACTCACCTAGGACTTAGGCAACAGGGAGAGCAAAACCTCAGACTTTTTATAGTTTTAGCTTTTGACACTAAACACATCAGAATAATTCTGAAAACCAAAGACAAAGAGATAAATCTTTAAAATACCGAGAGAAAAATAACACGACACTTTCAAAGAGCCACTTTTAGAGTGTCAGTTGACTTCTCAACAGATAGAAAACAAAAGGCATGTAGTGATGGCCTTGGAGTGTTTACAGATCGTATATAACAATCCATGCCCAATAAGGATACTTTTCCAAAATGAAGGTGGAAATCAAGATGTTCCCAGACAACCAAAACTCATGAACATGAGGCAGGACACTTTTTTTTGGAAGAGTGGAAATGCTAAAAGTAATAAAGAATACACAAAAGGGTAAATATTTGAAGTAAACCTACATAAAGATCTAATATTTAAGACAATAATAAAAATGTTTCATGCATTTGAAACATGGGATAAAATGCAAGACAAAGCCCAAAAAGTGAAATAATTTAAATACATAAAATGTAAAAGTAATAATTTAGGATAGACTATGTCAATGGTGAATTTTTGGCAAAAAGTAACCATTGAAATAATAGTAAAAATGTTAACTATAAGCTAAGAGGCAGAAATAGAGAAATAAAAATCTTGATTCGTTCATAAAAAACACAAGGAAGGAGAAAAATGAACATGGGGCAAATAGAAAATAATAGATGGTGGATTTAAAATAAAATACAACAGTAATAGTATTAACTGTAAATGGACTAAACATGCTAACTGAAAAACAAAGATTATCTCTCTGGATAAAATAAAAGATCCCATGGTACGCTACTTACAACACAGGGGCCAGACCAGTGAAGATGTACTTTAAACCTCAGCACAAAGAAGTAATAGGGTAAAAGGATTGAAGAAGATACACCACAAAGTTCAAAACCAAACATACCCAACTTTAAAAACTGATATAACTAATGAAGAGAAAAGACAGACTTTGCAAGTTTGTCCAACCCACTGCCCATGGGCTGCATGCGGCCCAGGATGGCTTTGAAAGCAGCTCAAAACAAATTCATAAACTTTCTTAAAACATTATGAGCTTTTTTTTGTGATTTTGGTTTTTTTAACTTATCAGCTATCACTGGTGTTAGTGTGTTTTATGTGTACCAAGACAATTCTTCTTCCAATGTGGTTCAGGGAAGCCAAAAGATTGGACACCCCTGCTTTAAAGCAAGAAGTATTACTAAAGATAAAAAAGGATATTTCATAAAGATAAAAGGTTATTATTATTATTTATAACACTATGTAAAAGGAATAATATGTTAAGCCTAGTAGGATTTATTTTACTAATGGAAATGGGTTTTATATTTAAAATTAGTCATAGTAAAGCAACATAAAAACAGAGTAAAAGATAAAAACTATATGAGAATATCAATAACTGCAGAAATATTATATAATAAAACAACATCTATTCATGATTCAGACAAAAAGCAATTAAAAAGAAACCTCAGTTAACCATAAGCACAAGGATATTTCCCAAATATGTCAGAATATTTACAAAACTGCGTATACCTATGCAATAATGGAATACTGAAGACACAACTAAGGAAATTGGAAATGAGACAAGAATTTCCACTAACTCCATTTCCTTCAGTATTGTACTAGAAGTACCAACTGAGACAATGAGGTAAGAAAAGGAAATTTAAAAATTAGAGTTAGAAGTAGACAAATAAAACCTTCATTATTTATCCAAACAAAAATATTTTGAATGTAGAACTTCAAAACAACTATAACTATTTAAATTAATAAGTTAATTTATTAAGATTGCTGAATATGAGGTCAACATCCAAAATTCAATTGCATTTCTATATGGTTGCATATCTAGAAAGTGAGATTTTTAAAAAATTACAATACCATAAGAACATCAATACCAAGAAATAAATCTAACAAAAATGTGCAAAACTTTTATAAAAGACTGAAAAAAAATTATTCAAACTTATTAAAGAAGTTGTACATAAAGACAGGAATATACCATGTTCACAAACTGGAGGATTAAATGTTAAAATTGTCAAGTGAGCCGAAATTGATTTATAGATTCAATACAATACCAATCAAAACTCCTGCAGGCATTAGTTTTGTTTTTGGTGGAAATTGACAAGCGGATATTAAGATACATATGGAAAGGCACAGGGGCCAGACCAGCGAAGACCATCTTGACAGACAGCAACTAAGCCGAGGCATTCATATTACCAGACATCAAGACTACGTTTATCAGCCTATAGCAATTAAAACAGTGTTGATGCAAGGTCAGCAAATCACAGTAGAAATTCCAGAAAGAGACACACTCACATATACAGTCACTCAATGACAACCAAGGTGAGAGTGCAGGGCCATGGGGAGAAGACACTCTTTCAACTATATGTCATGAAAAGTAAAACACAAAATCCTCAGCCCCTGAACTGACTGAACAGCCCTCCTCTTGGCCACGGGGACCCCAGAAAAACCTGAACTGACTTCCTGGCCATGATGGGATGGGAGGTGGGATGCCCCTCATGACACCCCTCTCTCACCACCACCATTAGGCTTCCTTCCCTAAGGGTTAAAGAGAAACCAGCCCTTTTGGAAGACTTGCTCCACTGCTGATTCAACCAACCTCATCACTGACCCTCCCTTTTTACGATCTTGACTCAATAACCAACAGCATTCCTTCCTGACAGGAGACCACTGGCCATGGAATGGCTCTGGCCACTCTGCGGGGAATGTGCAGGGAGGGTTTTCATATCCTCTGCTTCACCTTTTGAAGTCAGAGAGCCAAAATCTCCACCCTCAGATCAAACTAACACCGCCAGGTTTTGAACATGTGATCCATGGAGAAGCATGAAACTCAGGTGCACGTGTGCATGCCATCTTTTCATAAATATTAATGATTCCTATACCTTATTAAGTATGTATATTGGCTGTCCCATTCTGAATAAATTTCTGTCTTATTCTTTCCACCCATGTAGTACCTGTTTCCAGCTTCTGAGTGGAGGCTACACTTCCCAGCCTATAAAAATGGCCACTCTTGCACTCTTCACAAGAAATAAAGCCCTCCTTTCCAAATGTATGAACCTCCTCATTCTTCAGCTGACAATCACCAGGTCAGCTATGCATGAGTCATAACATTAACCTGAATCCCTGCAATATGATATATTTAAAAATCATTTCCAAGTGACCATTGAACCTGGAAATGAGAGGTGAAATTATTAAATTTCTAGAAGATCACATAGGAAAACATTGGTTTTTTTTTTTTTTTTTTTTTTTTTTGAGACAGAGTCTTGCTCAGTCGCCCAGGCTGGAGTGCAGTGGCGCGATCTTGGCTCACTGCAAGCTCCACCTCCTGGGTTCACGCCATTCTCCTGCCTTAGCCTCCCGAGTAGCTGGGACTACAGGTGCCCGCCACCATGCCCGGCTAATTTTTTTTGTATTTTTAGTAGAGACGGGGTTTCACTGTGTTAGCCAGGATGTTCTCAATCTCCTGACCTCGTGATCCACCTGCCTTGGCCTCCCAAAGTGCTGGGATTACAGGCATGAGCCATCGTGCCAGGCCCATAGGAAAACATCTTAATGTTGATTAAGCTTTCCTAAACAGGACACAAAAAGATTGACAAATAGGACTTGACAAAAATTAAGAACTTCTGTTCAATTAATAAGAGAATAAAAGGCACAAATTGAGAGAAGAAATGTAATATATCTCTCTATATATAAAATAACTCATATCTAAAATATAAGGGTATATATTCTTATATATATATAAGGGTATATATTCTTATATATATATAAGGATATATATAGGTAATATAAGACATTACAAATCAATAACAAATTGAAGATAATTTATTTTAAGTGAGAAAAAGACTTAAGCAAGCACTTCACAAAAGATGTTCAAATGACCAATATGCACATCTGAATGGGCTCGACCTCATTAATCATCAAGCAAATGCAAATTAAAACCACCATGAAACACCACTCCTCACTGCCAGAATGCCTGCACTTTAACGCTGCCAACATCACATGCTGGAAAAGACTTGGACCAGCTGGAACTCTGATCCTTCGCTGGTGAGAATGTAAATCAGTAAAGCCATTAGGGAAACATTTTGACAGTGTCTTATACAGCTGAGCATGCAGGAATTCTATCACACCCAGCAACTCCACTTCTAGGCAGGTACCCACCTGCAATGCATTCACATGTGCACCAAAAGACTTGTTCATATCCACATTGCTCGTAATAGCCTAAAACCAAAAACTATCCATCAGTACTTGGTTAAATAAATTGTGGTATATTTAACATGAAATACGACACAACGACAAAAAAAAAAAAAAAAAAAAAAAAAAAAAAAAAAACATAGATGCCCAAAACCACATGAATGAATCACAGACAGGATATTAAGTGGGAAATGGTACAGACAGAAAACTACGTACTGTCTGATTTTATTTGCATGGAGTTCATAAAACGAGGCAAGATGAATCTGTGGTAACGAATGTGCAGCCAGCATTCTGTCTTGACTGAGTGGTTGTTGCTTGAAGGTGTTAATAAACTGTCCAACTCCACTGGGCTAAAAGCTAAGATTTGCGGGCTTTGCTGTCTAAATGCTGTACTTCAACAGAAAGTTCACCCAAAGTCCTTATGCTTTGGAGTTTGTAGCATTGAAAATATTCTCTTCTTTTAGCGGGAACAAACTTTTCTCACAAAAGAAACCCAATAAATATCTCTCCAAAAGAAGTTTAAAATCAAAGCGAACGGAGGGAATGAATAAACCAAGCAGAGGCCAGTTCTCCTCTTGGGTGGTTCGTGACAACCATTTCACCCCCAGAATCCTGACAATGCCATGCTCTTTCGGGGATTTCTAATGGCGGCAGCTTTAGGCTTTTCCTCAAGGGATCCTATGAGATTCCTGGAGGTGGGACTGTGCTGCGGCAGCTGTGGATCCTCCCACAGTGAAGGGGGCTTCCTGCAACGGCCTCACAGCAATCCATGGATCCTTCCCACAGTGAAGGGGGCTTCCTGCAGCGGCCTCACAGCAATCCATGGATTCTTCCCACAGAGAAGGGGGCTTCCTGCAGTGGCCTAACAACAATCCATGGATGCTTCCCACCGTGAAGGGGGCTTCCTGCAGCGGCCTCACAGCAATCCATGGATCCTCCCACAGTGAAGGGGGCTTCCTGCAGCGGCCTCACAGCAATCCATGGATCCTCCCACAGTGAAGCGGGCTTCCTGCAGCGGCCTCACAGCAATCCATGGATCCTTCCCACAGTGAAGCGGGCTTCCTGCAGCGGCCTCACAGCAATCCATGGATCCTCCCACAGTGAAGGGGGCTTCCTGCAGCGGCCTCACAGCAATCCATGGATCCTTCCCACAGTGAAGGGGGCTTCCTGCAGCGGCCTCACAGCAATCCATGGATCCTCCCACAGTGAAGGGGGCTTCCTGCAGCGGCCTCACAGCAATCCATGGATCCTCCCACAGTGAAGGGGGCTTCCTGCAGCGGCCTCACAGCAATCCATGGATCCTTCCCACAGTGAAGCGGGCTTCCTGCAGCGGCCTCACAGCAATCCATGGATCCTTCCCACAGTGAAGCGGGCTTCCTGCAGCGGCCTCACAGCAATCCATGGATCCTTCCCACAGAGAAGGGGGCTTCCTGCAGCGGCCTCACAGCAATCCATGGATCCCTCCCACAGAGAAGGGGGCTTCCTGCAGCGGCCTCACAGCAATCCATGGATCCTTCCCACAGTGAAGGGGGCTTCCTGCAACGGCCTCACAGCAATCCATGGATCCTTCCCACAGTGAAGGGGGCTTCCTGCAGCGACTCTCACAGCAATCCATGGATCCTCCCACAGTGAAGCGGGCTTCCTGCAGTGGCCTCACAACAATCCATGGATCCTTCCCACAGTGAAGGAGGCTTCCTGCGGGGACTCTCACAACAATCCATGGATCCTTCCCACCGTGAAGGGGGCTTCCTGCAGTGGCCTCACAGCAATCCATGGATGCTTCCCACAGAGAAGCGGGCTTCCTGCAGCGACTCTCACAGCAATCCATGGATCCTCCCACAGTGAAGCGGGCTTCCTGCAGCGGCCTCACAGCAATCCATGGATCCTCCCACAGTGAAGCGGGCTTCCTGCAGCGGCTCTCACAGCAATCCATGGATGCTTCCCACAGTGAAGGGGGCTTCCTGCAGCGGCCTCACAGCAATCCATGGATCCTCCCACAGTGAAGGAGGCTTCCTGCAGCGGCTCTCACAGCAATCCATGGATCCTCCCACAGTGAAGGAGGCTTCCTGCAGCGGCTCTCACAGAAATCCAAATAAGCAGCCTGTGGTTTACCGAGAGCCGTTTCACAACCACACTTTCACTCCATTGCTGCCTTCTCCATGAATTTAGCAAACCATGAAGACTATACTTTCTCATACCCCATTTTCTGCTCTCTCTCTCCCACCTGCCTTCCTTCTTAGCAAAGCTGCCCTGCCAGTTCCCAACAATGGAATTCCCAGCTGGTAGATTAAGAGATTGCCAGAATGGCTGAGGCCAACGCTCCTCAGCCATCTCCTCCTTCAAACCCTGCAAACCCATAAGATCTCAGCACAGAATCCACTTTATTAAAACCAGAAAGTTTCCGTCACTAACTCTTAACACTCGTTGAGACAGGCAATAACACAATCAGCTTGGCCACGTCATCCTGTAGGATGGAGTCTGTCCTCGCAGACTGGGATTTCCAAGTTCTTCCTAACAGCCATATTTTTTTTTCCTGTTTGCAAAACTCGGAGATCAGTGAAGCCTTTTCACCAAATATGATAGCTTGTTTCTTAGGAATCTTCTGTCACTCATGGGGACTTTTCTGACTGATTAACAAAAAAAAAAAAAAAAAAACACACACACACACACAGGAAATGTCATTTTGTCATATATTTTTCTGTTACACATTTTTTTGTCCCAGATCTGGCAATTGGAGTATGGCTATAAAAGTTGAGCCATCTTCCAGTTTCATCTTTAAGTGAGAACTTGGGATTTCCTGCTTGATGAGAAACCAGAGCTGATTCCTTCTGCACATCCGCAGAGCTCCCCACTGAAGCAGAATCCAGCAGAACCCACAGAACCAGATAAGAGCTTACACATGCATTACCACAGGTGTGAAATGCCTGACACACAGGACGGGTTCCCCTTCTACGTCCTCGTGGGCCATGGGCACCCTACAGGCTGAGCTGGGTAAACAGCGTTTGCTGGAAAGAAAACGGACACAGAACTCGGCTGGCCATCACGCCTGTGTGCCCACCCAGGGGTTTCTTCAGCTGGAAGACACCGCTGTTGTCAAACCTTGTGTGGCCTCATCCTGTGCCAGCAGGAGTGGGAGAGAATCACCAAGCCGCTCATAGCCCTCGCACTCCCCCTCAGCCTCCAGCCAGGGCACCGCTGCTCCGCACCGCATCCACACGCACAGACATGCTCCGTTTCCACTCCCGCTGTGGACACACAGTCTTCGTGTTCGGAGGCCTGTGTTGTGCCCTCCCTCCCGCTGGTCACTCTTCTGTTTCTGCGGCTGTCCCTGGACGCTGGAGGTGCCGGGAGGGGAGGTCGTGCTCCCTCACAGCCACCCCTCGCCCCCCAACTCACTCATGTGCTTATTTCCCCACTTTGTTTTTCACCAAACATTCAATAATCATCTTCCAGCCCCTCCTCCACCCCAGTCCCTGTGCTAAGCCTGGGACTGTAATGACAGACAATGGTCTAAAGAATCGCAGAGAAGGCAGAGAAGGAAAGAAAAACAGTCGCAATATGGCAGAGTAAACAGGTATGAATCTCCTGTTCATAAAATAAGCCAAAGTCATGCCATTTATCCAAGTAAAGAATGTGGCTTACAAGCGAGGCTCACGGAGGTATTTCAATAAGCCTTTCTTATCTGACAGCTTGAAGAGCCTATTATCTTACACCATTTATACAGACAAACTTTCAGTCAATTCATTACAAATAGAGCAGGCTCAATTCAACAATAATTACACAATAATCTCTCATGGATTTGAGTAGCATGTTGCACTTTGAAGTATGCTTTCGATCATGGATACACAGCCTTAATACATTTTTATTTATATCTCACCTTTCTTCCAAAAAAGATTAGAGGTATCCCATCTGTATGAATCTATGAACAAACAGAATCCACAATGGGCAGAAAATGTGTGAGCCAACTTCAGAAAACATTTAAAACTTCAAAAGAAAGTGTGTTGGTCCCAGATTAGAGGGGCGTGACTCGCTGCGCTCACAGGCTCCCCTCTGCTGCACAGGGTTGCGCTCCAGGGGCAGCTAGGAAGGACCCCATCATTCATGGCACAGCAGTCAGGGTCTCAAGGATAACGACGTGCCAAGTCCCACTCCTGCGCCCTGGCTCCACCCTGGGCGTCCCCTGCTTCCCTCCTTCCTGCCCTGCGGGCTCCATACCAGCTGCTCCCTGAGAACTCACCCAGGCCTGCTGGGTTGGTGTCCTGGTCCTGACCAGGCCCCGGGCTGAGTGCACAGAAGGTCTGGGAGACACTGGGTCCCCTGGGGAGGGAGTGAGGCTTCCTTCTTCCAAGTCGGGCTGGATTCTCCGGGACCCCCGCTCCCTCTCTGTCCCCGACAGCGCACTCTGACCCACCGCGGGCGCTGCCCTGCTGAGCTCTCACGGGAGTCCCAGCCCCCGGGTCTCAGCCAGCACTACCCGCTGGCCAGGTTCCTTCACCACTTGCCCGCCGGATCCCCCAGGACCATGAGCAGAGGTCAAACGTGGATGTCATAGACCCTCCTGAAGGTGTAGAATTAGTGGGTGAGAGCAGAGAACCCGAGCCTGGTCACTCCTCCCAGGACAAGCGTGAGGCCCACCCTGAGCCCCATGCAGGGGTCTCCCAGGACCCCCGGGGTCCAAGCCTGAGTGCCTTGCCTCCTCTCCCAATATTTCCTGTGGAAAATCTCCCCCCACTTTCAGGACAATTCCTGTCTCCTTGCCTGAGGGGTGGTCTCACTCTAGAGGTTATTCCCTCCCCCAACAGCACCAAGAGGAGCAGTCGCAGAGCCACCCAGCTGAGCCCTGCCCACCCCAGACTGTGCCTTCCGAGCATGCCCGGCTGCGCAAATGGAGATAGGCCCCTCGCTCCGTCTCTCTCTGTCCTGCCTTCCTCCTGCCTGTTGCTGTCTTCTGTACTGGCCGTTAAAAAACACTACACAACCCGTTCCCGGGCCCAGCAACAGTTCCCTGAGATCATCTGCTCCAAATTTTCTTAAGGAATGGGAGCATTTTCCTAAAACCAGCCTGGTCTGTAAACACCTCCCTGGCCGGAATAGAGGCTTCTGTATTCCCAGCTTCCGAGCCTTCACGGGGCCTGTGCTAGAGAACTACCCCCTTTTCCATCCATCAGAGCTCAGCATAGGCGCCAGAAAGGCTTCAAAAGCAGGTCAACTTTAAAAACCTGAGCCGCTGTCTACCATAATTTGTACTTATTTATTTGGTTGCTCGGGTGCTGACCTCTGCCGGCTGCAAGTGTGCCTGTCTCATTCACCTCTGAATCAGCAGCACCTCAGACCCCATCTGACTCAGCGCCTTGGGGGCACCTCTTCCCACCCCGGGACCCTGGGCATAGCCTCCTCTTGGCCTCCTCACCCTCTGGTCCAGGCTTTGGTGCAGAATGCCTAGGGATGCCCCAGGAGTGATTTTTGGCCTCAGATTGACTCTTTTTTTGCCAGGCTAAACCTAGGTTATATTTTTTGCCGCCAAGTTTTAATCTCACAGCCCAGTGAATATATATATATATTTTCAAATTTGATTTTCCAAATGTCCCGGGAGCACATGCCCTGTTTCCTAATGAATCTCCGGGGTTCTTCAGAGTAAACAACAAAACATAGCATTCCTGCTTTGGGACTCCAGCCCTCCACCCTGGGGAGCACGTGTCTCCTTGACCATGGTCATCTCCTACTAGACCGGAGTTGAGGAAGGAGCCGGGAGTCCCAGGCCGATGGAGCCGAGCCCAACCGAGCCCCAAGGAGAGACCGTGGGGGCTGCCTGAGAGCTTCAGCCCAGAGCAGTGGCAGACAGGAGAGGACGGCCACTCTTGAGGGGCGTGGGCGGCCATCGGCAGGCTGAGGGGGTGGGCGGCTGCGGGTTGAGGGGTTGGGTGCCTGTCTTCAGGCTGCTCCTCTACGCAGGCCCGAGCCTGTGATCAAGGAGTCACCCAGAGCCCAGTTATGTCTACGGGAGCTCTTCTCAGAGAAATGGGCACCGACACCTCTAAGATGGTCCCTGGAAGCCCATGAGCCAGAGCCGTGTTCCAGATTTAAACGTGTCCGTGTGTCCTATGGGGAAAGCGCAGGTCATCCAAGGAATGGAAGTAATGGAAAGATATTTTTGAAACAATATTTTTTTAAATGTTCAAATAGTTACTGCCACCATGGAAGGAACAGAAATCCTCCAGAGCAGTGAGCTCCACATCACAGGGGCATTCAAGCCCGTCCTCCCAGGAGGATGCATATCCCACGGCTGCTCAACCAGAAGACAGCTTGTCACACCTCATCCTCCCAACTGGACAGCTTGTCACATCTCATCTCCCCGGGTTCCACTGTGTGCTCCATGGCAAAGCTCTGCCCCTTGGGCTTGGGGTCTGGGGGAAGATCCCTGGACACCTGGAGGTGCAGGTAACCACGGGGAGGTGTGCAACTGTGTCTCCCCAGCCCTTCAGATGAAGAGGGAGCTGCCAACTCTCCATGCGTCAGTGCAGAGTCCGCCGAGCTACATGCAAAGGTTCAACACAGGGCTGATCCACACAGGCTGATTCTCACCCGTGCCTGAGTCCTCCTGCCTTGGTGACCCCTTAGGTGAGTTAAGAGCACTTCTCGGGAAGTAATCATCTTGGACCTCAGCAGCTGCACAGAGATTTGGGTGAAGGCCATCCCTTTCTGGCCCCAGGTCCCCTGCATAATGCACTGACTCAGCCTCACCTGTCCCTAGGACGAGCCTGGCTGTCCCGGGGAGGTGAAGAGCCCCACCCCCTGCAAATGTGGAGGCCGGGCACAGCGCAGGTGTTTATTAGAGAACCTTTCTGCCTCCTGGTCTGCAATCAAGGAGATTCCTCAGCTCATTAGCTTCACGGACAAGTTCCGGAAGAGGAAGACCAGGCCCCCCAAGCTATCAAGGTGCCCGGGATGACACCCAGCTCCTCCCCCACCCCCTTACTCCCTGGGCGCTTCAGTCCATCTGGCTGTGCCCTCGCTGCGGCCCCGGCTCCTGGCCTCTCCTGGCTGCCACTTCTCCCTGGAAAGCTGAGACCTCAGGACTGGGAGTAGAAAACAAGGAGAAGGAATGTGGAGGTGGAACTTGGCAGAGGGCGAGGCCGGCCCTCCCTGTGGTCATCTCTGCCCAGCAGGCTGCCCTCCCCACCCAGATTCCTATCCAGGCCAGCATCCCCACCCCTGGCCCCACCCACAGGGCCCTCCCTGGAACCTGCACAGTGGAGACCGGGGGAGACCAGGTGGGGAGACCAGGTGGGGAGACCAGGTGGGGAGACCGGGTGGGGAGACACACCGGAACAGGGACACCCCGTCCCCAGGGAATCCTGGAGCTACACCCTGAAGGTGCAGCTTTTATCCTAATGGGCTGGGCTCCCACACAGATGTGGAGGCAGCACTGCCTGCAGAAGCCCTTGTCAGTGGCCATGGAGAGCCTGTCCCTCTGTCCTCCCGCCCTGTCCCTGTCCCCACCCTGTCCCTCTGTCCTCCTGCCCTATCCCTCTCTCTCTTCCCTGTCCCTCTGTCTCCACTCTGTCCCCACCCAGTCCCTCTGTCCCTCTGTCCCCGCCCTGTCCCTCTGTCCCTACCCTGTCCCTCTGTCCGAACACTGTCCCTCTCTCCTCCTGCCCTGTCCCTCTGTCCCTGTCCCTCTCTCCCTGCTGTCCCTCTGTCCGCACCCTGTCCCTGTCCCCATCCTGTCCCTCTGTCCCCACCCAGTCCCTCTGTCCCCCAGTCCCTCTGTCCCTCTGTCCCCGCCCTGTCCCTCTGTCCCTACCCTGTCCCTCTGTCCGAACACTGTCCCTATCTCCTCCTGCCCTGTCCCTCTGTCCCTGTCCCTCTCTCCCCGCTCTGTCCCTCTGTCCCTGCTCTGTCCCTCTGTCCTCACCCTGTCCCTGTCCCCATCCTGTCCCTCTGTCCCCACCCAGTCCCTCTGTCCCCCAGTCCCTCTGTCCCTGTCCCCGCCCTGTCCCTCTGTCCCCACCCTGTCCCTCTGTCCCATCCCTGTCCCTCTGTCCCCACCCTGTCCCTCTGTCCGTGTCCCTGCCCTGTCCCTCTGTTCCCACTCTGTCCGTCTATCCCTGCCCTGTCCCTCTGTCCCCGCCCTGTCCCTCTGTCCATCTCCACTCTGTCCCTCTGTCCCTCTCTCCCCCATCCCTCTGTCCCTCTGTCTCTCTGTCCCCCGTCCCTCTGTCCCTCTGTCCCTGCCAGTCTATGCCCTGTGCTCATGGATTTCCCTCACAGGAACTTTCATTTTCACACAATGAACAAGCGAATGCAGCTCTGGGTGAGGGCAGGGCCCCACCTCTCAAAAGGACGACTCAGTCCTTCCAAAGCCTTCCATGGCCCCCGCCGGATCCTCAGCCTGGAACCCTGGGTCAACAGTGCTCCCCAAAGCTCTCCAAGAGGGGCTGCCACCCCAGGGCATGGACAACACCACCCATTCCCCCCACTCAGGTCTCCACCGGCCGGAAGCCACCCTGGGCTCCACTTGGCTCCTGGACGTGAGAGCTGGGCAGGGCCTTGAAGACACTCAGTCTGTTGCCCTGTCCCCCACACCCATGTCCCCCACACCCGTGTCCCCACACCCGTGTCCCCACACCCGTGTCCCCTACCCACACCTATGTCCCCACACCCATGTCCCCGACACCCATGTCCCCCATACCCGTGTCCCCACACCCGTGTCCCCTACCCACATCCATGTCCCCACACCCATGTCCCCGACACCCATGTCCCCACACCCATGTCCCCGACACCTCCAGCTCCAGCCTTGCTCAGCACCATGGGCTGCACTGTGGCCTCCGGTCCCCTCGGAGCTCGACTGTACTTGGCGACGGCCCATGAGAGGAGGGCGCACAGAGGGCATAGAGGGGTCCACATGAGGACACAGGGGAGGGCCCTGCCCTGCCCGCAGCCCACAGCCCACAGAGAGGCCCAGGAGGACCCCGCTCTGCCGGCCCCTAGTCCTGGACTTCCCGCCTTCAGAACTGAGAGGAAGTAAATTCCTGTGGTTCAATCCAAAGCCTGTGGTGTTTTGTCATGGCTGCTCCAGTAGATTAATACACATATCACATGAGATGTTACTATCAGGGGCCACAAGGCCAAGGCTGGACCCTTTATGACAAGGAGGCTGGGGGTGTGGAGGAAGAAGCAGGGTCTGACGGTAGGTGGCAGAGCCGGGTCATACCACGAATCCCCCACCAGGGCCCCAGGCCTGCGCAGACCTGGGCAGAGCTGCTCGCTCCTTCCTTGGCTGAACGGAGCCTCTGCCTGCAACCTGTGTGTGCGGATGCATTGGCCTCCAGCCCCGGGCAGCGGCATGTCCGTGGTGGAGCAGACAGACCATGCAGGGCCCAGGAGCAGGCGCCCAGTGGGTCCCATTTAGACACCCAGTGTGACTGTAACTGCTGGGTCTATGCTGATGTAAACTGCAAATCTCAGAAGAGTCCTGCAGGAGGGGCACAGACCACAGACATCATGAGAACAGACAGCAGCCTGGCTCAGAGGAGACAGCTCAAAAGCCCAGGGTCCGGAGAAGGCCAGGAAGTGCCAAGCGCCTTCCCAGGGGAGGGGCCCAGGCAATAAGGGGCTGTCCTTCTGGCCGCAGCTTCAAGTTGAACCAGCCCCGAAACTATATAAAAGACAATTGAACCAGGGTGCCCAAACCCATGTCAACCTGAAAACACAAACCTACTGAAGTCTATCCAGCAGGGACCCTTTGGTGAAGAGTCAACCTAATGATGCCTCTCTCAGGGGTGGGAGTGAAAGGTGCTGCGGTCTCTGCCTTCAAAGACCCTCTGTCCTGCACCTGCGAGGCCCCTGCACAGAGCAGCTGAGAGGTCCCCGCTGCTCCGGCCACTGGCAAAGCTTCTGATGCCCCTTCACTGCCCCCAGATTTGCTGTTTAAAAAACCACCAACAGCAAATATGGTGAAAAAATCGCAATCCCTAGTGTCAAGTCTGACTGCCTGTGTGCAGAGAATTCTGAGGCTGTATTGGAGTCTTGAGTGAAAAACCCACAGAGGCAGATGAGAAATCTACTTTGACTCTAACAAAGGTTAACTGAGAATTTGCCACGTTCCAGACACTGTGTGAAGTGCCAGAGATCTAGGGGGGAACAATTCAAACTCTCTCTTCTGAGAGCATAAATTTCAGACAGAAATCCAGACAAAAACAATTTGTGGCCATTTTCTTTTTTCTTACTAATAAGACCTGTGTTTGCTATTTCCCAGGCAGCAATTTGCACATCTGAAAACTTGTCTTTCTCAGTCCGTGTTGCAGACAGGAATAGCCCATGTCATACTCTGGCAAGAGAGAGGTAGGTGGAAGCTTTGTGGAGGGATTGCTATAGACTGTCTTAAAAGGGGGACAAACCCAACCAACAGGCACCACTTTGCTCTTGGACCTTGTCTCTTCCTGCTGCCTGAAACGAATAAACAATGGCAGGAGCTCCAGCAGCCTCCATGAGGACATGAGCACAGGGCCCAGTGCAGCAGAAACATGGGGCTGCCAAACCAGCCTGACACTCCCACCCCCAGATTTATGAGTGAAAAATGTATTTTTATAAAAGTGACTGTTCCTGGGGTTTCTATTGTAATAATCCACTGTTCTTTGGGAAATCAGCAGCTGAACTCAATCACTAGTGCAACACAAGTAAACAAATAAATCCGGCAGATGATTCTGCTTGGCCTAAATGCTGCAAAGGAAATGACCAGGACACAAAGCACAGAAGCAGGAGGAAGGCAGCTTGGACCGGAAGGTCTGCAGGAGGAAGGACTGCCAAGCAGGGCTGTGCAGATGGTGAGGGCCCAGCCGCAGATAGGCTCTCCAGGCAGAGGTCTTGGCAGACCCAGAGGTTCTGAATCCCATCCAGCCACGTGCCACCTGAGAAAGCTGCGTAGACTAGACGGCACCTCATGCATGGCAGGGAAGTCAACAGAGTTGGAGTGGGAGAAGCCCACAAGGCAGGGGCTTGTAGATCCGAGAAAAGATTGCAGATTTTATTCTTTAAGCAGTAAGAAGTCACTGGGGGGCGCTGAGAGAAAATGAGCTAGCCCAGGGGCTGCCCCCTGAATTCTGCCTGTTGTGTTGGCCGGGATACCTGCCAGGCCTACGGATGCGGGAGGTGCTGCTGTATCTCTGCCCTCCCTGCACTGGGAGCAGGCGCTCCCTCTTTAGTTACAATGACAAATAACAGATCCGGGCATGTCCAGTGTCCCCTGGGGGCACGATGCCTCCAGCTGAGGACCACTGCAGAATGTCTTCTGTAAAGAGAGGAAAGTCAGAGAAATGGCAGAGTGGAGGAGGGGACACCGGGCAGCCGGGCAGAGAATGCGGGGAGAAATGCAGATGTTCAAGAGGCATCTTGGAGAAAATCCTGCGGAATTGACTGGTATGTTACATTCTGTGGTTATGAAGGGGACAAGCCTAAAGGCACCTTGCAGGCAGGCCTGTGTTCCAGCCACACTCCACGGCCAGGCGGGGCCTGCCTTGTGGGTGCTGGACTGTGAATGGGTCACATGTGTCATTTCCGGCCAGGTTAGGCCAGCTGGGCCGGTTGCCCACTGTGCACCTCTCTGGCCTTTGCAGGAGGAAGCCCAGCCGGCAGGACTCAGCTCCACGCCGGGGATGGAGCCCAGGTCCTGGCAAACGTGGAGGAGCGTTGTCCCTGCGAGCGCCCAGCCTGAACAGAAGGGAACGAGGGGGGAGCAAGCCCGCGGTGCGTGATGCTGGTCATTTATTTGCCGCAGCTGCCAGCACACGTCCGCTAACCTGACGAACACGGATCCTGACCTCTAACTTCACACACGCACCCAGGCTGAAATGGAAGCACCAGCCGGGGCAGGTGGAGGGGCTGGAGGAGAATCCAGAGGTTCCTCGCAGGTGCGTGGTGGTGACCCACTCCTCGGGTTTTCACAGGGAGACGTCAGGTAGCGGCTGGGCCTGAGGCTCGGGGGCCGGGTCTGGGCTGCAGTGAGGCTCGGCCATCTCCGGCTTTGCTGCGCCAACAAGAGCATTGCCTGCTGCTATCCCACGCGTCCTCATCCCAAATCCCAGATGAGGGCGCTGTGGCCTTGGCCACCCCCAACACGGCGCCTGGGCTCGCATCTGGGTGGTGGTTTTTCCTGCTGCACCACCAGGGTGCCTTGGCGCTGGGACTACAGGATGCACAGAGGACCGCGCGTGGTGGAAGAGAAGCCAGCCTGGCCCGTTTGTGCGAGCGCGGCCCCTAAGCCCGCAGGCTGCCCTGCTGGGAGGGGAGAGTGGGAAGCGGCCTCCGGGTTGGTTCCCAGTGGTCCCAGCTGGGGGCAGAAATTCCATCTGTCTCACAACAGATGAGTATTCTCAAGTGTGGGAAAGCAACACAGACCAGAAACTTATCAGGGGGAGGAAAACTCCCCCTGATAAGATGCAAAGGAGCCTAGAAAAAAAAAATTGGCCCAAAGAGCAAGCACTGCTGGTTCAGGATAATTTCAGGATAAACTGCCCCAGCTATTGGCAGATGTTAAGAAACACTTCCAAGAACTCGAGGGCAAGACACACCAGCCTCCTAACAGAAACAGCACCCCTACCCCACCACACGCTGGAAGGTTCCAGAAGACCTTGGCAGGACCAAAGACGTCAGTCAAGGTGATGGATAGCTCAGGTCGCCAATATTTCCCATCAAAAGTAGCACTTAGTAATAATTCCACACTCATGGGGAATACTTTGGGCAAAACTGGAGAAAAGGCTTTTGAGTTTCCTAACACTCACTATTGCTCACGAAATAGACATCACATTAAATGCAGTAAAAGAGCAAAAAAAAAAAAAATGGCTGGGCGTGGTGGTTCATGCCTGTAATGCCAGCACTTTGGGAGGCCAAGGCAGGCAAATCACGAGGTCAGGAGTTCGAGACCAGCCTGACCAGCATGGTGAAACCCCGTCTCTACTAAAAATACCAAAACAAACAAACAAACAAAAATTAGCTGGGCGTGGTGGCAGGCACCTGTAGTCCCAGCTACTCAGGAGGCTGAGGCAGGAGAATCACTTGAACCAAGGAGATGGAGGTTGCAGTGAGCCAAGATCACACCACTGCACTCCAGCCTAGGCGACAGAGCAAGACTCCGTCTCAAAAAAAAAAAAAAAAAAGCAAAAAATTAAAATGGTGGAGGGCAAAATAATTTAAAAAGTGAACAAACCTAAATGACTAGTTAGTTATTCTAACAGTAGGCAAACGTCATACTGTTATTACACCTTTCCTGTAAAGAAGCTATGCTCCATTGTGGTAAAAACAAAAAAAATGTGCCTGTGGTTTATAAACACAATAAACCTTAAAATGCAAAGCGGTGCCTTGGCCTTCACGTCAGTATCCCTCAAAGTGTCTGACTCCCCAGGTGATGGTTCCAGGAGCTGGGGGCCTTTGGGAGGTGATGAGGTCATGGTGTGGAGCCCATGGGTGGATCTGTGCCCTTCTAAGAGACCCCAGAGAGACCCTCACCCCTTCCCCCAGGAGAGGTCTGTGAAATAAGAAGCAGTCCTCACGAGACACCAAACCCACTGGGCCTTGGTCTTGGACTTCAGCCCCCAGAGCAGAGAGACGAGTGTCTGCAGCTTGTAAGCCCCATCTGCTGTGGTTGTCACAGCTGCCGAGTGACCAAGGCAGGTGACAGAGGAAGCTGGATTCGCTGCACATCTGCTCCGTCCAGGCCTCTCACGATGCCTACAGCATCCCTGTCCTCTGGGAAGAGCCCTTGCTGTGAGGAAGAGCCCTGACACTCCAGCATGTGCTTTGCATAAAAGCTGCTGTCATCTTACAGACTCCACAAGTGACCAGCCCAGCCGCAGGCACTGACTCAGGCCGCCAGGTTGCTGCCCCTCCCTGGGGCTGTGAGCAGGCATCTGGCCACAGAGAATCCTGGACTTGCTGCCAAGAGCCAGATGTCGCCTGCTGGGACCCGCCAGGAGTCCTGTTCCCAGCCGAGCAGAGGGGCCTGGCGGAGAGGCCCAAGCCAATGGCGGGGAGAAGCAGAGACGAGGCCTGGGCCCCACTCCCATCTCTGTTCCTTTGAACTGAGGTTTTGTCACTGACAATAAGGGTTCTGACTCACACATCTGCTTAAGTTGTGGTTCGGGCACTTAACGTTTCATCTGAAGTTTCCTGAACGTCAGCCAAAGGCCATCAGCTCGGCATCTAGAGCCTTTCAGGTCCGTAGGAATCCACAGATACAAGTTGTAGAGAAAGGAGGTCCAAAGAGATAAAGTGTCAAACGACATCATAGTAAATGGCCTCAAACAAAAACCTCCAAAGACTGTTTTCCCACCACAGCACACCGACTCATAATGAACAAGGAGAGAGGGAATTTTGCTGAGCTTGGTGCTTCAGGAACGCCTAGAAAAGGAAGAGGCTTCTACCGCTGGTGCTTGAACCGAGGGGCAGCTCCTGCAGACAGGCCCTGAGGGCTGGCTGCCACGGAAACAACAACCGGGCTGAGCTGAGACCTGAGACACGAGGTCCCCTTGCTCCACGAGCACCTGGGGACCCGCCCCTGCACACCCCAGTGCTCCTGGGCTGGAAGCCGCATCTCTCCAACCTCTGCCTTCGTCTTTTATTCTCATCCTCAAACGAGGCCTTCTGGCCCGCCTCCCTCCCACGGCCACCCCAGCCCCTTCTCATTCTGCTCTTCGCGAAGCCGCCAGAAGGTCCTTTAAACTGTGAGCGCTTCAGCACAGTGGGATCCTCCCAGGCCTGTGACACAGCACCCGGTACGCGCAGCACACAGGCCCAGCCTCAGGCCCTGCACCAGGCTCTGCTGCCCCCTGGTCTCCCACCCCGCAGGCTAGCGTCCACTTCTCTCCAAGACCTCAGCTCAGCAGACATTTCACCCTCCAGGAAGCTTCCAGAGCATCCCTTGCTGAGAGCTTACTGCCCTCTTCTCCTGGACACGCTGGGCAGCCCATCCCTGCACCTGAGCCTACTCTGTGATCAGGACGGACATTTTCATTTGCCCCACTGACCAGGGCAGACTTGTGGGTGGGGACAGTGGCTCTTGTCCGTGTGTCCACAGGGCTGCACACAGCAGGCAGGAGGCTGGCAGTGTTCCCGGAGGGGGGGCCCGTGAGGGAGGAAGCCCCCCGGGGTTCTGTGCAGGGCCCAGAGATGGAGCGCACAGCAGCATTGAGCTGCAGCCTCCTACCAAACGACTCACGTAAATACAGGCACACGACACAGAGCACAAACACGTGCACGCATAGGCACATGCATGGGCCATGGACATGCACACACAGAAAGCACAGATACATGCAAACAGATCAGACACAAACATACAAACACACCACAGATTCGCACAGTTCACACATACACATGCAAACACACACACCACAGATGCGAGCACACAGATCGGACACACACACGCAAACACACACACCACAGATGCACGCACACAGATCAGACACACGCAAACACACCACAGATGCGAGCACACAGATCAGACACACACACGCACACACCACAGATGCGAGGACACAGATCACACATACACATGCAAACACACACACCACAGATGCAAGCACACAGATAAGACACACACACGCAAACACACACAACATAGATGCGAGCACACAGATCAGACACACACAAGCAAACACACCACAGATGCACGCACACAGATCAGACGCACACACGCAAAAACACACACCACAGACGTGAGCACACAGATCAGACACACACACGCAAACACACACACCAGACGCACGCACACAGATCAGACACACACACGCAAACACACACAACACAGATGCACGCACACAGATCAGACACACGCAAACACACACCACAGATGAACACACACAAATCAGACACACACATGCAAACACACACACCACAGAGGAGAGCACACAGATGAGACACACACATGCAAACACACACAACAGAGAAGCAGACACACAGATCAGACACACCACAGATGCGCGCACACAGATCACACACATGCAAACACACACACCACAGATGCACGCACACAGATCACACACAGTCACACACACCACAGATGCACACACACAGATATGACACAGACACGCACACACCACAGATGCACGCACACAGATCACACACACGCACACACCACAGATGCACACACACAGATCAGACACACGCACAAACACAAACACACAGCACAGATGCATGCACACAGATCAGACACACGCAAACACACACACCACAGATGCACACACAGATCACACACACATGCAAACAGCACAAATGCACACACACAGATCAGACACACACAAGCAAACACACACACCACAGATGCGAGCACACAGATCAGACACACACAAGCAAACACACACACCACAGATGCGAGCACACAGATCACACATACACACGCAAACACACACACCACAGATGCACACAGATCAGACACAGACATGCAGACACACCATAGATGCGAGCACACGGATCAGACACACACATGCAAACACACACACCACAGATGCAGACACACAGATCAGACACACACGCAAACACACACACCACAGATACCAGCACGCAGATCAGACACACTCATGCAAACACACACACCACAGATGCACAGATCAGACACACACGCAAACACACACACTGCAGATGCACACACACAGATCAGACACACACGCAAACACACACACCACAGATACATGCACACAGATCAGACACACACACCACAGATGCACACACACAGATCAGACACACACATGCAAACACACACACCACAGATGCACACACACACGCAGATCACACACACCCAAACACACACACCACAGATGCACACACACAGATCAGACACACACACACACACCACAGATGCACACACACTCACATGCAAACACACACACCACAGATGCACTCACACAGATCAGACACACACACACAAACACACACACCACAGATGCACACACACAGATCAGGCACACACACGCAAACACACACACCACAGATGCACGCACACAGATCAGACACACGCACACACACCACAGATGCACGCACACAGATCAGACACACACGCACACACACCACAGATGCAAGCACACAGATCAGACACATGCAAACACACACACCACAGATGCACGCGCACAGATCAGACACACTCATGCAAACACACACACCACAGATGCACACGCACAGATCAGACACACTCATGGAAACACACACACCACAGATGCACACACACAGATCAGACACACACACGCAAACACACACACCACTGATGCACACACACAGATCAGACATACGCAAACACACACACCACAGATGCACACACACAGATCAGACATACGCAAACACACACACCAGATACACACGCACAGATCAGACACACACACACCACTGATGCACACGCACAGATCAGACACACACACACCACAGATGCACACACACAGATCAGACACACATGCAAACACACACACCACAGATGCACACACACAGATCACACCCACATGCAAACAGCACAGATGCGCACACACAGATCAGACACACACATGCAAGCACACACAGATCAGACACACACGCAAACACACACACCACAGATGCGAGCACACAGATCACACATACACACGCAAACACACACACCACAGATGCACACACACAGATCAGACACACACGCAAACACACACACCACAGATGCACACACACAGATCAGACACACGCCACAGATGCACGCACACAGATCAGACACACGCATGCAAACACACACACCACAGATGCACACACACAGATCACACACATGCAAACACACCACAAATGCACGCACACAGATCAGACACACACACGCAAACACACACACCACAGATGCACGCACACAGATCAGACACACACATGCAAACACACACACCACAGATGCACACACACAGATCAGACACACACGCAAACACACACACCACAGATGCACACACACAGAGATCACACATGCACACACATGCATACACATTCACACACATAGAAATCACAGACACACACACATGCAGAGATCATATGCGTACAGTGAGATCATACACACACAGATCACACACACATACACATGCACACACAATCATACACACGCAGGTGCACATGCAGACACACAGCCTCCTGCCTTTCAATCTTCCTTTTTGTGACGACTTGCAGCTCTAAGAGTTGGGGAAGTGAAGAGATGCCTGCAGGACGGCGTGCAGAGGGGAAGGAGGGTGCTGCCCCTGCGCTGGGACACAGCAAGCTGGTGGCAACCACTGCCCCAGGAGTGGGAGGAGGTCCCTGTGGGGTCAGGGCTGAGGAGCTGGACACCATCCGTGCCTTTGGTGACGACTGCAGACACAGCTGTCCCAGGAAAGTGGGAAATAGGCAATGCGGAAAACAGGCCTTGCTGACTCCTAGCCAACGAGGGAGGTGCCAGGCAGCTGATGGGCACAGAGCACCCTCGAGTCTCTCACGTCCCAAACCGGGCTGGGCCCCAGGGCAGGGCACCCACAGCAGAAGCTGAGCACGCGGAGGCTGCACCAGGCACCGGATCATATGCATACACAGAGATCATACACACAAAGAGATCACAGACACACACATGCAGGCACCGGCTGCGTGGCCCTGCACACCCTCTGGGCTCCCCACTCTCGGCGGCATCTTTGGTGTCAAAGCTTCCCCTGAGTCTCAGAACCTCCAGGTGTTCCCTGGCCTGGCCCTGGGAGATCCCGTGATGCCTCCTCTGGTCCCCACTCCTCAGGGCTTGTAGGCAGCATTGGAGAGTCTGTATCTGAGCAGGTCTATGCTGTCAAGCTCCATCAGAACAAACATGGATTTGCAGGCAGAAGCCCAGCTGTCAGCCTCGCTCGGTGAACTTAGAAAAGTCATTGAGCAAAGGGAACCTCAGAATCTCCTGAAAATGAGGATTGTCCTCAAAGTTGTTGACGAAAATCAGATCCGAGCTCACTAAGCCCATCAAATTCGTTTCACCGGCTCATAAAGTTAGGAGAAGGTCATCTGGGGAGTAGACGCGCCTTCCCAGGGCTGGCTGTGTCCCTCCGAGATGGAGCCTGGCACCTGGCTCCAGGCTCACTTTCCTAACTATGTAAAGAAATGGTCTCATCTCACCAGAGGGCACCAGGGCCCCTTCCGGATTTGGGAAGGGGGCTTGGGAACTGCCTTCTCTGCCTCAGTAGGTGGTGAATCTGGTGAGCATCTCATTCCAGCTGCTCAGGCCATCAGCTTTGGAGCCTTTCTTGGCCCCTCTCTTTCTCTAATAAAGTTCACTTAACCAGTTAGAAATCATGCTGATTCTACCTTCAAAACTACTGTGCATGATTTTGGGGACTGAATCCCACAGCATTTCAGGGTGAGCATTAAGGAACAAGACGCATTGTACGAGGTGAAACTAACAAGATTCAGGAGGAGAAGAGAGGTGCCCTGGCCTGTCCCCCATCCCGTGTGGCCGTGGACGGCGTCTCCTGGCCAGAGGAGTTGCCACCTCCCAGCTCCGGGTACTGCAAAGTCTGCTGGCAAAGTCATGGGACCACGAGGACAAGAGAAACAGAAACAGCAGTGCGATTCCCATGTCTTCAGTGAGCTTGGCTGCAGCCCTCCTGGGGAGAAGCTTATTCTCCAGGCACCCAGGATGAGGCACTGGCTCAAGGTCGCTCATGATAGCTCTGCTCATGGCCTCTGCCCTCTGCTCTGTCACCAAACCCAAACCAGGGCATTTCACTCTTTGGCTTAAGAATAGCAAAGCCTTCCTTCTCCACTGGCAGGATAAGCCGTCTTCACAGTGGCCTGGGATGCCCTGGAGGGCCCAACTGTGTTGTGCCCTGGCCCCTCCTCTTCCTGCTGCTCCCTGCTCACCCAGCTCAGGGGTCTCCCTGCCACAGCCTTTGCCTGCC
Organism: Homo sapiens; assembly: GCF_000001405.40. Lineage (NCBI taxonomy): Eukaryota > Metazoa > Chordata > Mammalia > Primates > Hominidae > Homo > Homo sapiens. Next base: position 1,599,868 of record NC_000002.12, read on the forward strand.
CCTTCCCTCTGCCAGCAAGTCTCCTCCGCAGCTCTGTGCATGCCACACTCCTCCGATCCCCCGACCACCTGGTTTAACCCCGCACCTAGCTCACCCCACCACCCTCCAATTCCCTGGGGCCCTCACCCTGTTCAACGTCTTTTTCCATAACACATATCATCTTCCAGCATTCGATGTGATGTTAGTATTGATGATGCTTATTGTTAACTGATTGCCACCTGTCCCTCCACACCCACCTGACTAGAAGGGAAGTTCTCTGGGGCAGGGTCTGTTTTGCTCACTGAGGCATCGCCAGTGCCTAGAACATTGCCCTCAATAAATATGTGTTCAAGGATGAGAGATTGGACAAGTGCTGACTGACACTCCCGCATGTCAGGAACTGTGCTGGGCCCCGGGATGAGAGCTGGACTTTAAAAACAATACTGTGAGTGGATGAGCCGCGGCCTGTGCCCTCAGGAGCCCCTGGTCTCGGGGAGGCATGGATCTGTGTTGCTCATGAGGATGGGGCTTATTCACGGAGCTGGGCCTGGGACCCCCGGGGCCTGTTCCTCCATCATCTGCTGACCATTTCCAGCAAGGATGGTCAGCAGCGTCGCATCTGCTGATGAACGAGCAGGGGAAGGGCGCTCTGTGTGCATCGGACTCTTCCCAGATGTGGAAGATTTGCCTTCCCAGAAAAAACCCGGCTCATCAGCCTGCAAACCACAGACGTGCAGGGATCCACAGGGCCCCACATCTGGAGGTGACGTCATTGTGTGTGTGCCCCCTAACCCGGTGATGTCAGGCCTGCTAAGTCCAAAGTCCAAGCCATAGCTGACCTGCCGTGACCTCCTTAGCCGTTCTTAGGGAGAAGCTGTGACCCCACATGAGACCTGGAGATGGAAGAGGCAGTCTAAGGGCTTAGTCATTTGTTTACCAGGGTCTAAACATGGTGCTGGGGAAACAGGCCAGAAATCCAAACAAGCCTCCTCCCGGCTTCCTGTCCAACACTCCACCCAGAGGTGCCCCGAGGCTCCCAGACGCTGCCCGTGGTGCCAGCTCCCTTCAGGACTGTCCAACGCTCCACCCAGAGGTGCCCCGAGGCTCCCAGACGCTGCCTGTGGTGCCAGCTCCCTCCAGGACTGTCCAACGCTCCACCCGAAGGTGCCCCGAAGCTCCCAGACACTGCCCGTGGTGCCAGCTCCCTCCAGGACTGTCCAACGCTCCTCCCGGAGGTGCCCTGAGGCTCCCAGATGCTGCCCGTGGTGCCAGCTCCCTCCAGGACTGTCCAACACTCCACCCAAAGGTGGCTGAGGCTCCCAGACACTGCCCATGGTGCCAGCTCCCTTCAGGACACTTGTTCCTCCACCTCCACTCGGGGGAGCCTCCTGCACTTGCCCTGGTTGTGTCGTAAGGCTTGGATTACAAATGTAAATATGCACATACAGAGAAGTGTCTACTACAAGTGAACATACCTCTATAAATATTTATCAGTTTATATTATAGATATTTGCATAAACATGTTCTATGTAAATATGTACTTTAAAATAATTATCTGGGTGGATAGATAATTGTCTGGCCCAGTGTGTAGCAGACCCAGGGCCCCTGGTGCTGGCAGGCATTCCTCCTCCTCCCTGAACACCCCTGGGAAAAACGGGGTTCCCCAGGTGCCTTTTGAGAAAGAGGGAAGGTTTGGGTTTGCCAGGGATGGGTACAGCCTCTTCAGCTCAGCAAAGCTGGGGAAGGCTTCACCGAGCACTTGGTCTCGGAGCTGGGCCTTCCGGGATAAATGAGGCTTTGTCCGCTGACTATGGGGAGTGGGTGGAGGGTGTCCCTGGCAGACATGGCCGAGTGTGGAAGCCCCTGAGGCCTCGGGGAATGGAACCAGCTGGGCTGCAGAGGGGTCAAGGCCAAGCTACGATGCCCCTTGTACTCATTCTTTGGACTCAGCCGATGTGAAGCAGGGAAATTGTGTAATGTGTTTTGCTTCTTAGAATGATCATGTGGGCAGCAGAGCAGAGAGTGGTTGGGAGCACAAGGTTCAGAGAGGCAAGAGGACACGAGGCAGTGGTCGGAAAGACAGGTGAGCACATTCTGCAGCTGGACAGAAAAGGTGGCATTCACTGAAATGAACGTGGGTTTGAAGGAGCAATATGAAGACTATGACGTAATTTAAAACGTGCAGGGATGGATTTCTATGCCCAGGAGTGGGTGTGCAAGAACTGACCTCTGCCGTTATTTTCTATAAGCCAACGACACCCTCTGCATGAGCGGAAACCCGCTTCAATCCCTGTAGATCCTGTCCCTGCGTTCAATCAGGGTCATGTCAGGCGCCCGGGATGGAAGCCAGCATGAGGAGTCAGGGAGAGGGTTCCTCCCCACCCACCCGACGCAGGACGCTCTCAGCTGCCCCCGGCCCTTTCGCTTCGGGCCTCCAGGGTTCTCTCCGCTCCCTGGACAGCCCCTCTCATTTCCCACCCAGATGCTCACATTTCTTCTAGGCCAGGCTGCTCCTCGCTTGGCCCTCTGCCTCTTCTGCCTTGTACCTTCTCCTAAAGTGCTCTAAATCCTCATAAGGATCTAGGCTTTTGGAAAATCACAGGCAAGAGAAAAAAAAAAAGCAGGACTCCTGAGCTTTGGGCCAGCTGTTTTCTCCCCTTTGGTGCTGAAGTGGAATCGGCCACCTGCTTACAAGGACAGCGTGAGAGGGGAAAGGGGAGGAGCAGGAACGTGCATGAACCCGACAGAACAGAGGGGATGATGACCATGAGAATAATGGATTATTTACTGGGCATTGCACTAAGTATCCCACAACTGTGTCATTGAATCTGAAGATAATCCTAGACTAGAAATCATTATCTTTACTTTACAGACGACATAACCAAAGTTCAGAGAGGCTAAGCAGCTTTCCGAGAGTCACACAGCAAATGGAGGCTGTGTGGAGTCTACGCAGCTAAGCGCCTGCCCCGTGCTGTCGGGTCATGCTTCCCTGTCCAGGTCACTCTGGGAGGTCAGCCCACCAGGCCCCAGGCTGCCGCAGGGGCCCAGGTTCAAGGCCCTTCCCCGCTCCTCCCCCAGGGTCTCCAGTGTGCTGGAATCTCCGTCTTCTCACCATAACCTCACCCCATCCCTGGATTCTTCCCAAGGGCAACCCATGGGTGATATCGGTACAAAAAATGTCACCAGAAGGAATTAAGAAAAAACTTAGAACAAGATTTTAAGGAAGAAAGTGAATTTCCCACACCAAACCCCAGTACTACTGAACTTAGCACCATCTGCTAAGTTCTCATCAAAATAGATTCCACAGGTCCCGTCTGCTGGGGCGAGCTGGGGAGACCCCTGCACCGTCCAGAGAGCGGAGGTGCTGCTCCTCTCCGGCTCAGTGTGGTGACGCCTCCCAAGTCACAGGAGCAGACGGGGTCATCGGCACACCTGGGAGCACCCTCGGCCTTGGTTGCCTGTGCCTGGGTTCGCTGGATTTTCCACCAAATCAGCCAGGCTGGGGCTGCCATTGGACCTGTGCCTTCTGCACACAGATGCTGCCTGACATGGTGCCCGACTCTCCAAGGCGTCAGGTAGAGAGAACGTAACAGACGCGAGTGTGGGGTTGTTTTGATGGTCTGAATCAGCTACCACACCTACTAACTTAGACCGCCTTAGGAATCAAATGTACTCGTTCTTCGTATTTTCACTGTCAGGAAAATACATTGTAACTAGATTGGACAACAGGGTTGTCCAACCTGTTCAAATTGTCGATAGAGGGTGTTACAACAGCTGTCGTTCTGCCCAAGCTCTCAGTTAGTGAGCCCCCATGCCAGGGCGGAGCATCCAACAAGGACACTGCAGGTCCTGAATGTGCAAACACGCAGAGGATCCCCCCGCCGATCCCCATCCCAAAGACGGGGTCCCCCGTGGGCCCCGGGGGCTAAGCAGGGATGGCCGTGACAGGAAAGGCTGCACGTGCCCACAGAACTTTCCAATGAGTGAGTAAGCCCCAGACCTCTTGTCCAACAACGACATCTTCTTAGACCCCAGTCAGGAACCTAAACCCGCACACACACACACACACACACACACACACACACACACACACACAAACACACACACAGAGCTATACAGCCATACAGACACACACACACAAAAACACAGACACAGACATACACACAAAACAGACACACACACACACCCCTACACACAGACACACACAGACACATACATATATAACCCACACACAGACAAAGCATACACAACCTACACACATACACACACAGACATACACATACAACCTACATACACACACACAAACACACACGCATATACACAACTATACACATATAATCTACACACACACACATATACACACCTACACATACATATACAACCTACACGCAGATATACACCAATATACACACAGACACACACAAAAAAAACCAGACACACATATATACATATACACACCTACACACACATATACAACCTACACACAAAGACATACACACACAATAGACATAGACACACACATGAACACACAAAGATACATATACACACCTACACACACAGCCTAGAAAGACACACATACAGATACACAGACATAGACAAAAACACACAAAGACACAGACACACACACATATACAACATATACACAGACACACACACATACAGACACAGACATATATATACACCTACACATACATATACAACCTACACACACACAGACATAAAAACTCACAAATACACACCTACATACACAGAGACATATACAACCTATACACACACAGATACACAGAGATACACAGTCACACACGCACTTATACACACCTACACACACACAACACACAGACACAAAGATACACAGACATACGCACAAACTCACAGACACACACACATAGACACACACAAAGACACATACATACACCTACACGCACACAAACACACACAGAGACACAAAGACACAAAGACCCAGATACACACACTTATGCACAGACACACATACAGATACACAGACAGCAGGTACATACTTAACACACAGGCACAGAGACACACAGACCCATAGACACACAGATACACATTTTTTAAAATCCTTGTGCCTTGTTAACTCTCTGAGATTTTACGTGGACACTATTCCACAGGGTCTGACGGAGTCACCGACATTGACACATCTCAGCTGAGAAGGGGCGAATGGACTCCTGGGCCTGCGTCTGGTACCCCCCTGGCAGACAGGACGGCTGGAAAGTGGAGGTGGATAAATGATTTTGTTTGTTTGTTTCTTCCACAAACACAGGCTGGCCACTTCCCGTGTGACAGGGACTCTGCATGGGCCTAAGATAAAAACATCACGAGAGGCAGCGTCTGCTTCCAGGAATTGCATAGGAAGTGAGGCAGAGAAGTCATTTCCCGGCGCCTGGAAGCCGCTGCCCCACACAGGACAGCAGGTGGGGAGAGGCGGCCTCCTGGCATGGAAAACGGTGAGGAAAGCTGTCTGAGAGCGGCCTCTGCGCGCCGGGCAGGAGGCAGTGCTGACGTCACAGGCAGCCTGTAGCCCTGACATGGGGACAAATAGCTCCCCCAGCCTGAACGACTTCAGCATCACCCATGTGTGGAAGAGCTGTTCAACGGTCGCCACCACAGATAATTCAATTCAGCTTAGCAGAGTCTGTCTCTTTAAGAAAGTGAAGAAGAGGGCAATATAATTTTTAAAAGTGACAACAGGCAAAATCTAGATTATGTGGGAAATACGCTTGAAAGCGGCACCTTTAAAGTGATGCTGGATGCCCAAGATTATTTCTGGGCATTGATTCATTAGACAGGCAACAAACGCCATCTGAGCAGCTGCCACCAGCCAGGCACTGCCCTGGGCCGGAAGCTGCAGCATGTCCATCTGTCCATCCTCGGGAAGCCTCTTAGCCCCACATCTAAACACAGGGCACGACCCGGCCAAATCACCAAAACCCAGTCTGCGGACCGCTCACACTTCCCCGTGGTGTCTCAGGATGAGGTAATATGGGGGCAGCCCTGGGGGAAAGTCCCCAGACAGCAGCCGACGCCAATCCACATTTCCCGCAGCGACAAGCAAGAAAAAGAGAAAGGAATTCCTGTCTGGCCACGGCTCTGCCTCATCCTCTGAGCATCAGCTTCTCCATCTGTAAACTGGGGCAGTCTGCTCCGCCTGCCTGTCTCTGGGAGGATGTGTGGGAGGGGACGGCCGAGGGGCTCCGTAGAACGAAGGGCCTTCCTACAGCCATCCTGCACTCAAGGTTTGCCCGGCTCACAGAAGGACCTGGCTGACCACCACAGAGCTACCTGCAGACGCGGGTTCGAAGGAAGGCCTGGGTGATCCTGAGTCTAACTGTGCAGCTCTCCTTGCTCATCTGCCCACACTCCGGAGCGTGCTGAGTCCAGAGGACCCTGCGCCGAGTTCTGTTCAGCTCCCTTTATCATGTGTTCACTCACACTCCATTAAAACAGGGAACAACCCCTCTGCGGACCCCAAATTTCCCCCTCTGGGATATTAAAGTACATGACGGGTAAGAGCTTGCACCAATTAATACAACAGCCCACAAAATGCCAAGGGAGGGTCCAGCCGCCTTCATGGACTGAGCACTTTGTACACAATACACGTTGTACCCAGTCCTGGGCTACCAAGGAGTGCTTCTGACCAAATGTGGTGGGGAACTCAGGGAAGGCTGGAGGCTGAGGCTGGAAAGGGGGGCGGAGGTACACCTGAGTGTAAAGGACCTGAGAGGGAGGCACACCTGAGTGGGAGGTCCACGTGGGTGAGAGGTTCATCTCGGTGGGAGGTCCACCTGGAGGGAGGTCCTGAAAGGAGGAAGGGCATCTGAGTGGAGGCAGGGGCAATCACAGGAAACCAGCCTGGGGAGGGGCAGAGTCCGGTCGTGTGGGACGTGGCAGGAGGTGCAGATGCTGGGCTATATCCTGCAGAGCAGGAATGGGAGACGTGTGTGCATAGGGGATGGAAAACCCCACTGAAATGATCTTAAGTAAAAAGGGAAATGAGTCTGTTGGCTCATATAATGCAAAGCTCCTGGGCAGGCTCGAAATGACAGCTGGGTCCAGATGTTCAAAGTGTGTCTGTAGGTCCCAGACTCTCTTCCTTTCTCCCTCGCTCCTCTCTCTCTCTGAAGTTTGCCATCTCTTTCCCATCTCTAGCCCCACATCTGCACCAGCTTCTCCCCTCCACCTTTCTGCTCCTTCCGGCTCTCTTTCCTACTCTCATCCTCATTGCCTTCACCTTCCGCACAAGACCCCTCTCCACACGTTGGCTCCCAGCAGATCCACATGCACGTTAACCTGAGTGTTGGCTGTCCCAGTAGACAGGGGTCTTCTGCTTCCTAAGACTTCCCCAAAAAATCCTGGATAAAAACTTGAACCACCTTTGGTGATGTGCTCTTCCTGGAGGCATAGCAGGGGCGAACATCCCCACCATAGCAACCTGGACTGAGAATAGGGGAAGACTGAAGTGTAGCTGCCAGGACACAGCCTGGCGGAACTGGGCACCCCGGCTCGAGGAGGACTCAGGCCAGGCATTCTTCGCAGAGATCCAGGTGGTAGAGGGCAGGGAGGGAAACCAAGGCATATCAGAAGGAACCCCAAGGAGGGCAGAGCAAGTCCGAGAATGCTCACAGCAGGCAGAGACCTTTCCCAGAGAGGGAATGAAGGAAATTTTGGGGAGAGAGGCCCTTGGGGTTGACCATGAAGGACAGGAAAGATGAGGATGGGCTCTGAGGTCACCCCAGCCACCAAAAGCAACAGAAAAGACCCCTGTGGCCTCACATCCTGTGCCCACAACAGCAGGGTTCTCTCAACCCACGGAAGTTCCCTGTGGACCAATCCAGATGCAGGTGCAGTGTGTAGGAGTCTGGGCAGGCAGAGAGGAAGGGAGCAGTGAGAATGCACCAGAGCTGCTTGGCCAGTCTTCTGGTTTGTCCAGGGACTGAGTGTTGCTGATAGTTGAGGCCACATTCATTTTTGAGATCTGCAGATGTTAGATGTTATTGATTTCTAAGTGCAATAAAGTTGAGTAGCACTGATCTAAAATACTTCCCCTCAGTCTGGCAGAAATACAGCCATTAGGGTTTGATTTAGAACCATCATTAGGAAGAATAATCAGAACACCAAGATCCTTTCTTTCCCAGCACAAGCAGGCTCTCGGCCATCGGGCATGTCATAATCTTGGAAGGTAAAACCCAAGCCCATGGGCACGAAAAAGTACTTCTGGGGAATTTTAACAGGAAACATTCTCCCTCCCTGCCTCCACCCTTGGAGACACCACTTCTGCACGGTGGTGCTTTTCAGCTGGGGAAGGTGAGTCAAGAGTTTGACTCATTGAATGATTCTTATCCTTCCCTAGTTTATGTCCGATAATGGAGAGGGGATGATTAGTAACACAGATGCAAAAGCAGCCCTGCCTTGAACCACTTCTCAGAGACAAGTTCAGGCCAACTCTGCTCTGAACACAGATCCAGTTCCATCTCAACTCGGAATAAAGATTCCCAGTCCAGGTAAAGGGCACTCATCATCTTCTCACCATTGCCTTCGTAGAAAGCACTTGCAAATGCACCTGCCACAGCTTCCAGCCTCACAACTGCCCTTCCTCTCCTTCCGCAGGATGACACCCATCCCCTGGGCGAATGCCCCATGTGCCCTGGAAAACCACATGTGCAGTTGTTGGGTGCAGTGTCACATGGATGCTGATTGGATCACGGGAATTGGCAGTACTTGAAGATCATCTAGGTCTTAATTTTTTTTCTAGTTATTTTATCAATTGCCGAGAGAGGAGTATTAAAGTCTTCTGCTTTGTGAAAAAGTCTATTTCTCCCTTTAATTCATGTAATCATAATTACACACTGGTAACTTATGCCTTCCTGATAATTTTTCCTTTTATTACTATGAAATGTCCTTCTTTGTCTCTGGTAATATTATTTGTATTCAGTCTGTTTTATCTGGTATTAACATAGCCATCCAGTCTTCTGTGCTCAATGTTTCCATGGTATGATTTTTGCCATCTATTGAACTTCTACCTATGTGTATCTTTAATTTTAAAGCATGACTCTTGAAAACAATACTGGGGTTGTTTTTATTCGCTCAGTCTCCTTTTAAATTATTTTTAATATACAATGTGTAATTATTAATTAATATAATGTCATCGTGGATACAATTTGGTTTAAAATTACCATTTTTTTCTGTGTGTCTGTTCTGCTTTTGTTCCTCTGTCTTTCAGATTAAATCTTTTTAGTATCCCATCTAAATTTATATTGCATTTTGCTGTATCTCTTTGAATCATTCTTTTAACAGCTGCTCTAATTATTGCAATAGACACATGTCATCTTTCACAGTTGGCTTGGAATTAATCGGACACCACTTCCTGTAGAGTGTGGAAAACCTGCAGCTCCACAGTCCTCCTCAGTGACCTTCCTGTCATGGATGTCAGGTGTTTTACATCTGTGTATATTGAAAACCACGCCAAACAGTATGAATGTTCCTTTCCACGCTCACAAATTTTAAATAACTAAGAGAAAAAGAAGTAGTCTTTTATATTTGTTCTGATATTTACTGTTTCCACTTCTCTTTCCTCATTCCTAAATATCCAAGTTTGCCCTGGCACTCTTTTCACTCATGCTGAACAAGTTCCATATGAAGACTTTCACTAGGCCGGGTCTGTTAGTGACAAATTCTCTGTATTTTGCTAAGGTCATCTGGAACTAAATGTATTTTGCCTTCGTCAGATGGATTTTGTTGTTGTTGTTGACAGTCTCCTAACACTTTCAAGCTGCACCTTCATGTGCCGGTTTCTAGAGAGAAATCCAGTCACTCAAATCATACCTCCACTAAATGTAATTGTGCTTTCAGTTTTAACGCGAAATGTGGAACAGATGGAAACCTGCTTTCTTTGAATTTTAAATTATATGCTTACTGGCTAAGAAACACAGTAAAAGTAGCTATTTTTTTTGTAACCTGTGAATGTCAGAGAGACGGAGGAAGTGGTTCTTTCCTAACGTTGCTCAGCTGTGCCTGCTGAGGCTCGCCGGAGTGCCTTATTTACTGATGCTCCAGACCACGCCCATCTGCTACAGCCACCCTGTCCCCAAAGCACAGGACATCCGCTGGCCCCTCCAGTGCAGCCCGCCACAGCTGGGCCACCACAACTGGACACCCACTGGCCCCATATAATGCAGCCTGCCACAGCTGGGCCATCACAACTGGACACCTGCTGGCCCCTATAATGCAGCCTGCCACAGCTGAGCCACCACAACTGGACACCCACTGGCCCCATATAATGCAGCCCGCCATAGCTGAGCCATCACAACTGGACACCCACTGGCCCCTGCAGTGCAGCCTGTCACAGCTGAGCCGCCACAGCTGGACACCCGCCGGCCCCTGCAGTGCAGCCTGTCACAGCCGAGCCACCACAGCTGGACACCCGCTGGCCCCTGCAGTACAGCCCGCCACAGCCGAGCCGCCACAGCTGGACACCCGCTGGCCCCTGCAGTGCAGCCGCCACTGAGCATCACAACCGCAGTTGTCCACCGAGATCCAAACCCCGCATGGTCCTACCTGAGGCTTCAAGTCACGCTTCTTCACTCAGCCAAAGGTCTGTGCACGCGTCGTTCTGGCCCCCAGATTCTGCTCCTTGAGATATGTGGCTGTTCCTCAACACTGGGGGAAGTTAAAGCCTGAGTTCAAAACCCATCGAGGCAGAAGCTCAGAAGTCACACGAATGAAGATCGAAATGTAATATTATTACCGACAATTGATAGCGAAGAAAATGGCTTCTTCCTGGTTGCCTGGTGAGTGTGTTAGAATTCCCTTCCTCCACCCTGCGTCCCTCAGTCTAGATCCTGGGACAGTCCACCTGAAGGGCAGCTTGGGTCCACAGAGGTGACCTGTATTCATGATATTTGCCTCCTACCATCCAGAGAGGAGAAACAGAGATGGAACTCTTCTCTGATGAACCCCACCGAATGAGCAGGGTCCCCAGCTGCCTCCTGTTACTGGGGAGGGGGAAGGATGAGGCCCAGAGCCCACCGAATGAGCAGGATGCCCCAGCTGCCTCCTGTTACTGGGGATGAGGAAGGATGAGGCCAGGAGCCCATCGAATGAGCAGGGTGCCCCAGCTGCCTCCTGTTACTGGAGAGGAGGTAGGATGAGGCCAGGAGCCCATCGAACGAGCAGGGTCCCCAGCTGCCTCCTGTTACTGGGGAGGAGGAAGCATGAGGCCAGGATCCCATCGAACGAGCAGGGTCCCCAGCTGCCTCCTGTTACTGGGAAGGAAGAAAGATGAGGCCAGGAGCCCACCGAATGAGAAGGGTCCCCAGCTGCCTCCTGTTACTGGAGAGGAGATAGGATGAGGCCAGGAGCCCATCGAACGAGCAGGGTCCCCAGCTGCCTCCTGTTACTGGGGAGGGGGAAGGATGAGGCCCAGAGCCCACCGAATGAGCAGGATGCCCCAGCTGCCTCCTGTTACTGGGGATGAGGAAGGATGAGGCCAGGAGCCCATCGAATGAGCAGGGTGTCCCAGCTGCCTCCTGTTCCTGGGGAGGAGGAAGGATGAGGCCAGGAGCCCATCGAATGAGCAGGGTGCCCCAGCGGCCTCCTGTTACTGGAGAGGAGGTAGGATGAGGCCAGGAGCCCATCGAACGAGCAGGGTCCCCAGCTGCCTCCTGTTACTGGGGAGGAGGAAGCATGAGGCCAGGATCCCATCGAATGAGCAGGGTCCCCAGCTGCCTCCTGTTACTGGGAAGGAAGAAAGATGAGGCCAGGAGCCCACCGAATGAGAAGGGTGCCCAGCTGCCTCCTGTTACTGGAGAGGAGGTAGGATGAGGCCAGGAGCCCATCGAACGAGCAGGGTCCCCAGCTGCCTCCTGTTACTGGGGAGGAGGAAGCATGAGGCCAGGATCCCATCGAATGAGCAGGGTCCCCAGCTGCCTCCTGTTACTGGGAAGGAAGAAAGATGAGGCCAGGAGCCCACCGAACGAGAAGGGTCCCCAGCTGCCTCCTGTTCCTGGGGAGGAGGAAGGATGAGGCCAGGAGTGACTCGGGAAGATGGCTTTTCAGAAAGCAAAGCATGGTGGCATGCTGTGCCCAAGGTGACTTGCCGCTTGTCCTTGGGATAAAATAGAACCAGCACCTCGCCTGTGGCCCAGTCTCCCCTGACTGGCTGCTCTCTCAGGTGGTGGCTGAGGGTTCCTAGTGCTCCAACACCTCCTCACCCATTCCCCACAGATCTGCGGCCCAGCATTCCTCTCCCTTCCCACTTCTCCTCCTCTAAAGGCCATCCTCACCCTCCCCACCTTCCTCTGCACCAACGCCCCCGCTCGCCCCTCACTGTGGCCCACGGGCTCAGTCTTCTCCATGCTTCTCACTGCATTGCATGGTCTTGAGCTTCATCTTTCCCACCATTAATACCTCCAGTGCAAGGCTGTGACACAGATCCTCTCCTTGAGTAATTCTAGTCGGGCTCCTCTGAACTCTTCTCTCAACAGGGTCCTGATTTGGGGGCTTTTGTGTTCTTTTATGCAGTGTCCAACTTTATCAAAAATCCCACTAAATCATTTTAAGTGGAACCCCATGCCCTTGCTGCCTGGTTATCCTTGATATCCGACCAGTTCCTCATCCTCCCGTTGTCCTGGCCTGGCTTCTGTGGGACCCTGTTCAGTGGCTTACCCTGATACTTCCTCTCCCAATTTTCCACCCACTGACCACCCTCTGCTCCTGGCTGTAAAACCCCCCATGTCCTTGTTGTATTTGGAGTTGACCCTGATCTCTCCCCACTGCAAACCCCATTGTCATGGTCCCTGCACCTATCCCAGTGCCCCTCACAGTCCCGTGAATATAGCCTGCCTTCCTATTTTTAAACAAGTTTCAGGATAACCTTTTTCATCAACATTTGACAAAGAATCAATGTTCAGTAAGTATGTGCTGAGTATCCAGTTACCAGTCTCCTTCCTACGGGCATCTCAGAGCAGACCACTGAGGAAAGAGGCTCAGGAGAGGCGGTGATGAGGGGAGGAGATTGGAAGGGGTGGTTTCAGGGTGGAACCCAGGCAAGGTGCTGGGCCCTGACTGGGGTGGGAGGACACAAGGAGACTGAGGAGGACAAGGAGTGAACAGCCTCCGTTTTACAAAAGTCTTGGAGGCCAGAGCCCCTTCCAAAGGACAAAAAGATTGTTTTCATCCTCAAGGAATTCTGGTTTAGGGCTTCCTCCCATGTTTAAAGAGGCTGGCCAAATCCCCCACTCAGGGTATCATTTCTGTGGGTGATCTAATTGGGTGATGTGCAGAAAGAGACGTAGTTATTCTTGTAGTTTCCATGCAGAAAAAGACACCACTCCCACACCAGCAGAGCTTCGTCCACGCCGGTCAGAGCGTTTCTTTTATGATGTGTCCACAAGGCTGCCCACGGCAGCGTACCCGACCTCGTCTCCTCCTGCTCTGTGTCCTTCTGAGGTGTCACAGGCATGGAACACACCACAGCCCATTCACTTGGGAGGCAACAACCAAGTTACCTGAGAGCTTGGGGGAAAATTACCAACAAAGAAATGCAACAAGGAGCTATGGGGTCCATTTATCTATTAAAAAAAGATTCAAAACAGCAACAATGATCATTGCTTGAGATGAAATTTTCTAACCTGTGCTTACCAGAATTAAAAACTATCTATATTGTAATCCACAATCAGAGAAAAGAAAACCTAAAACAAAAAATCTATTATCTGATTGCAGGTGCCTTTTTGCAGTAAGGGAAACGTGGGTCACTCCGAGAGCATTCCCTCTCACGGGGCCAGAGCTGCGGCTCCTTGAGGACTCCCTCCTGGAAGACAGCGCTTTGGTTATAGAAATGCCTTCACATTTCACATGGTGACTTTAGCCCTCCCCACACTGTTTGTGAGGCCCAGGGCTTCCCCATCCTCATCTCTCAATAGGGCAGAGACCCTGCGGGCCTGAGACAGTCATGGGGTGGAGGGAGCTGGGCCCAGATCCAGAAGCACTGGCCCTGAACCTACCCTTCCCACTTTCCTATACTCAGCCTCAAGTTAGCAAAACCGCACCCACACCTCCTGCTGGGAGAGGGAGGGACAGCTGGCCTCCCTAAGTCATCTGCTCTTATAAGAGAGAAAGACAAAAAGAGAGAGGGAGAGAGACAGACAGACAGAGTTCAGTGATTACTCATGCCTGTGAGCCAATATCACCAAATGAACAGAACAATCCCTACACAAAATCTTAGTGGATCATGAACTCCCAGGAGATGTTTTGGTAATTCAGAAGTGAACAATGAAAACCAAGTTCTGACCGAGTTTTAAAATTGTTGGCTGGAAACTTCCAAGGAGAGCTAGCACACTGGGTGGAGTCACTGCCTAGCCTTCTCCCACTGCGGGTGTGGGGACCTTGTGCCCAAGCCGGGGCTCTGGGTTCCTGGGACAGAAAGGCGGGACCCACAGCCCATGCAGCCATGCACACACAATGGCTCGCTTCAAATACAAGTTGCCAAAAGGAATTTTGGCTTTGTCTATGGGAACAATTATAAGTTTTAAAAACCGCATTTTCCCTCTGGATATGTTCTAAAATGTCAACTTCCATGAGTCTTTTACAAGAGGCATAGGCCTTTAGTATTAAGGCTATTGAATTTATCTCATCTTTAATAAAAGAAGAATTTGTTTTTGAAATTTAACAAGAATATAAATATCTTAATTATTATGTTAATTACTCTTGAAGGAATCGTAAACAAACAAAGAATGCGAAGCCTTCTACTCCTCAATTAAGTGTGACATTGATTGAAATGCAATGTGAATGTTCTCACAATATAACAAATTACTTCAATCTGGATTTAACCATGCGTCTCAGCTGCGATTATTGTTGCCCCCGCTGAGGGCGGAAAGGGGATGTGTTGGTAGGGTAGGGGAGAGGATGGAGAGAGCAAGAGAAAAAGAGACGGGGCGAGTCAGGCTCGCTGCCATTATGAACTGCCATCAAGTTCAGGAAATCCGCTCACACATGAATGGCCCCACATGCAAATCAACCTGGGTTTTCCTCCAGGGCTGAGTTGTTTGGTTCTGTGACCTTGAGCAAGTCAGTTCCACTCTCTAAGTGGCACATCTTTATTGTGGAATAACAAATTTGGAAGGGGAGGGAGTGGGGCTCTACTTCCAAAATCCTTCGTTCTGGAATGGCCTGGCCTGAGAGAGGAGTGGGCCAAGGAGGGGTGTGAACCCAGGTTGCTGGGAGAGGTGAGGGGAGCAAGTGCTCCAGGAGGAGCCTCCGAGGGGAGGGCAAGGTGGGGTGGGGGAGGGCCCTTCAGGGAAGGGGCCAGGGTGCAGAGTGCTGGGGTCTGGAGCAGGAGATAGACAGTGGGGTCTCCCTCCGCACAGTTATGGAAGCCTGTGCTGCCCCTCCCCCCCCTTCTCTCATCATCAATGTTCTTCAAACTTTTACATCACCTAAAGGGCTCTACTGAAACACACATTGCTGGGCCCCAGCCCCAGTAATCCCCCCTTGATAGGACAGGAGTAGGCATGAAGAAATTTGCATTTACAATCCCATTTTTAATAGCTACAAAAACAGTAAAATACCTAGGAACACAGATAACCAGGGAGGTGAACGATCTCTGCAAGGAAAACTACAAAACACTGCTGAAAGAAATCAAAGATGATACCAAAAAATGGAAAAACATCCCATGCTCATGGATTGGAAGAATCAATATCATTGAAATGGCCATACTGTCCAAAGCAATTTATAGATTAAGTGCAATTCCTCTCAAACTACCAATGACATTATTTTCACAGAATTAGAAAAAGCTATTCTAAAATTCACATGGAACCAAAAAAGAGCCCGAATAGCCAAAGCAATCTTAAGCAAAAAGAAGAAAGCCAGAGACCTCACATTACCGAACTTCACACTGTACTACAAAACCACAGCAACCAAAACTGCATGGTATAGGTAGAAAAAAGACACATAGACCAATGAAACACAAAAGATAACCCACAAATAAAGCCACGCATCCCATCTTCAACAAAGCTGACAAAAACAACAAATGGAGAAAAGGCCCTTAATTCAATAAATAGTGCTGGAATAACTGGCCAGCCATACGCAGAAGATTGAAACTGGATCCTTCCCTTTCACCATATTCAAAAATCAACTCAAGATGGATTTCAAAGACTTCAGCGTAAGGCCTCAAACTATAAAAATCCTAGAAGAAAACCTAGGAAATGCTCTTCTCTATATGAGTCTTGGCAAAAGACTTATGGCTAAGTCCTCAAAAGCAATTCCTACAAAAACAAAATTGACAGATGAGACCTAATGAAGCTAAAGAGCTTCTATACAGCTAGAAAAACTATCAACAGAGTAAACAGACAACCTGCAGAATGGGAGAAGATACTCACAAACTATGCATCCAACAGAGGTCTAATATCCAGTATCTATAAGGAGCTTAAATCCACAAGCAAAAGACAAATAACCCCCATTAAAAAGTGGGCAAAGGACATGAATGGACGCTTCTCAGAAGAAGAAATACAAGCAGCCAACACATATATGAAAAAATGCTCAGCATCACTAATCATCGCAGAAATGGAAATCAAAACCGTAGGCAGACACCATTTCACAGCAGTCAGAATGGCTTTTACCAAAAAGTCAAAAAGTAGCAGATGTTGGTGAGGATGCAGAGAAAAGGACACACTTATACACTGTTGTTGGGAATGGAAATTAGTCCAGCCACTGTGGGAAGCAGTTTGGAGATTTCTCAGAGAACTCTGAGTTGAACTACCATTCAACCCAGCAATCCCATTCCTGGGTATATGCCCAGAGGAAAACAAATCATTCTACCAAGAGGACACATGCACCCATATGTTCTGCAGCACAGTTCACAACGGCAAAGATGTGGATCAACCCAGGTGCCCATCACTGGTGGATTAGATAAACAAAATATGGTACATACACACCATGGAATACTATGCAGCCATAAAACAAAACAAAATTATGTCCTTTGCAGCAACATGGATGGAGCTGCAAGCCATTGTAGTAAGTAAATTAACATAGGAACAGAAAATCAAATACCACATGTTCTCACTTATAAGTGGGAGTCAACGCTGGACACTCACAGACACGGTGAAAGGAAAATAGATCCAGGGACCCCCAAATCACTTAGCTAAAGGGAGAAGGGAGAAGCCAAGCTGAGAACTGCTTAGGACCAACCTGCCTCCCGTTCTATTCAAAGTCACTCCTCTGCTCACTGAGATAAATGCACATCTGATTGCCTCCTTTGGAGAGGCTCATCAGAAACTCAAAAGGAGGCAACCATTTGTCTCTTACCTACCTATGACCTGGAAGCCCCCGTCTGCTTCGAGTCTTCCTGCCTTTGCTTCGAGTTGTCCCGCCTTTCCAGACCGAACCAATGTTCATCCTACATGTGTTGATTGATGTCTCATGTCTCCCTAGAATGTATAAAACCAAACGGTGCTCTCACCACCTTGGACACCTGTCATCAGGACCTCCCGAGGCTGTGTCACAGGTGCGCGTCCCCAACATTGGCAAAATAAATTTTCTAAATTAACTGAGGCCTGGCTCAAATTTTCCAGGTTCACAACACAAAGAAGGGAACAATAGACAAGATTAGCAGATGATTTCAAAACGGTCATCTTTCAGTAACTTCAATAATTCAGGCTGGGGAGACAGGTTAGAGAGGGGTCCTCAGCCAGAGTGGTTGGCTGCACAGAACGGATGGTGTGCCTTCCTGCAGGGTGGCTCCACCCCACACTTTCCCTCTGCCCTGGCCGCAATCAGGTGTGGCCCGAAAGGCAGCCCTAGAGACTGGAGCATGGAGAGTAGTGAGAGCTCTCACTGGCCCAGACTCCTTCTAGAGGAGTCACTGGAGCTGGCTGGAGTTGGCCCCTGTGCCGCCCTGGGGCGGGGTCACTGCAGAGATGCTCCCCAGGCACCGTCTCCCCAGGTGTCTTCTTCCCCTGCCCCTTCAGGCCCCACAGCCACCTGTTGTTGACCCAGAGAGTGCACCAGCCCTCGGCTGGGTTCCCTACTTCCTGCTCTGTGGATTGTCCTGACACTGTCCTCCAGCCACGCAGCCCCAGGGCGCTTTTGTCTCTCCTGGGATCCTGGCTGAGACCAGTTTCTTAGGGCTCCCTGCAGACCGGAGTAGGGTGGAAGCACCTGTCCTGTTGCAGGTTAGGAAGCTGCCAAGCAGAAACCCAGCATCCTTGCTGAACCTGGGGTGCTGCTGGCTGATCTGGGATCCCCCAAACTACCCGGGCCTCAGAATCACCTGGGGAGGTTGCTTCAAATGCATATGCTGGAGTCCCTCCCAAAACCAGAGTCAGAATGTCCCGAGATGGCACTCAGGAGCATGGGCCTTGCTGCCGCCATCCTCTCCTCCCCCTTGGTTATTTGGGAGCCTGGATCTGCCTTCGCTGAGCACACAAGGAATCACTGCATGCCCTGTGACTGGGACGTGCCCTGTGACTGGGACATGCCCTGTGACTGGGAACAAGATCACTGCTGTAGGAGGGTCACTGCTGTCTCCCTAGCTCCCAGCACCTCTGTAATCCTGCACGGTGTGGGCGCAATGCGGCCCAGGTCCCTGTCACCCACTGCTGTGCACCAGTGATGCTGCCGTCAGAAACGGCCCCACTTGGGCACAGAGACGGCTGGAAACCCTGAACTCAACAGTTAGGTTTGAGAAAAAAAAAAAAAAGAACAGTTGAAATCCTCCAGTTGATCTTCCTCACTTTGAAGAACTTTGAACTTCTGATAAGAAGGCAGCCTGAGATCAACGACGACAGATCCATCGATTGGTCACGGTTCAGTTCCGTCCCTGACTTCTGTGTCCTTGGAGGACCAGGGCCTGGTTCAGTCTGTTCCCACTGGGAAACCTTCTTGCTGTGCAGTGAGCACCAGGCTGGCGGGTGGAGACCCTGGCCCTCGTCTGCACCCACCTAGGGGCAGAGACACAAGGCCCCCTGCTGCTGGCAGCCTGGGCTTCTCACGGGTGGTGGCTGCTCACGGGGCTGCGGGTCACTCCTGTCCTCACACCCAAAGCAGCCCTACACCCAGGCCAGGCATCCTTAGTCCGGCAGAGTCTCTCCCAAGGGGGCAACAGTTCGTGGTGGCCAAAAATTCTTGGCCATTGCAATATTTGTGATTCTTGGGAGGGTCAACACATGAACAGGTTTATAGTTCCTGTGTGGGGTCAGAAAAGGAACATTGAAAAGAAGATCTTGATAGTAGCCTCTAATGGCTGCATTGGGACCCACAGCTAATAAAACCAAGGCCTCTAACCTAAAACTGGCCTCTTGCCCATGTAACTGGGGTTTGTTAAATATTTCACTGGCAGGTACTGGTCATAAACCTGTTTATCATAAACCTGCAGAATAAAGACAGGAGGGAACCAGTCTCCCTCCAGCCCCCACTCAACCGCATACAGGAGGGAACCAGTCTCCCTCCAGCACCCACTCAGCCGCATACAGGAGGGAACCAGTCTCCCTCCAGCCCCCACTCAACCGCATACAGGAGGGAACCAGTCTCCCTCCAGCACCCGCTCAGCCGCATACAGGAGGGAACCAGTCTCCCTCCAGCCCCCGCTCAGCCGCATACAGGAGGGAACCAGTCTCCCTCCAGCCCCCGCTCAGCCGCATACAGGAGGGAACCAGTCTCCCTCCAGCCCCCACTCAGCCACATACAGGAGGGAACCAGTCTCCCTCCAGCCCCCACTCAGCCACATACAGGAGGGAACCAGTCTCCCTCCAGCCCCCACTCAGCCGCATACAGGAGGGAACCAGTCTCCCTCCAGCCCCCACTCAACCGCATACAGGAGGGAACCAGTCTCCCTCCAGCACCCACTCAGCTGCATACTTACCTTATCATGTGGGCAGTGCCACCGAGCGCTCATCAGAATCTCAGGAACGTCACGGCTGCTCACCGCTTGCCTCTCCCACCTTCTGGGCCACATACGTCCGCCTGTTAGAAAATGTAAGTGCACGGTGCCTCATGGAGCCTGCTTTGAGATACATTCTCAGTGGACACAGATTCTGTGTTCCTGGGCCTAAGTCCTCCAGCTTGGCTCAGAATAAATCTCACCATGATTTCCCTCAGTTCTAGCGCTTGCTGCTCATCTTTGGGTCAACAGTGGTATTATAATTTCATTGCAGAGGTGAGGGCTTGACTAGGAACATAATGTCTAAAAATCCTCCTTAGCAGAATAATAATGAAAAAATGGTAAGGAACACTCTCGGCACACAGGCCTGTGAAAACTGGCAGGTGAAACTCATTGGCCATTCTTGGACTAGATCATGCAACAAATACACGAGAGTTGCTCACGACGTGCCAGGTGCCTCCCTTGCTGTTGGGAGTACAGCAGCGGGTGACATTCTCGACAGCTGAGAATCCTGGCGATTCCTCCTGAGGCTCCTCTCCAAGCCAGCGTCCAGGTTCCAGACACTTCCCACCCAGAATGTCCAAGTCCAGCCTGATGCTTTCCATTGCAGAGCCTGGGGGCAGCTCAGGTCCTCAACCCCTCACCCCCCAGTGACGTGCCATCAGCTGGAGCTGCCAGCCTGAGAACTCGGCAGTCCTTGGGTGCTTGGGAGCACAGCTCTGATACGGTTTGGCTGTGTCCCCACCCAAATCTCATCTTGAATTGTAGCTCCCGTAATTCCCATGTGTTGAGGGAGGGACCCAGCAAGAGATAATTGAATCATGAGGGTGGTTTCCCCCATACTGTTCTCATGGTAGTGAATAAGTCTCATGAGATCTGATGGTTTTTTTTGTTTTTGTTTTTGTTTTTTTGAGACAGCGTCTCGCTTTGTTGCCCAGGCTAGAGTGCAGTGGCACAATCTCAGCTCACTGCAACCTCCGCCTCCCAGGTTCAAGCGATTCTCCTGCCTCAGCCTCCCGAGTAGCTGGGACTACAGGTGCCCACCACCATGCCCAGATAATTTTTGTATTTTTAGTAGAGATGGGGTTTCACCATATTGGTCAGGCTGGTCTCAAACTCCTGACCTTGTGATCCTCCCACCTCAGCATCCCAAAGTGCTGGGATTACAGGAGTGAGCCACTGCGCCCAGCTGATCTGATGGTTCTATAAGGGGAAACCCCCTTTGCTTGGCTCTCATTCTCTCTTGCCTGCCGCCATGTAAGACGTGCCTTTCAACTTCCGCCGTGATTGTGAGGCCTCCCCAGCCACGTGGAACTGTGAGTCCATTCAACCTCTTTTTCTTTATAAATTACCCAGTCTCAGGTATGGCTTTATCAGCAGCATGAAAGTGGACCAACACAAGCTCCAAGGACAGGTGGGAGGAGGAGGCCGTGTGGCATCCAGAAAGAGCAAAAGGTAGCTCTGCGGTCAATCAGGTCCGACGGGGTCCCTTGCTGGATTTCCATCTTTCGTGCAGTTCAGTGATTGATGTAAAATGTCCTCAACTCAAACTGTCACGGCTCCAGCAGAGAACACACCGGTAAGGCCCAGCAGTCAGACAGGATGTCGTCACACCACCAACTCGGCAATGCTGGCTGATAAAACAGCCATCTCACCCTTTCTGGGGGTTACAGACATCCGGGTCACCTTCCTCCAGTCACTCACTTCTGTCCTGATCAGTGAAGCTCCCTGAAGCACTGACATGTCACTTGGTCAAAGGTCCGTTGCCGATTTGGGGCTGGAATTGTGCTAAGTCTGGGGATAAAGAGGTGAACGAGACGCTGACCGAGTCTTCAAGGAGCATCACTTACTAAAGGGGCTTTCATTATAGAACTAAAGCTTCCTTTGCACAATGATGACCGCATGTGCACCACCCAGGGTGGTCCGCAGGAAGACTCGGGTGATGCAGGATCCCAGGCAGGCGGCAGTGTGGGCCGCGGTGCACATAGCAGGCCCATAGGTCTGCTCATCTGCTTCCTGGAGTCTCTGCTAACAAGAAAAAGATCAGTGCTGTGAGCCAGTCCCAGGCGTGATGATCTTCTCAATATTCTAGAAGGCGATGGAGGGACCCGTCTTATGTGACTGCCACTTTGGGAATCCTGCATTTTAGAAGCCTTGGCCTGAAGCCTCATTTCTGTTGACAGTGCGTAGATATCCAAATGCTCTCTTATCTTTCCCCATCGAAATCTTCTCTCCAGAAAGTGCCCTAAGAAAACAAACACATGCAATGGCTTTGACCAAATGACTGTATCATCTCCCTCAGAGGAACAATGCAATGGCTGACTGTGTCATCTCCCTCAGAGGAACAATGCAATGGCTGACTGTGTCATCTCCCTCAGAGGAACAATGCAATGGCTGACTGTGCCATCTGCCTCAGAGGAACAATGCAATGGCTGACTGTGCCGTCTCCCTGAAAGGAACAATGCAATGGCTGGCTGTGTCTCTCTCAGAGGAACAATGCAATGGCTGACTGTATCATCTCCCTGAGAGGAAAAATGCAATGGCTGACTGTGTCGTCTCCCTCAGAGGAACAATGCAATGGCTGACTGTGTCGTCTCCCTCAGAGGAACAATATAATGCTGGCACTACTTCAGGCATCTCAGGTCAGTGAATGAGGCTGCTCTGGGATCTCGGGACATAGTGAGCCAGGGAGGGAGGTGGCAGAAGCCCCAGTGTACCAGCAAGGCACGCCCTAACCAGGGGTTGGGTGGGTGTGGATGATGCCAAATGCACAAACGCCCCACAGAAGCAAGGCTAATGCACAAAGTTTAGGCCCCCATATGATGACTTGCAACTGGGCAGGTTGCATGTCGTGCAGCTTTGGGAGCTGGATCCACGTGGCAGCCGTAGTATGTTTGTATATTTACGGTGAGAGTTTTCCGGCCAATGGAGGTCATGGGTCTGGAGGAGGGGGATTCATCACAGTGAAGTCTGGGCTAGTGGAGCTGCTGCCATTCCTATCAGTGGCCTTGAGACCAACTCCCCTGTAGCTGACCCGCAGCTCTCCCTTGCCTGCGGAGTCCCCTTCTCTCCTGTCTCCTGCTGGCGTTTCATCTGACACCTTTATGCTCACAGGACACACTGCTTGCCCCAGAACTCCTCTTGGACTCCTCCTCCACATCAGGGAGTGGAAAGGACGGTGCCCTCTTCCCCTGCAGCTCTAGGGGAACCCCAACCTTGATGTGACAAAGGCTGCCTGTTGAGTGCTCCATTCAGATGCGCCCCCTCTTCAGCCCTGCCAGGGGCTTCCCCAGGCCACTCAGAAAAAAATGGTCACCTTCTTTGAGGCTATTGGACCCTGCTTAGCTGTGGAGACTCCCCTGGAGCCCTGAGGCCCTTCCACCTGGGACACGATG
Source organism: Homo sapiens (assembly GCF_000001405.40). NCBI lineage: Eukaryota > Metazoa > Chordata > Mammalia > Primates > Hominidae > Homo > Homo sapiens. The sequence goes on from NC_000002.12 coordinate 1,623,130, forward strand.
TCACTGTCCCCTCCAATGGCTGCCCCAGCCCTGTTCCAGGGCTCCTCACTGCCAAGAGGTTTTCTTCACTTCCATGAGGAACAAGGAGCCCCTGTTGTGTGCTCCTGGGTGGTCCCGTGCTCTCCTTGACACATTCATCACACAGCCCAACACGTCACTCGTCCATCTTCTCTTTCTCCATGCTCCTTAATAGAGCAGAACCCAGCACAGTCTCTACCTAGTCCACGTCTAGGCTGTCTAGTCTATACGCAGTCTATATCTGGTCAATATCTCATCTACATCCAGTCTACGTCTAGTCTATAAGTATCTAGTCAATATCCACTCTACATCTAGTCTAATCTATATCTAGTCTATATCCAGTCTATATCTAGTCAGTATCTCATGTAGATTCAGTCCGTCTAGTCTAATGTATCTAGTCAATATGTACTCTACATCTAGTCTATATCTAGGCCATATCTAGTGTATTTCCATCTATATCCAGTCTTCATCAAGTCAATATCTTCTCTATATTTCATCTATTAATACATGCAGTCTACATCTAATCTGTATGTATCTAATCAATATCCAAACTACACCTGGTCTATAGCTAAGCTATATAGGCTGCAAGCCTGTATAGCTATACCCAGTCTCCATCTAGTCTATAGTCCATATGTAGTCTATACATAGCCTATATTTAGCCTATATTTGGTCTGTATTGACTGTACACAGTCTCCAGCCAGTCTGTATCTAACCTGCATGGAGTCTCTGCCTATTTTATATCTACCTCGGTCACAGAGCTAGGAGCACAGAGCCGGGCTCCCGGTAGCTGAATGAACAAGTGAAGGAAGAGATGGCAAGATGAATGATCATTGCTAATCTGGACTTGCTTACAGTCTCCACCACCGAGCTGAGGTTACTCTAGTGCCCACTCATGCTGACAGCACGACGATGCCCCAGGCAAAGCTCTAGCTACCTCCACACACGAGACCAGGGAGGTATTTATCCACAGGGTCCATAAGACAAACAATTCTGGAGCATCCAGAAGAGCCGTTTTCCCCAGTTACCTTCACAGATGACACAGCCGTGGCCCTCGGACCCCTGAGAGGGTGGGACTTGCTCTTTCTTGGCAGGGAAGGGGTTGACCCTGCCGGGATCTGGGTGCACAACATGGCGACTCTGCCCAACAAGCCGCTGCCGCCCCCGGCAGGTCAGACGGCTGTAACCTTTTTATTTTTTTTCTTTTTACTGACATTTATTTTGTTCAAATAAAATATACTGTTTTCTTTTTTTTTCTTTTTGTTTTGAGACGGAGTCTCCCTCTGTCACAACCTCCTCCTTGTGGGTTCAAGCAATTCTCCCACCTCAGCCTCCAGAGTAGCTGGGGCTACAGGCACAAGCCACCACGCCTGGTTAATTTTTTTTTTTTTTTTGTATTTTTGGTAGAGATGGGGTTTCACCTTATTACCCAGGCTGGTCTCATACTCCCAAGCTCAGGCGATCCTCCAACCTAGGCCTCCCAAAGTGCTGGGATTACAGGCATGAGCCACCGCACCTGGCCAAAAAATTCTTATTAGGTTGACAATTTTATAGCTGAAAATTGAGTCTCAAATAAGTTACATAATTTGTCTGAGCTCAAATAGCAATTAACGGGAATGGAGCTCACCCAAATCTCACGGCTTCAGGTGTACTATTTGCAAAAAATACAAAGACTCTGTGACCATCAGGCTATAAGCAAAGATCTTCACCTCTTAAAAAGTCACGGAGCCGGGCACGGTGGCTCACGGTGGGAGGCCGAGGCAGGCGGATCACCTGAGGTCAGGAGTTCGAGACCAGCCTGGTCCAAATGATGAAACCCCGTCTCTACTAAAAATACAAAAATTAGCCGGGTGTGGTGGTGGGCACCTGTAATCCCAGCTACTCAGGAGGCTGAGGCAGGAAGTCGCTTGAACCTGGGAGGCGGAGCTTGCAGTGAGCAGAGATCGCGCCACCACTGCACTCCAGCCTGGGTGACAGAGAGACTCCATCTCAAAAAAAGAAAAGAAAAGAAAAAAAAAGTCATGGAGCCCCACTACCGAAGTAGGACGGGGACAGAATCAGCCATGATTTCGAGTTAAGGTAAGGATGGTGGAGCAAAGCTCACCTGGGCTGTGCTTGTCCCCAGGACTTTACGTCTAGCAGGGAAGAGAACCGCGCTGGGGGCGGCGGGCAGAGACTCCTGGTGAGTGGTGAAGTCCGGCGCAGGTGCAGGCCTCACGGCTCACGCTGGACGCCTTCCCGGAGATTAGTCACCGTGGATCCGGCTGTGGGCAATGGGGAGCTACGGAGATATTTCAAGCAACAAGGATGAGGGGAGGAGAAGACAGGCTGAGCAAACACAAAGACAGGAAAGGTGTGTTTGGAATGCCTGGGGGAACTCAGTCACTCAGGAAGGAGGGTGCTGGGGAGGGCTGTGCGGCAGTTTCTGGAAGGCTCCCGCTGGGCCCAGGTGCACCGTCTTTTGTAACCACATTCCTGGCCTCTGCAAGGCTTGAGCTATTAGCCACTGGCCTCTAATTGCCAGATGTTCTGGGTCTGATGCGGCTGCTTCTCATCATAACTTCAGCTGCTTCTCATCATAACTTCAGCTGCTTCTCATCATAACTTCGTTGCCTTTACCTTCAGGCAGTGTAGGAAGTCAGGGAAGAGGTCCAGAATCTTCTCTTTTCCCTGCTGCCCGAAAGCATGAGTGAGTCTCTGTGTTTTTCTAAAAGTAATTATGGGATGTGGGGGAGGGTCTCTGAGCCTGAGGGCTCTAGGGGCAAGGCTGTGCTCAAATGACCGGGAAAGGAGAATTCAGCTCCTAGCCTGAGCTAAGCACTTTGATAGGAACATCTCAGGTCATCTGTACAGCAGACTCACAAGGTGGACGGCGTAATTGTCTCTGGTTTACAAAGAAAAAAAAAGATTTGGAAAGGTCACGTGAGTTGGTAAAGGCCACAGAGCTAATAAATTGCAGTCGTTTTATTACAAGCACTCAGGTTCCTAAAATTACACGATTTTGTCTTTCGGATGCGAAGCTTCCAATGAACTCTGCAATTCTATCCGTGTTTCGGATATCAAAGTTTTAATTCAATGTACACGTTGTTGCTCTACATTTGGTAAAATGAAGAGAGTACCCGACTCAAGGTCAGAGGCAGTGGGTTCGAGTCTTGGGTCCAGCAGTTCCTGACTGCAGGGCATGGGAGGCAGGGCACCGAGGAGTTAGAGAGAGGCCGCCGGACACAGCCCAGCCCAGAGCCTTCCCGGCAAGCTCAGGGTCCCGAGTCTCCACAGAGTGTGCGGCCACAACACGGCATCAAACATCCTGCTCCCTTCCCCTACACACCCTGAATCATAAGAAATGATGACCAGTGGTCATTCTCTGAGTTAATTTCTGGTGCAGTAATTTTTAAATAATACAAACATGAATGTTTTCCAGGAACTTCCTCTATAAACAGGTGCATACTAGTCACTCAGCCAGGCTCCAATCCTATGTCCTGATGAGTTTGCTTCTTGAGGACAAAACAACAAGAAAAGCAGTTTGCATGCTGGGAAGGATGCAGACAATTTTAAAAGCATGTGACGATAACATCATAGAGTACTTAACTTAGGGCTTTTTTTTTTTTTTTTTTTTGAGATGGAGTCTCTCTCTGTCACCCAGGCTGGAGTGCAGTGGCACGATCTTGGCTCACTGCAAGCTCCACCTCCTGGGTTCATGCCATTCTCCTGCCTCAGCCTCCCGAGTAGCTGGGACTACAGGTGCCCGCCACCATGCCCGGCTAATTTTTTTGTATATTTAGTAGAGACAGGGTTTCACCGTGTTAGCCAGGATGGTCCACTTACGGCTTTTAATTGTGGGTTAATAATCATTAAGGAGGTATGTTTTTGATAAAACACATTGAAGATAAAATTTTTCCTATAACTTAAGATTATGCTCAAGGTCAGAAAAAAATAATAATAATGAAAATCTGAAGATTTCTATTCCTTCTCTTCCCCAAACCACGGTAATAGAAAAGCCACACCAATTTACTGTCCATGTCTGAACAGTCATTGCAACTGATAAAGGAGTACACAGTGTTTCCTTCCGTCCTCCGCAGCACCAAACCAGTAACCGCAAAGTGATTCCTGAAAACTGTGGTTTCTTGGCGGTATTGTACTAGACCATAAGGGTGACATCCAGAGTTATGATGGAAAAAGGATCACTTTGTTAAGTTAGGGACACGTTCACGACATAATGGGAAGGACAATGGAGATGTTAGGCTTTCAACCTTGGCTTCCGCCCTCTGGAGTCCCCACAGTTGGAACAAAGAAACCCCAGATACTGTGATGGTGAACACAGACCGAGTTATTTTTAACAAATCCCACAAACATTAAAAACAGTCATTACTGGAGTTTCAGGAATCTTCCAGATTCAAACATGCTAACTGACTGTCAATATCCCCAGGTTTGGGATGTGAGCATATTTGTTACCATAAATATAAATGAAAGTAAACCTAAAATGGAAGACTTTAAGCACAAAGGCTTAACACTGAATACATGAAAAGCAAAACTGTAGTGGCTGTTTGGTGCCTTTGTTATAGCCACTAGGACATTAAGGACAACTTGGGAATGGCAACCCCTCAGCAGGACTGAGCTAAGGAGCCATGATGGGGCGTGCTTCCTCACAGTGGTGTGCAAACCGGGGTGGATACAGGCAGGCTGGGGTATCGGGCAGGTGCAATGCTCACAACTGTGTGCAACAGCGCATGGGGCTGGGCTGATGTTGGATGAGCTCTCATATTGTTTGGTGGCCTGGTGCAATGTGGCCAGCCTTCTAGGACCATTTTTCCTCATCTGTAATTACAGGATAATCTTAAATCCGTTCAAGCTGAGGCTCCCAACTGGTCACATGGTGGGGACTTGGATAAACTTAAAGCATGTGATAGCTTAGGAATAGATGACTCTTTTGCAAATACACTTTGCTCACTCATCTATTCCATCTCCGAGATTCTAGAGTGTCATGACTAGAATTGTGGGTGGTGATAAATTGGTTTCACCAGAAAAACTGTTGCATGAAACTCAGTGGATGCCAATCAGATGCCTTCCGGAAACTTTTGTCAGAAAACATTTGGGAAGTTCACTAAACGCATGGAAGAATCTTTTGGTGAATGCTTTGACAAACAAAAAACCACAGGCACAACTCATTTTATGCTTTGATTTATTGCACTTCACAGATACTGCATTTTTTCTTTTTTTTTTTTTGAGTTGGAGTCTCGCTCTTGTTGCCCAGGCTGGAGTGCAGTGGCGCAATCTCAGCTCACTGCAACCTCTGCCTCCCCGGGTTCAAGCGATTCTCCTGCCTCATCCTCCGGAGTAGCTGGGACTACAGGCACCCGCCACCACACCTGGGTAATTTTTTGTATTTTTAGTAGAGACGAGGTTTCATCACGTTGGCCAGGCTGGTCTCGTACTCCTGACCTCTGGTGATCCGCCCACCTTGGCCTCCCAAAGTGCTGTGATTACAGGCGTGAGCCACCATTCCCGGCCCACAGATACAGGTTTTTTTTGTTTTGTTTTGTTTTGTTTTTTTACAAATTAAAGGTTTGTGGCAACCCTGTGTGGAGCAAATCCAATGGGGCCATTTTTGTAGTAACGTGCTTACTTTGTGTCTCTGGCACATTTTGGTAATTCTTGCAATATTTCAAACTTTTTCATGATATCTGTTACGGTGATCTGTGATCAATGATCTTTGATGTTACTATTAATTGCTTTGGGCCCCGAATGGGTTATTCTCCCTCTCTTCAGACTTCCCTATTCCTTGAGACACAATAATGTTGAAATTAGACCAATTAATAATCCTACAATGACCCTAAGTGTTCAAGTGAAAGGAAGAGTCACATGTCTCTCACTTGAAATCAAAAGCTAAACATGATTCAGCTTAGTGAGGAAGGCATGTCGAAAGCTGAAATTGGCCAAAAGCCAGGTCTCTTGTGCCAAACAACCAAGTCGTGAATGCCAAGAAAAAGTTCTTGAAGGGAATTAAAAGTGCTACCCCAGTGAACACACTAATGATGAAACACAAATAATAAGTGAGACAGCCTTATGGCTGATATGGAGAAAGTTTGAATGGTCTGGATACAAGGTAAGTCAGATACAACATTCCCTTAAGCCAAAGCCTAACACAGAGTAAGGCCCTAATTCCATTCAATTCTGTGAAAGCTGAGAGTGGTGAGGAAGCTGCAGAAATAGACTCTGAAGCTAGCAGAGGTTGATTCTGAGGTTTAAGGAAAGAAGCCGTCTCCACAGCATGAAAGTGCAAGGAGAAGCAGCAAGTGCTGATGGAGAAGCTGCAGCAAGTTCTCCAGAAGCTCTGAGATCACTGATGAAGATGACTACATGAAACAACAGATTTTCCATGTGGACAAAACAGCCTTCTATTGGAAGAAGAAGCATTCCGGACTTTCATAGCTGGAGAGGAGAAGTCAATGCCTGGCTTCAAAGCTTCAGAGGACAGGGTGACTCTCTTGCCATGGCTGGTGCAGCTGGTGACCTTAAGTTGAAGTCAATGTTCATTTACTTCTGAGAATCTTCAGACCTTTAAGAATTATGCTAAATCAACTCTGCCCATGCTTTATAAATGGAACAAAGCCTGGATGACAGCACATATGTTTATGGCACAATTTACTGAATATTTTAAGCCCACTCTTGAGAACTACTGCTCAGAAAAAATCAATTATCTTCAAAATATTATTGCTCATTGACAATGCACTTGGTCATGCAAGAGCTCTAATGGGGATGTACAAAGAGATGAATGTTTACACAACATCCATTCTGCAGCCCATGGATCAAGTTATAATTTTGACTTTCAAGTAAGAAATCATTTCATTAGGCTGTAGCTGCCATAGACAGTGACTCTTCTAATGGATTGGGGCAAAGTAAACTGAAAACCTTCTGGAAAGAATTCACCACTCTAGATGCTATTAAAACATTTATGATCCATGGGAGCAGGTCAAAATATACACACTAACAGAAGTGCCTGTTAAAAAAGTTGATTCCTGCCCTCATGGATAACGCTGAGGGGTTTAAGACTTCAGTGGAGGCAGTAACTGCAGATGTGGTGGAAATAGCAAGAGAATTAGAAGTGGAGTCTGAAGATGGGACTGAATTGCTGCAATCTCATGATCAATCTTGAATGGATGAGGAGTTGCTTCTTGGGGATAAGCAAAGCGAGTGGTTTCTTGAGATGGACTCTACTCCTGGTGAAGATATTGTGAACACTGTTGAAATGACAACATAGGATTTAGAATATTCCATAAGTTTATGTGATAAAGCAGCAGCAGGGTTTGAGAGGACTGACTCCAATGTTGAAATAAGTAATTCTGTGGGTAAGATGCTATCAAACAACATCCCTTACTACAAATAAATCTTTCATGAAAGTAAGGCTAAACCAATGCGCTAAGCTTCATTTTGTCTTACTTTCCAAAATTGACACAGCCACCCCAACTTTCAACAACCACCACCCTAATCAGTCAGCAGCCATTAACACCAACACAAGACCCTCCACCAGCAAAGAGATTACAGCTCACTGAAGGCTCAGATGATCGTTCACTATTTTTAGCCATAAAGTATTTTTAAATTAAGGTATGTACATTTTTTAGACATAATGCTTTTGTGCATGTAATAGACCATAGTGTAATGTGAACACAGCTTTTATTCGCACCGGGAAACCAAAAAAATTGTATGACTTGCTTTATTGAGATAGTCACTGATTGCGGTGGTCTGGAACTGAAGCCACAATATCTCCCAGGTATGCCTGTATTTATGTCATTTGACATATAATTTTGCACACCAGAAACAGGTATTAAGTGTTAATAACAAAAAGCAATAGGAATGTTTCAATGCATTCTACATATTATTAAAACAAGATACATATGGTTAACTTTTGCTAGTTTTGCATTAGGCATTTCATTTAAATTAAAATTGGTATATGGCACTCATTCCCTCGTGACAGAAAAGCACCTAATTTGTCTTTTGTTGATTGAGGAGTGTTCATCCCATGTTCATAAACATTCCATGAAAGCAGCTCAATTTATCATTCTAATTTTGAAATGATTTGGCAATTTTAACAACATAATATTTAATTTTCGTTAATATTTCATTTTTCTCCTTACATAGATGAGTAGTATTTTTTCCAGGCCCTATAAAGATGCCCTCAGATCCATTCCAGTTTCCTTTAGAGCAGCATCCTCTCTCCCACCCAACCACAGCCTGAGGGGCTCAGCAATTGTCACATGTCATCCCCGACTTCTGGCCCCAGAGCCACACATAGCTCAGGCCTGGAAAGGGAGTGTCTGTCTTCCGTGCACTGTGCCCTCCTGACCTGCGCTCTTGCTTCTGGAAAAGCATCTGCCCATCTCAGACACCTCGGTGTGTGAATTGCTTGTACACTCCTCTCTGACAAAGAAATGTCCTTCTCCACAGCACAAAGATTCCAGGAGACAAGGGCATTTATTTGCCAGAGGTTTTTCCCAAGAGCTCACTCCCACCTGCCAAAATTCAGTCGGGTTAAAGCATCCCAGCTGCTTCGGAAAAGGAAGTCAACTTTATCTAATACCTTATTTTTAGTAATTTTTTCACATTTAGTCACAAAATGATTAGTGACTAGGACAGTTCTGGGGCTTCTTCCTGGACCTACCTCCTTCCCTTCTCAGGCTTTTGATCTCACCTGGAAAAGTTTTAGCCTCATGTACTGGTTTCAGGTAAAAAAAAATAAAGCCATTCTCCATTTGAAAATGTGACCCATTTATTTGAACTGAAAGGCATCATTACAAAGTGCAAACATTTCTTTGGTAATGAACTGAATACAATGGTCATAAAAAAGGCATTTGGCTGTTGGAGCAGTTAGAAAAGTAAATAAATATGTACATTCCACTCCTGTTACAGCGATCCCGCACAGTGGCTGCTAGACACGTTCACCCAGGCACTGCCCACTGTTCTGATTACAGAGAGTATCAAACTGGTGATTCCGCAGACATTTTGGTTTGAATTACAGAATTTTTTTTGGTAAATCACAGTCAGCTTCCCCCTTTGGCTTAGACAACACAATTCCTTGTGACTGGCCCAGACCGCACATTACGCAGGTGTGCTACAGGTGTGCCGCCTCAGCACTGAGACCATGAGGCCTCCAGGGCATGTAAGAGGCACAGAACACTCCCAGAACCCAGAATCTGCTGTCATCTGAGTGCCTGAGCAACTTACATAACCATCAGCTTTTAGACGAACTTACACATTTCCTATTTGACAGAAATCTCTTCCACAATTTGGTCACTACATTTGACTTGCTATTTCAAAAGAAGTCCACATGTCATGAAACACCAACCAATTTTTATCAATCACTTACCAATATGAGGTTAAGAAGTTAAGACAACCATTTTTACAGATAAAACACATGAATCCAATGACCTTCCTCACAGCTGAAATGCTGCCTCCGCCGCAGCAACTTGGCCGGCCCGTGCTGGAAGGGTCTGGGTGTCTCCTTGGGAGGATGTGCACCTGGAACACGGGTTGTGCACAAATCACACCAGGCACTGTATGCGCCCATCCTGTCAGAAGGAAGCTGGCCTCCCCCACCCCATGGAAGCCTCGACGCCATACCCCAGTGCTGGACACCTGCCACCCTGAACCGAAACGGCCCCTGACCTCAGGGGCTCCCTCCACCACCTCAGCTGGGCCTTGCTGCGGGCAGGTGGCCCGGACCTTGGTGCCTCGTGTGCCCAGCACTGTGCCTGGCACATGGTGGATACTCAGGTCAGCGTGCTGCACTGAAGCTGTGTGTTCGGGGAAAGGTTGCTCAGAACACAGATCGCTTTGTATTTAGAGAAAAATGGAAGGTTTTGGTCAATTAAAGAGAGACCATGAGGTATGAGAGTTGATTTTCACTGACGTCTAAAAGAACTTTGCATAGTGGAAATGGTTTTTCTGCCATATCTAATACCTAAAAAATGGACACAATTTCATAAAACATCACGCATTTTAAAAATACAAATGAGGTATAGGGATTCTTTTTTTTTTTTTTTTTTAACGCACTCACACAACCTGAAGTTAGACAGTTCCCGACACTTGAGCTCCTCCTCCCTTGGGAAGAGCCATCCGGAAGCGGCTCTTGTTCAGGACGTGGACGCAACCAGGGCCGGCTGGGAGCGGCGTTGTCAACACACACCCTTGGCCCTCGGCAGGTATCAGATACACAATGGGATGAAGGAGGTTTTTTCACATTTGGTTCACAACTAGGCAGTATGTGTGCAAGTGACAGCTGAAAGCAAACCTGTTTCTAAATGTGGCTTATGAATGTTCTAATCAGGTGTGGAAGGAGCTGACACACGGAGAGTCACAGGCTATACAGCTGCTTCGAGCAGCGGGAATGTTTGTCTTGGGATTAGATGCTGACGTGTGGTGAAATGTTACAGAGAGCCCAGAGGAAGGAGGAGTTCAGAGGTTCCCAGGGAAGAGGCCGGGGGCTTGCACTGCACCCCCAGACAGTGTCCCTGTGAACGCTCTCATCAAAGGTTCTGTTCCGTTTGCCAAACACCAATTTTCTTTTTAAACATAGCTTGTGATGGAACCCCGATTTCGGTGAGCCCCTCTGGCAGCTCCAAGACTCACCCCACCTGCGGGTGACAGGTCTGCCGGCTCCTGGCATCTGAACAAGGCAAGGCTGACATATAGAGGTATCCTGCTTTATTTAAAAAGAAATGGTGTTGGGAGGCAAAATCAATTTAGGCGCCTAAATGATTCAACTGTGCAATTTAATAGTAGCACCAATTTTTCATTTTAAAAGAATTAAATAAAAACCTGAGAAGTCTAACGTGAAGCTAGGACTCCTGCCTGCTTCCCTTCAGGCACCTGCTGTGCCTCCTTCTCCGCAGATGCTCTGGTTGGAAGCCTCCTGCACTGCCTTCTGTAACAGCACCAGCTGGACGTTGTCATGAAATGTCACGAGTTCTGGGTGTTTCCTGGTCTGCAGTCCGCAGCTCCCTGCCATCGGCCACCCGATCTCACGATGGCACAGCAGACAAACTCTGAGGAGCCTCCCAGGAGCCTAGGGCTTTTCCTCCGCCCTCTTCTGTAAGCAGACTGGACAGCAGGCCCCTGGGATGTTCACGGGGACAGCACAGGTGGCAGGGGGGCAAGCTTCCACGAAGCAGGTGACCTGCCCGTCCTGGAGAAGAGAGACGGAGCACAGCCTGTCAGCTCTGGGATGGCCTTCAGGTGAGCAAAGCCTGTCAGCTCCGGGACAGGTGTCAGCCACGGCCATGAGTCAGGCCTTGCCCTGAGGCCCCTGCCTTGCCCGCTGTACTTGCCCTGTGGGCATGGATTTTGTGGTTCTCTTAGGATTTCATAGTTGCAGACAGGTATGAGTTAATGGGAGCCCCCATAACAAGTCTCCCTGAGGCTCCCGTCCCACCCTTCCGTCCATGCCCACGGTCCTCTCACCCTGAGGGGCCAAGACCACCAGCTGGACACATCCTCCCACCTCACACCTGGATCCCCTCGGACTGTGTCTGGGGGTGGGCGTTGTCAGGAAGCAGGATGGGACTAGAGAGAGGGGGGAAGGGACAGGGCTTTGCTCTTCCCCGGTCTGCCCTTCCCAAACCTGACCAGCTCAGGGACACTGATGCGCGTCCTCTCCCAATGGCCATGGCAAGAGAAGTGCCCGGGCTGGCGCGCTGTCCTCCCCATCCTGCCTCCTCACACTATGCCCCAAGCTTTCCACGGAGCCTGGTTCCAGCCAGACGTCTGTCCATTGCCGGCACCAGGGCACCCTCCACCTGCCACCAGTCTCCCTTTGCAGGGACTCCAGTGACCTCTGTAACACCCCCAGCTCTGACTGGAGATGGGACAGGGCCAGTGGTGGGCAGGTCAGTGTTTACCCACCAGCTCTGCAGGGAGGAGCTGATCTACCCCATTCATGGGTTTCCATGGCATGAGTATTCCTGCCACAGCTGGTGGGAGGTGAAGCCAGTGCACACAAGCAGCCCCAGGTGGCCCTGCACAGAGTAGGGGCTGCCCGCCCTCTGTGGGGTTGGACCATGCTGAGGTTCTGGGCCTCCTAGCACGTCCTCTGTGCACAGAGAGCTGGGCTTGCCTGGTGCTTCCATAGGAGTGAAGGAGGGATGGAGGCCAGCACAGGTAGGCGGGGAGGGGCCTGGCCCTGACATCTGGGCCACCCACCTGAGTGGTCACATGGGACTCTCGGACTTGCGTATACCTTAGGACATGAAGATAGAGCCCCCCATACTCACTTTGCATTCACAAATGGTGCATGCATCTTTTTTCCACTTGGTGTTGTTGGCGTGAGATTCGCCCCCGGCATCCACGCACTCTGTGGTACTGAGCCGTGATTCAAGTTTCTTTATCTGCAGCAATGCAAAGAACATTCATTCATTGGGCACTTCAGAGTAACAGCTTGGCTCTTGTATTAAAAGATGTTATTTCACTGAAAATAATGCCTTAAAATAAACAACATTTGAGGGGAATATTTCTGAAGAACTTTTACAGAATCTCCAATGTCCTTATTAGACTGGCGGCAGCTGACCACACGCCCCAATGGAAGACATTCCCACCACCGTGCTGTCAAATAAAAACCGTAGTCACAAAGGCGACGTTCTCAGAGGACTGTGGGAGCAAGATTCAACCAGATGACGAGAACGTCCTGCACCTACACTTCCACCAGAACGAACGATGATCACTCAGAATCCCCAGAGTCAAGTCTGCCTTATTTTCCGAGTAACAACACCACTGGCTTTTCTCTGGAAGCACGGGGCCCCATAACAAGGTGACCTTTCCAACCGCTGTGCCATGCACAGGGGTAGCAGAAGCCTCCTGGAAGGGTCTCCTTCCTCAAACCCTCTCTTGCATCTTGCAGGGCCGGGGGGCAGACAGGGTGACAGTGGCCGGAAATGCCTGGGCCATGAGGTGACCTTGGGAAGAGGCCACCCACAGTACAGCACCAAGCTGCAGCAGGGACCCTGCACTGCGGAGGGTCCAGCAATCTCCACGACTGAGGGAAAAGTAAACTCGCACCTCATTAAAACCATCCTGGATTTGGAGTTTTCCGTCCCTTGCATTTGAACCTAAACTGTCTGTGATGTCTGAAATGAACACAAATTATTTATCATAAATATCCCAATTCTTCTAATAAGCCTTCATAAAGCATGCTCAGCCACAGGTAAGGCTGTCTGATGATGGCTGTGAATAACTTCAGCAAGCCACCCACTTACTCATGTCAATTAAAACATCTTCTTTGATCTCCTGTCAGCCATAAGTGTGTGGTCCCCAACCTGTGCAGCAGCAGTGTCTCACCTATGCACACATCATGCTGAAAAAGGTGGACGTCCCCTCACCGTACCATCTGCATTTCATAATGACAGCTGGACATCTAGGACCTAACTAGCCAAACAGTTACTCACTTTGGGAAATGCCTCAGATACGGCTTCTAAATGAAAGCCATCTTTCCTGCATGCCTCATTCATTAGCAACTGGCACTTAAGTTATCAAAGCTTAGAACTTTCTAGCTGAAACCATGGGGGAAAAAAAAAAAAAAAGGAAGCCTCAGGAACAGTGGCACAGGGGCCAGAGAGCACTTAGGGGTGGCAGCCAGGACGGTCTGCAGAGGTTCCAGGTGACCTGCATGTCACCTCTGTGTCTGCGGCTGACCTGCTTTAATTCACAGCCAGAGAGAAGCAGTGACCACGCCGGCCTGTGTGTGCCTCTGCAGTCACCAAGATACACGAACACCTCTGCACACATGGGGTGCAGGGAAATGACCACAGACGGCACACACCCTGTGCTGTCAGCAGCTGCAAAATCACAAGGAACATCCACATTTCTCAGACCCAGCGCTGCCACCCAGGGAGCTGCCCGTTCATCCTGAGGGTGGAAGGAAGTCCAGCATTGTGGACAGAATCAGCAACATGGGAGGGCATAGGGCGTTGGTATTTGCCGACACAGGTGGGGTGGCTGGTCCCCCTCTGCCTCTGCTATGCTGTCCAGGGTCACCTGTGCACAAGGCCTGCCCTGAATGACCTTGGGGTTCACAGACCCCCCTCCCCAGTGGACCCCCCTAGGGCACCCAGGCCCCAGCACGGACCCCAAGGGTCAGCCTGGGTTTGTCTCTGCTTCTCTCCTAGTGCCAGGTGGAGCTGAGTGAACACTGCATGCTGTCCACTTGGGCAGCTGCCGGGGGATGTGCACCTGGTCTCTAGGCTGCGGAGGGAGGAAGACCTGCCACACGCTGTCCACTCTGACAGCTGCCAGGCGATGTACACCTAGTCTCTAGGCTGCAGAAGGAGGAAGACCTGCCACACGCTGTCCACTCTGACAGCTGCTGGGGGATGTGCACCTGGTCTCTAGGCTGCGGAGGGAGGAAGACCTGCTGCACGCTGTCCACTCTGACAGCTGCCAGGCGATGTACACCTAGTCTCTAGGCTGCAGAAGGAGGAAGACCTGCCGCACGCTGTCCACTCTGACAGCTGCCTGGGGACTTGCACCTGGTCTCTAGGTTGTGGAGGCAGGAGGACCTGCCACACGCTGTCCACTCTGACAGCTGCCTGGGGGATGTACACCTGGTCTCTAGGCTGTGGAGGGAGGAGGACCTGCCACACGCTGTCCACTCTGACAGCTGCCTGGGGGATGTACACCTGGTCTCTAGGCTGCGGAGGGAGGAAGACCTGCGGCATGCTGTCCACTCTGACAGCTGCCTGGGGACTTGCACCTGGTCTCTAGGTTGCGGAGGCAGGAGGACCTGCCACATGTCGTCCACTCTGACAGCTGCCTGGGGACTTGCACCTGGTCTCAAGGCTGCAGAGGCAGGAGGACCTGCAGCTGCACGGGATGAGGGGGCAGGCACAGGAGTAGTCAGGGTACCTCTCCCTGTGGCTGGGGGTTACCTTGGGGCTACACTAGGAGATGATGGAAGTTTCTCCCAAACCTAAGGGCTAAGAGTCCTGTGAGTAGGAAAGGAGCTGTGCTTACAGATTAAATGTGCTGCAGACAGCCAGGACCTGCGCACCTTGGGAATCCCATCCACACCAGCGGAGTGAGCGCACTTCCTTCTATTTAGCCATAGGTCTCAATCTCCACCCCCTTACGTAAAATCCCAGAGATAACCCCCACCACAGGCACTGAAGAAAGCAGAAGTAAGTTCCTGGGATAGGAAGGAGAGGACAGAACTCATTTCCACAGAGCGCCAGAGAAGAGCCCCGTCTGAAAATCCCTGTGGTCGTACCACAGACACCAGGACTTTCCTCACACCCGGAGAGGCTGGATCAGTTGTGGAGGGCTGACCTGGAAGTGCCTCCTTACCACGCCCTGGGAGAGATGATTCAGAGTTATTCCTGAATAAGAGGCTTAAGAACAGGACTTCATGTCTGAACTCTCCTACAGCATCCTAATCCTGTGTTCCCTCCAGCAAGGTCACCTGGCTGGCAGTCACACGGCCGTGACACAGATTGCCCCTGCCTGGTGACCCCCATCTGCTGGGAAACCCAGGGACACCAGTGGCACATGGCCCGGCCTGACCCAGCGTGCAGAAATGACACCCCCAAGGCTCCAGGGTCTGGGTCCTGTGTGGGCAGTTGAACAGTTGCCTGGGAATAAAATGCTATACCCAGAAGGTTCGGGCAGGGCTGTGCTGCTGTGGAATCTTGGAGTGGGGGGACACAGGCCGCCAGGCACCTCACCTGTGTTCTGAGGTCTGTGATGGTCTTCTGCATTTCCAGAACAAACTCTCTGAAGTCATTTGTCCCAGATGCATCTGAGCGTGTGCTGAAGGCTGAGGTGCTGTTGCTGAGATGTTCCCCCTGTCTCCCAACACTGTGGTGAGGGGAAAGGAGGAGGAGGGAAATATAACCTTGGCAGGTCACGCCGGGTCTCATTTCAAGGTTTCCTGGGTGTGCACCGCCCCTGATGCTCTGAGCTGGGTCTCATTTCAAGGTTTCCTGGGTGTGCACCGCCCCTGATGCTCTGAGTGGGCAGCACAGCAGGACGCAGGCTGCGGCCTGGCCCCCAGTGCCCTGGGACGTCCCTGCCAGGAACCATCCTCGCCACAGGCCCACAGCAGGATGCCGGTCCTACTGCCCGACGCCCGCGGTGCGAGGGCCCCTCTGCACATCATTTGACCTCAGAGACCACCATACCTGGGTATTTTCCGTGGTCTTGTTTTCTTGGTCGGCTTGTCCTCCTGGTAGCTGAACTCAAGAGACCGTCTGCCTCGGAAATGATAGGAAAAGGCATTGAACTGCCCCCTGGTCCTACAGTCTAAAATGGAAGCACAAAGCAGAATGTCAGCTCTGAAGGCTCTGACCTCGGGGAAATTAAGCACATCCTGCCAACTATGAAGTCTTCACTGGCTGCCCGTGGAACAAACTGTGGCACATTTCAGTGAGGCAACCTGGCAGCTGGTCTGCGGCTCTTACCCTCTCCTGGTCTGAGGGGCCAAGCCTCTCTCCACCTGTGCCCCAGCCCTCATGACCTCCTGGTGCTGGCCGCCCTGAGGACAGCTGGGCACACTGAGGAGGCTCACCACGCCATCTAACCACACCCTCGCGGAGTTCCCTCCACCCACAGATGGAGGCTCAGGCACTCTGCCTCGGAGATCAGAGTCTGCTGTTTCTGGGGGTCCCTCCCCGATGGCCAGATGACAATCTGCACTCTGGAGTGCCTTAAAATTATGCTACACTCCCTACGTCACACTGCCAGCCCCAGTGTCAGACAAGAGGCGGCCTGACCCTGCTTCTCCTGAATGTAGCCCAAACACCTCCCTGCCTAGGAGTGGCTTCCTTCTCAACCTGTGGTGGACTGAGAAGCCCTCAGTGCTATGCCTCACCTGAGCCCCGGGTGAGTGAGGGGCCCTCAGTGCCGTGTCCCTCCTGGTCCCCGGGTGAGTGAGGGGCCCTCAGTGCCGTGTCCCTCCTGGTCCCCGGGTGAGTGAGGGGCCCTCAGTGCCGTGTCCCTCCTGGTCCCCGGGTGAGTGAGGGGCCCTCAGTGCCGTGTCCCTCCTGGTCCCCGGGTGAGTGAGGGGCCCTCAGTGCCGTGTCCCACCTGGGCCCTGTGGACACACTATCTAACGAAGTAATGGGGTGTTCAGTCTGTCTTGTACATCATCCCCACCCAAGAAAGCTGTGGCAGAGCACGAAAGTGAAGGGCAAATATGGACCTTTGCAAAATGCTAATGTCTCAGGAAGCCACTGGAGTAGAAATTCTATGAGAAGAGAAGAGGCACGTGCAGCATACACCTCAGACCCCATGCTAGCTTTCCTGTCTCCCTTGAAGGGCGGCCGGCTCCTTCTGGTCTAGCATTTGTCTGACTGGCTGGAAAGAGTATCTTCAAGACAGAGACCTAAAGCTCCCTCTGCCCCCACAGCGGAGCCCACAAACAGTCCCACTGAATGTGTTTATTTCCGCAGTTAACTATACAGCTTCTGAGTAAACCCAGCTGGCTGGACCCCTCGCTTCTTCCACCCACAAATCGTCTCAGGAGCAGAGAAGAGCAGAGTTTCTTAAAACTCCTGGGCACACAAATACATCATAAAACAGCAGCTGCCTCCCAGACTACCGCAGCCCCTCCCAGCAACACCTGGGGTCAAGAATGAGCCTCACTGGCAGGTGGGGTCCACCCAGGGCTGTGCAGGTCTGGGGTGGGTCCCTGGTAGAATTACAGGGCGACAGGGAAGCAGCAGGGCCAGGACACGGTCCCAGGCACTGTGGGGTCCCTGCCAAAGCGCACACCAGCCCCAACCCCAGAACTCTTTGATGGGACCTCCGTCCCTCCAGGATGGCCGTCTCTTCCTCACACCCCAGGGCACGGCTGGGCCACACCTGCTCAGCGGCCTGGCCTGCACCTGCTCTGTGCTGCCCAGGCTGGCCAAGCCAGGAGCAGGCTGGCTTCCCAGACCTAGTGCAGACCCCACACAGCACTTGTTGTAGGCATCAACGAAGCAAATGATGAAAAGTTGTAGCTCAAGGACGTTCGCTTTAAATGTGTCTTTTTATTTTTTTATTTTTTTGAGACAGTTTCACTCTTGTTGCCCAGGCTGGGGTACAATGGCACGATCTCAGCTCACTGCAACCTCTGCCTCTTGGGTTCAAGCAATTCTCCTGCCTCAGCCTCCCATGTAGCTGGGATTACAGGTGCCCGCCACCACGCCCGGCTAATTTTTGTATTTTTGTAGAGACGGGTTTCACCACGTTGGCCAGGCTAGTCTCGAACTCCTAACCTCAGGTGATCCACCTGCCTCGGCCTCCCAAAGTGCTGAGATTACAGGCATGTGCCACCGCCCAGCCCCCAATGTGTCTTTTTAAAAAGTTTAATTGAAAAGTAAATAGCAATTGACATTTGGTTCTGTCAAATCTGAGTTCTGTTTTCGTATTTTTCTGCTGTATTTAGATATGGCTTTTGGGGTAAAATAAAAACAGGTAAAGCTTATCAAGTATTCTCTAAGCTGTGTCAGCTTAAGGCCATGCCTGGTATTTTAAGAGGGAAAAGTGTCCGGAAGAAACAATGTCAGCAATTGCTTCAGCAGCTAAGCCTCTCCCACAGTGCCCTGAGAGGAGGAGGGGCTTGTAACATGCGGGGAACAAAGACTGGCTTTAAAGATGAAGTCTTTCAAAGGACTTTGGATTTTCTTAGCAAAAGAACAGAAAGCCTGGCTGTACTTCTTAATAAGCAGCTAACAGGGGCCTGGTAAAGTTATCAGAAAATGGGTTTTTGTATCATTGGCTTTTCCTAATCATTTTCAAGAGAACAATTTTCTACAAACAGAACAAATTTTCTACCATGCTTGTAGAAAAGCATTTTGAATTGGATAAACCAGTGAGGATATAAAACAAAAACAAAAACAAAACAAAACAATAAAACAAAAAACAGATATAAGTTTCCAACAGATGTAATAACAAGCATGTAAATAATTTGGAAAATTGGGTACCTAGCAAGCATAATTTTATTTTTTATGTGAATTCTCCTATCATATATACTTCCATGCATGTGTGTGTGGGTGGTGGGGGGTGCAGATGAGGAGGCAGATGCAGGATTAGATCACACACACCCCCCACACACCCCACAGGTACACACACTCCACACACACACCCCACAGTCGCACACAGACACAGAGGCACGCACTCTCTTAGAAGAAGCTGCTAAAACACAGCTCTATTATCAGTGCAGATTTCAACGCTTACTAAATTAAATAAGCTCTTGGCCAGAACTATTACTTCAGGAAAAATGAGGTGGTGGAGAATATGTGGACAGTGTCTGTACTTTGTGTGTCTCTTCTTAAACTACCAAGTGTCCACAGACACCACAAGCTCCACAGATTGCCGGGTGAGGCCGGGATCTGGCCCCACCTCCCGGTCACGCTCACCGCAGGTCCCCAGATCCCCCCATTGTGGTGGGCCCTGCTTCTCTCACCACAAGAGTGAGTGCTCCACAACTTGGGTTCTAAACATCCCCAGTTTGGTATTTTATGGGGATCTGATCATAGTTTGAATAAAGCCAAAATTATGTTCAAATTAGTAATGGAAATGGAGGTTAACCAAGACTGGGAGTTAGGAATGCGAAGCAGGAACTCAGCCAGGAGAACCATCGCCTCACACAGCAGGCCACTGACGCCTCTGCAGGGAAGACGGAGCTGGCACTCCAGGGCACGAGTGCCGGGGCTGTGGGATTGATATCAGGGCGTCCCTCAGCTACAGGGCCCCCCGCGCCAATCATGAGACCACCTCCTACCTGCAGGGCTCCTCACGAGATATTTGATAACATCTATCTTCAGTCACTTATGTTACAGATATTTACAACATTCAGATTAACTTTTAAGAAAACCTGATATATTTGATATGCTTCTTCCATATTTTGATTTTCGTCTTTTATCTGGCTACACAAGTACTGGAAGCTAGACATACATTAGGCTTTAAGGAAAAATTAGGGGCACATCTTGCTGAAGCCTGGGTTTCTGTTTCTCTTAGTGTTTTAGTTATTCTGAATGTTCTCCCACAGCACTGCCAATTCCTCAGAATCACCAACTTTGTTCATATTTTTGGCTCCGCAGTCCATCTCAGCATGGATACAGCACGATTTAAATCTAAAGCTGAATATTTTGTTTTCAGTTTTCAAGATTAGGATGACATCTGCAGGTCATTAAGCACCCGCCAAGCAGTCACCAAAACCAGGGATGAAAAAGGAACAGACATGGTGCCCCTGGCACGCACCTTCACAGCAGTCCTGCCACACCCGGAGGTCTACCCTGGGGATCTCGTCACAGCTGCCGTAGCCGTGAGGGAACTCCGCCACCCTGAACACGTCGCTCTGCACCCGGGTGATGTTGTCCGCGTTGTCGCATAGGATCCTGGCCAGCGACGTCTGCTTGATCTGAGTCAGCTGGGCCGGGGAGAACACCCCAGGGTTCTCATACCACAACCTGGATCCCCCAAAATGAAAGCAGGATCAGAGAAGGGCAGGAGACTCACAGGTCACTAGGAGCTGAGTTAAAATCTCCCCTGCTTAGTTCACAGCAATACAGAAACCACTAGGTTTGATTAGGTGTCACTTAAAAATGGACTCACACACTGCTCACATCCCCTACCCCATAACAAAACCAAAGGCAGACAATCTGGTGTAAAAATGACAGTGTTGGCCAGGTGCAGTGGCTCACGCCTGTAATCCCAGCACTTTGGGAGGCCGAGGTGGGCGGATCACGAGGTCAGGAGATCGAGACCATCCTGGCTAACACAGTGAAACCCCATCTCTACTAAAACTACAAAAAATTAGCCGGGTGTGGTGGTGGGCACCTGTAGTCCCAGCTACTCGGGAGGATGAGGCAGGAGAATGGGGTGAACCCGGGAGGCAGAGCTTGCAGTGAGTCGAGATCGCGCCACTGCACTCCAGCCTGGGTGACAGAGCAAGACTCTGTCTCAAAAAAAAAAAAAAAAAAAAAAAAAAAGAACGACAGTGTTAGCTCTTCTGACTAGCAACAAAGACGATGGGCAACTTTAAAAAAACAAAACAAAACTGGCATGGCAGTTATTTCAGGTCTGCTGAAATAGTTTGTAATAGGTAGGGTCTGCCTTTCCACTACATTAAAGTAAAGTAATAACAGTAGACTAGAGATAAAACAAAGATCTTGCCCGAAGCCCAAACTCCTCTAAAGTCCCACAGTGGTTTAGCTGTATGGACTGTCCAACAGGTTTACAGGAACAGAAATATTCCTATAAATGAAGGGGTGGGAAAAGCATCATTGAACCTGGTGTGGTTGAGTTTTGAGGCTGCAAGGACATGTAAGCCCAAGGCGGTGCACAGAAGATACCAGGGCCTCAGTGCCTTCCTCATTCTCAACCGGGGACACACAGAAGACACTAGGGCCTCGTGCCTCCCTCAGTCTCAACCAGGACAGCTCTTCTCCTCTGGAGTCCCTAAGAAGGTGGCTTAGGAGCGTGCTCCCCTTTCTGGTGCACGTGCTCACCTGTCCCCATCTCGCAGGCGCTTGAACTGTGTGCTGAGAAGACACATCAGGGTGGGGCCCAGCCGGCTGCCAGGCACCAGGTCCTCCACCACGAGCGCCGGAAACAGGTCGATGTTGAGTGTCGAGCCATACAACCTAAAAAATAAAGAGAAAACTGAAATCTACCTAACAAAGCTGCACGTGGTAAAAAATACAGCAAATATAAAAACAGTTCTTTCTTTCTATCACTATTTTACATTATTTAGAATTTTACTTAACAAAGAAAATATTTACTTCTTTGCTGCATCTCTCCACAATGCTTTAAAGGATTTTCCCTACTTTCTATTATATATGTGAGACACACACACACACAAACGCATTTATTATAACAAATTTAGAAAAGCCAAGAAAAGATAAGGAAGAAAATTTAAGCCACACCTTTTCCAACTATTCAGGGATAACCACACGTAACATCATAATGTATACCCTTCCAATCTTTTTAAAATAAACATATGAACAATAAACTATATATAGCTAAATGTATATAGTTTATTGTTCATGTGTATTTTTAAAAGTATATACATTTTTAAAGAATAACATTTGATTCTACTATATATTGAAAATATATTTGCCATAAAGAAAATATCTGCTAAGCAAAGATAGGGCAAAAAACTTAGGTTTATGTGTTCAAGAACAAACATTTTCATCGACTTCTTCCAATTCCTTAGAAATATAGGCTTATAAGCAACATGTCACAACTTCTACTACGAATCAGCTAATCTCATCTTAGAACTCGACTACGCAGCAGATGATGCCTGTTTCAACTGCTATTCAAAGCTCTACTCGATTTTTAACATATATATATTCTATAATTCTCACTGCCCTTTTCTACAAAACTCAAATCAGTGACCACCAACTGAACCCTAGGATCAAGACAGATTTTGTTGCTTACTGAACAGGATGCACACAGGGCTGTGTCCTCACTGGCCATTGGTCTTACCGTAGAATAAACACAATTTTATGTAAACTAGCATTTAGTCTTTCAAAGACAAATTGTCCCTTTTTCTTCTAAGTTCAATGACATTCAGGTTGAACTTCTAGCTCTAAGATGTCCCCTGGGAGTGAAACTTGGTCGGGAGGACCCTGGCAGCATCTGGTCTGTGGCTGAGGACAGCACACTAGGGCCACCAGAAGCGTCCACACCTTTTCCCAGAGGACTCCCTCCTGCTCCGGGCGGCTCCTGCTCTGGGTGCCTGCTCTCTTCTGTCCCCCACCGCTGGGAGGGACTCACAGGGGCTGGAATAGTCACATTCCTTAGGCTCACCAGAGTCTAAAGCCTCCACCTGAATCCAAGGAGCTTCCTCCAGGGAAGAGACCTCGCAGTTCCGGAATGTCCCACGGCTGGGGATGGGCAGCAGAGGCGAGCCCAGGCCAACGCCACGCCATCCACTCGCCGTGCGGCCGTGAAACACAAAGTAGATGAGAACTACACAATCTCTACAGTCTGCCGAAGGCAACCCCTCTGCCCTGTGAAGTCCTCCTGGCCCCATGGTCTCTGATGGTCATGCATCTTTTCTCATGTTTATGTTTCATTTCCCCTTAGTCAGCAATGGGCTGAGACAGGAAAACATAAATAAAGAGACGAGGGGCTCAGTGTGTGGGTAACATCCTTAACTTCTTTACCAGGGACCTAGCATGCAACACAGCCGCGGTCCACCTGGCGCTGGGCTCCACATCTAGCTCTTTTGAAATGTTTTGAAATAAGTTTGGCAAAAGAGAGAATCATCTGGGAGAGTAATCTGTGTCAGTTTGGACAAGAACAAAGGAGGATATTTAAGCACATAAAAAACACAGACAGTTCACATCAGTCCTAATTCAGCAAAACCATGATAAAAAAATTACACTGGATTAACGGAGTGCGCACACACTTCCAAATGCCAGTAATTTAAGCGCATTATTTAAATGAATACTGGAACATATTAAATTTAATAGGACATCATGTTCATTTAGTCATAACTTACAATAAATTACAAGTAAAAAATCACTTTCCCCTAGAAGGCACAGGTCAGATCCTAACAGGGTATGTCCTAACTTCAGCGTTAAGTAACTTAGGAGTCAACTGCAGAGTCCATCAAATACAGGAAGACAGTCTTAAGAAGAAAGGGTTTTTCTTCTTTTTAAAACAATGTTTTTGAATGGGAATAACATCTCCTAATACACAGTGACCTGTGAATCTGATTCATAATCCAAGGACTGAGAAGAATCACAATGGGAAAACACTGATGAGCAATTATTTTATTTTTATTTATTATTATTTGATTGAGATGGGGTCTCTGTCACTCAGGCTGGAGTGCAGTAGCGTGATCTCGGCTCACTGCAATATCTGCCACCCAGGTTCAAGCAATTCTCCTGCTCAGCCTCCCGAGTAGCTGGGATTACAGGCGCCTGCCACCACGCCCAGCTAATTTTTGTAGTTTTTAGTAGAGGTGGAGTTTCACCATCTTGGCCAGGCTGGTCTTGAACTCCTGACCTCGTGATCCACTCACCTCAGCCTCCCAAAGTGCTGGGATTATAGGCATGAGCCACCGGGCCTGGCTGCAATTATTTCTATTTCCTTAAAATACAAAAAGCAAATAAACTGGTAGAAATAACATGAAAAAAAAGGTAGTGAGTAAAAGATGTGAATATCTAGCAAAAAGGAGAGCCGCTGAATGTCTCCACTTTGGGGAATTCTGAGTTAATGAGAACCCCACTGTGGCACCGAGTCCTGGGAAGGGGACTGGCTATGGACCCGGCAGCCCTGATCCTACCCCAGTCCTAGGCCTGGGTAGTGCTGTGGTCACTGCTTTGCCTGTAAAACTTTGCCATTTTTTCCACCCCACAGGGTCCGAGGTCTCCTAATCTACCTGGCCAGCTTCCCTTGTCTCAGGGGTGACAGCGTCCCATTTTGCCTTTGTGGCAGAACAAGGAGAACCGCACCCACAGGTGATCAAGGCTGTGGCTCAGAAGCGGCGCCATCTGTGGCGGTCATGGGCAGGTGGCCCCACAGGCCTGGGTCTGGGCAACACAGTGAGTATGGAAGATGCTACAGGCCAAGCCTTAGGGGCTGGTGGCCCCAAGGGCCCGGATCTGCAGACACCAAGCTCTGCCTCTCTCTCTGCCCCTGATACAACAGCAGGAACCCGAAGCTGCCCAACAGCCACAGTGTCAGTTTTGGTGTTTTCTGGTGCGAACAGTGTATTTTTCCCTGCAGTCAACCCCTCTGCCAGAAAAGTATAGCTCATCTCTAAGCTGAAAATGTGCCACAGCTCAGCAAAGCTCCTCTCTTGGAACAAAACAGGCCGGTGGAAGGGCCCTCCACCGTCCATCCACCCCTGGCTCTGCCCCCTCCCCACAACCACGCAGCCACGGGAGGCTGCAGGTTCCCATCTTGACCTTCATGGACTTGACCTTCATCTCACCTCTGCACGACACGAACAAAACTCACACACAGAGACAAATAACACACACACCACAGTTCAGGTGTTCCAGGTGCCTAGGTACACGAGCCATCCCACACAGCCTCTTCAGCTCACCTTTTCAGTTTCTCCCGGATCTCAGGGTTTTTAATCTCATTTTTCAGGTCCTCGAACGTGTGTGCCGCCGATAGATTGCAGTAGACCCTGTAGTCGTGGTAGGGTGGGATCCCGTGGTCCCGGCCCCGCTGGATGTTGATGGCCGCCAGGTCCAGAGCCACCGTGTGTGCCATGGAGAACAGCCGCTCCGTGAGCTCCGTGTTCAGCAGCTGCGAGGGCACACGCATTTTCCCCGCCACCCCGAACAGCCCCCTGAGAAGCGGATCGATGCCGCCCTCATTCACAATCCGGAAGGGAGAGAAGAAAGCTTTGTGAAGGGGGAGGTGATCTTGTGCAATGGGCTGGAAGTTCTCGTCCAGCCGGTAAAGCAGTGGGTTGACAAGCGTGTGGCCAAACCTGAAGGCCGCGGTGGCGAAGGCGTTGAAGATGCCAGCATTGATGCCGGGGTCGTAGCCGTGGTACTCTCCCAGCGTCCTCATGCCCACCTCCCCCAGGATCTTCGGGAGCCAGTGCTGGTAGGTGATGTGCTGGATCTCCGCACCCACGATCTTCCTGGTCTCATAGTAGATGGTGTCGCCGTCCCAGTGCGGGTTCAGCTTGAGCAGCTCCGTGGCAATGCGGTTGTGCTCGCGGAACCACAGCGTGTGCATGCTGGTCAGGCCCAGCTGCTCGTTGGCGCGGTGGTCCCCGGCCAGGAAGCAGGGGATGGGGCTCTCGTTCTCGTCCCGCATGCACTCCGTGGGCGGCCCGGTGGCGAAGGGGAGCAGCGGCTTCCCGGACCGCTGCACGATGCCCTGCCGCAGCAGGCCGCGGTGGCTGGCCAGGTCGCGGATGCTGCGGGCCTCATGCTCCGTGCTCCCGTACACGTTGGATGCGTCTATGTAGGAGGTGAGCTGGTTGATCTGCTCCCGCGGGTACACGGAGTTCATGAGCAGCGAAGTCATGCCGCTGCCGCACACAGGGCTGGAGCGCACGAAGAACATGCAGCGGGCCCCGCTCCTGGCCCGGGAGTCATTGGGGGGGATCATGACAGAGAAGCAGGGGGGGTCGTTGCTGCACACGTTGCTGCAGTGCTGTCCGTCGGAGAAGCGTGCCTGGCTCAGGGCCACCACCGTGGAGTCGAGGTCGTGGTCCAGGAACTGGCCCCACTGCATCAGCATGTGGGTGAACTGCTCGTCGGGTGTGACGGTCTCCGTCCCGATCAGGGTGGTGGACACCAGGCGCGGCATGGGAAGGGCGTGCCCGTTGTACAGTCGGTGGGGGTTGATGCCCCGAGGGGTGTTGAAGCCATTCTCGTACACGGATTTCAGCAGGCGCTCGAAGGCGGTCAGCGAGGCGCCCCACATGGGGTGCTGCAGGTTGTTACAGGTGCCGTCGTGCGTCCGGTACTTCTGGTGGAAGCACATGTCCGAGCAGTTGTTCACGCGCCGGTGGGCGGTACAGCCCGACAGGTTTGCGATGAGGTTCAGGTACTGTGGAGACACCAGGTCGTTGTAGTGGTAACCTGGGACGTGGAGAAAAGCAAGACGCACTCAATTCCCCTGGAGGATGTGTGAGGGCCCGGTACCCCTTGGCACCTCTGCCGCTGACATGGGGCTATCTACCCCCAGCTCATGAAACCTGTTGTGCGCCATGCAACAAGCGCTTCCTGCTGGAAACCTGCTCACCTCCTGTTTGGTAAAACTGCTCCTCCCCTCCTCCAGCCCCAAACACAGGTATTCTCTCCACAGCCCCAGTTTCTGGGCCCTGTCTCCCCTCCCCACTTAGCAGTCTCATGGTTTCAACCAGCAGCTCTCCTCTGGGAGACCCCTAACCGATGGAGCCCGACCCACGTTGACCAGTCCAGGCTGACACTGTTCCAACCTCACTTTAAACGCCCCGTGTAAGAGACAGTCACCACACCTCCACACGAGTGCACACCATCGGTCTCCACAGGCTGCCGAGCAGGGCATTTCCTGACACCTGTCACTGCACATCTCGGTCCACTGAGGCTTCATGCTGTTCCCTCAACGTCCAAAAGAGTGCCACTTCCTTTCACGCTACCTCAAAATGTTCCTAGCCGCCGCGCCCTCCTCTCCATTTCTCTGGCAGAATCCTGGGACTGATTTCCATGGCACTGGCCTTCAATTCCAGAAGGGCCTCCTGCCTGGTGGAGGTCATCCACACGCCCTCCCCACAGCAAGCGCACGCTCCCATGAGCCTGGCACAGGCTCCGACTAGGTCACCTTCTTGCTCAGAGACCTTCTGTCTTTGCCCACTAGCTACAGAAGAAATTCCAAACATGGTAGCCTGGGCCATCACTCCACAGATGAAAGAGATCTTCCTAAGTTCAGATCCTAGTCTTCGCCTTCAAGACACCTGCTCCAAGCAACAGCTACTCCACGTCCTGGGGTCAGACACACTCAGATCTCTGTGTTCGCCAAAGTGCTTCCTCCACATATTCATACATCCTAGGCCTTCACCTTCCTCAACACTCCTCCTTTCCAGGCACATGTCATGCCTGCCGAAAAGCTACACACACGCACACACACATGCACGCTTAAATGTTTTCCATTCACACATGCACACACTCACATGCAAACATGCTTACAGAGCCACACTCACACTTTCACGTGTGCACATACTCACAGAGTTCCAAGCCATCACTGCTTCTTTTTTCTAAAGTTTCTCCAGCCCATTTCTGCTTGTCAAGATCACAGGTATCACTATGGACACCTTTAAAGAAAACAAGAGACAGCCCCTTTTCTGTGGGGGAGCGGTGTCCATAACACCCACATAAGAATGCAAAGAATTGGAAGTGAGGCATTTTCCAGGCTGGGGAGAATAAGTCAGAAACACACACCCTGGTGTGTTGGGTGGGAAAGGTCTGTGCAGGGAACATGAACCCCGGGCTCCCCTCAGCCCCTGGTTCTGTTCTGTCTGACTTTTCCCAGAGGCTGAAACAGTGAGCTGAAACATCTGGCCCTATTTTCACAGCTACTCTTGGGAAGTCCTACAGAATTATCAATCTTGAACATCCATAGAGCCAAGAAAGCAGAGTGCCAGGAGGAAAAGCACTTCCTCCCAAATGCCTGGCTGGGCTGTGGGGCTGGTCTCCGGGCTTTCCTCCAGAATGTTCACTTTTTCCGTGGCGTTGGCCATTGGTTCAGAGGCAGACCAGACCCGCCAACCAGAGCAGGTGGCACCGACCCTGGCCCCAGTTTCCCAGGACTGGTTTGCCCACATCTGTCCTCACCCCATGCAGAGTGGTCACCCAGCCCGATGCTTGAAAATGCATCAAACCATGTTGCTTCTCTGCAGGAAACCCTAAGGTTCCCATTTCATACACAGCCAACGACATATCCTTATATTCGCTCCCAGGCCCTTTCTGGTGGAGCACAAATCTCCTTAACTTTATCAGCCCTTCCTCACCCCCTTTCCAGCCACAGTGACCACCTGCTGTTCCACTATGCTCCAACGTGCCCCACCTCCAAGACTCTGCATGTGTGGTCCCCTCAGATGCTCCAGGGAGGCCCCCTCGCCCTTGTGGGGTCCCTGCTCACGTGTCACCTTCGCCCATGGGGAACAGCACCCCATCCCAGCCAGGGCACCACCCACCTCCCGCCTGCTGTTTCTCTCTGGGTCACTCGCTGGGGCTTCTTATGTGCAGGGGCCTCTCTCTGGTTTTCCATCTGCATTTCTCTGGAAGGTCTGATCTTTGAGGGCAGAGGTTTTTATTTCTTCCGTTTGTGACTGTAGGCCCTGGCCCAGGACAATGACTGGCATAGAGGGTGTGCCCTGACAGGCAGGTGGAACGAATAAGTGAAGAAATGAGTGCCTGCATGTGCACCTAACTGCTGCTTGGGTAAACAGCAAATGTATAAAATGATTTCACATTGTTGGGGTGATTTTACTCTTTCCTTTCTGTCTTTCCCTGAGTCTAAATCTTTCTATAATTGGCATGTAATGACACACAATGGACATGCAATTCCTCACAAGGAACAGCTTCCAACAGCCTGCCTTTGAGGAGACATTTCCAGATGGCTTTATTTCTGTGGTGGCGGCAGAACCCACTTGCTGGGCTGCCACAGTAATGTTTAAAGATCTGATCCTGTAACTAAATGAAGAAAGGTAGGGAGTAGCAAGAAATTACACTTAGTAACTCCCTCTTCATTCTCTGGAGAAGAGAACATGGCCTTTCTACCAGGAGACTGGCACCAGGGACTTGGGAAGGGGCTGGGACCCATGCCTGGTACCTCTCATCCTAGTCTCCCCCTGCACCTGACAAGCAGAAAGTGCCCAATAAATACTTGTTGAAATAACAAAATGGGCTCTGATGCTTCTCCCCAAGAATGTGCCTGGGAGGTGAGGCTGGAGTTTCACCCATCGAGAAAAGCAGAAACATCCAGAGGTCTCCAACTCCAACATTTCCTGCCCTGCCCCCACCCCCGCCCCCAGCCACGAGAGGCCAGGAGAGGATCAGGAAGCAGGAGCTGCGGAACATACAGCTTCACATTGGCTGGTGCCCAGGCTTCAGCACCAACAGGGCTCCAAAACCTAACAGGACGGGGCTGGCTCAGAGCAACACTCTACTCCGAAGACGGGCATATATCACCCTACAGGTCTCAATTCCACGTCTCTTTCATTTAACCATTGAAGAACATTTTTTGCTCTAATCGTAAAAGTTATGCTCAATGAAAACAATTTGGAAAACTGAAAAATTATAAAGCAGTTCTTTCATCCCACAGGGACAGCTACTGTTACATTCTCCTCCGTGCTCTGTGTGTGTGTGTGTGTGTGTGTGTGTGTGTGTGTGTACAGAACCATGAGTAACCAGCTGCTGCTGAAAATGATGTTTTTACATGAGAAAGTCAGGGTCTTCTATGGGTTCATCAATAGTACTACTACCAGCAAGGACAATCGTGACATGTAAAGGCATCTGTTATTTACTGGGCAACGGCAAAGTGCCAGAGCAGAGTGAGTGGGGGACATACCTCCCCCAACAGCATCTCCACACCAGCCCGAGGTGATCTCATCAGCTGGTTTCACAGACCCGGGACTCTTCCAAAACAACCCTCCTAATACGCGTGGCACCGCATTCCCAGGACACAACGTCACTCAGGGAGCAAGCACGCTGCCAAGTCCTCCCTTATGGCTCATTTGTTGCAGAGGGACTGGGCTTGCATAACCCACCCTGGCCAGGATGGCATAACCCACTCAGGGCAGGTGGACCTGCTGTAGCCTGATCAGCACTCCAAGGGACTTCACGTCCCCCAGAGATTCCTATTAAACCAAAGTGAGAGCGACAGGGCTGTAGGGCTCAAGAGGAATCACAGTTTAAGGAAATAATTTCACAGTTCATAAGCACAGTGGGAAAGAAAATGCTGGAACTCTTCCCTAGGAATGTGACTTAACTGAGGCGTGTTCAACCCCGTTACTCAGGCCATGGAGGAGGAAGAAAAGGCTTTGGCACTGACTTGTTCCGTTGAGGTCGACCATCAAGCCATGCTGTACATGCTCCTGAATGAGCTGCAATGTCCGTTCAAAGATTTCTCCCGCCCGTGCCTGTTCAACTGTGTAAGGATCCCTCGGATACCGGAACAAGGCCAGCAAATCATTTGGAGAACGAGGACGGCTAACCAGAGTTTAGGGGGAAGAAAGGAAGAATGAAACAAATTACTGAAGATAAAATTCATAGTACCCCAAAATATAATCATTGCTATTAATATTTCTACGGCTACTTTCTACAACATAATGTACTATACCTTCCTCATCCGAAGTGGGAGGCAACAAAACAAAAACAAAACAAACAGACAAAAACCGGAAGACACTAAAAACAAATAATTAATTAAGTCAATAGAGAAAATCACAGATATTGCATTTCACATAAGATGCAGAAAAACTGCTTTGGAATCAGCAACGTGAACAAATACACTAATGACTTTTAAACTATTTGTTTTTGCCAAATCATTTAGTCATAAGCCAAAGGAATGAGTTGAAATTTTCAAAGAATGTTTTGGTTGTGGATCATAGCCAAATTCTATTTGAAAAGCACACATCCTTCTGTTATTTCAACCCCCAGAAAACTCAGATGCCCATGTTGTTCATGATTTTTAAATTAAACATTTTGATCATCAGATAATCAAATCAAAATTCATATATTAGAACTGCATGCATTCTTTAATCACTCCCACCTTCACCCTAAAGCTCAGTGATTTGAGGGTCAGCGTGTTTACAGCCCCACGATACCTGTCAAACAAATGTGTTCGGGTTGAGTTTATAGCTCTGTCAACAGTCGCAATCGCTTCCACGATGGAGGTAGCTACAAACGGATCTCCATTTCGACTGACGTCAGGAACTAGGAAAATACAAAGTCGCGTATTACCAGGAAAAATACTGCACAATTACTCATAAAATGATGTCTAGACACTACATCATTAGCCACAAGGCATACTTTTCTCCAAATGTTATTTCTATTTTTCAAACCCAAACTCAAATTATTTTATCACAAATTCTACTAGAAGCCGTTTCAGACAGCATGAAAATTACAGACTTTAGCTTTTGAAATCATGTTATACCTAAGAAGAAGACAGGAAGTAGTTATAATGTGAAGCATGGAAGATCTTACGCTATATGCAACAGCATGTGGGAGGTGTGGACTGAGGCCTCCCTGTGTGGCCAGCCCAGCAGACAAGATGTCTGTGGAGACACCTCAGTGTCCAGCAGATCTCGTCCATTCCTCTCATCAAAGGCCACAGCCTCCCTGGACTCCGGGATCCTAACCCACTCCCCTCTTTAAAGATCTGCTGCCTCCATGATCCCATCTTCTCACCTGTGGACTTGTATCATTACACAGGGAAACTCCCTCCTCACACACACCACACACCACACACACACAATCACATTATACACACAGGCGCACACACACCACCTACATAGAACATTATACACAGACACACACACTATACATAGCACATTACATGCACGCCACACACAGATCCACACCACACATGCACCACACACACAGCACATTATACACACATGTCACATTATACACAGAAACACATACCACACACAATCACATTATATACACAGAAACACATACGCCACCTACACAGAACATTATATAGAGACACACCACGCCACACATAACACATCACACACACGCCACACACAGATACATACCACACACACACCACACATATAGTACATTATACACACACAAATCACATTACACACACACACCACACACATCACATTATACACACACATCACATTGTACACACAAACACACATACACCACACACACAAATCACATTGCACAAACACACCAGAGGTATGCACCACACACTGCACATTATACACAGACACACAGACACCACACACACACATCTGCCCCTCCTGACAGCAACCTGCCCCTCCTGACAGAAACCTGTCCCCTCCTGACAGGGACCTGCCCCTCCTTACTGGGATCTGCCCCTCCTGGCAGGAACCTGCCTTCTCCTGACAGGAATCTGCCCCCTCCTGACGGAAACCTGCCCCCTCCTGACTGAAACCTGCCCCCTCCTGACTGAAACATGCCCCCTTCAGACAGGGACCTACCCCCTCCTGACACATGCCACCTACACAGCACATTAAACACAGACACACGCCACACATAGGACATGACGCACACACCACACACACACAGATTATATATGCAGATACACACAAAAATCACACATCCATCACACTACACTCAGATACACACGACACACACATCACATTAGACACACATACACACCACACAAATACAACACACCCAGCACCTTATAAATAACACGCACATAGCCCATCAAACATATAGATACACACGACACTATACACACAGATACACACTACACATACCAACACCATAGCATACCACACATACTCATCACACTATAAACACACAGACACACCACACAACACACACAAACACACACCCCAAACACCACACAAACACACAACATACACAAACACACCAAACCAAAGAAACACACACACACAGAATCACACACCTTATCTACCCCTAAAGTTACTGCCCTCTTTCTAGTTCCCTCTTGTCATTCTTTTCTGCTTAATAGTAAGTCCCTAGTTGATACTTTACCAAATACTATAAACTAATTCCAACCAACTTTTATTTTTAGTGATGAAAACAGCTCTAACCATCTCACCCAATGACATGAACCCTAATAAATCCAAAGTTGATTTCATTTTTCTTCAACATACGCAATCTTTTGACAGACGCTGACACAGCCCAACACACCCTTACAAAAAAGCTTCTTTCACTTGGCTGCTGGGACACAGCCCTCTATGGGGACCTGCCCCCTCTTGACAGAGACCTGCCCTCTCCTGACAGAAAGCTGCCCCCTCCTGACTGAAACCTGCCACTTCCTGACAGGGACCTGTCCCCTCCTGCCTGAAACCTGTCCCCTCCTGAATAAAACTGGTCCCCTCATGACAGGCACCTGCACACTCCTGACTGAAATCTGCCCCATCCCGACTGGGACCTGCCCCCCTGACAGAAACCCGCCCCCACCTGACTGAAACCTGTCCCCTCCTGACAGGGACCTGCCCCCTCAGTACTGGGATCTGTCCCCTCCTGACAGGAACCTGCCTTCTCCTGACTGAAGCATGCCCCCTTTGGACAGGGACCGAAACCTGTACCCTCTTGACAGGGACTTGCCCCCTCCTGACTGAAACCTGCCCTCTCCGGACAGGGACCTACCCCCTCCTGACTGGAACCTGTCCCCTCCTGACAGAAACCTGTCCCCTCCTGCCTCAGACCTGTCCCCTCCTGACTGGGTTCTACTCCCTCTGACTGAGAACTGCCCTCTCCTGACTAAAACCTACCCCCTGCTGACAGGGACTGACCTTGCCCCTCCTGAATGAAACTTGGCCCCTCCTGGCTGGGACCTGCCCCCTCCTGACAGGGACCCGAACTCTTTAAACTGCAACTTACCCCTCCTGACTGGGGGGGGACCTGCCTCCTACTGACTGGGGGGGAACCTGCCACCTCCTCCTGGGACCTGCCCCCTCCTGACTGAAACTTGCTCTCCCCTGACTGGAACCTGTCACCTTCAGACTGGGAACAGCCCCCTCCTGACTGAAACCAGCCCCCTCCTGACAGGGACCTGCCCCTCCTGACAGAAACCAGCCCCAACCTGACTGAAACCAGCCCCAACCTGACTGAAACCTGCCAACTCCTGACTGAGACCTGTCTTCTCCTGAAGGGGACCTGCCCTGTCCTAACTGAAACCTGCCGCCTCCTGTCAGGGACCTACCCTCTCCTGACAGGGACCTGCTGCCTCCCGACTGAAGCCTGCCACCTCCTGACTAGGACGTCCCCCTCCTGACTGGGACCTGCCCTCTCGTGACAGACACCTGGCCCTCCTGCCTGAAACCTGGCTGCTGACTGAAAGCAGCTCCCTCCTAACAGGGACCTGCCCCCTACTGACAAGGAACTACCCTCTCTTGACAGCGACCTGCCCACTCCTGACAGGGACCAGCCCCTCCTGTGTGAAACCTTCCCCCTCCTGACAAGAACCTGCCCCCACCTGACAGGGACGGGCCCCCTCCTGACTGAGACCTAGTCCTTTCCTGACAGGAACCTGCCCCCTGTTGTCTGGAACCTGTCCCCACCTGACAGGCACTTGCACCCTCCAGATTGGGACCCGCCCTCTCCTGACAAGGACGTGCCCCCTCCTGACCGAAACCTGCCCCTCCTGACTGAGACCTAGTCCCTTCCTGACAGGAACCTGCCCCCTCTTGCCCCCTCCTCACTGGGACTTGCCCCCTCACTGTGATTTCCTTTCTCCTTGTCTCTTCCTCCTGAGCACTCCATTTCAGCTGTGGGCTCTCTCTCTCTCTCTCTCTCTCTCTCTCTCTCTCTCTCTCTCTCTCTCTCTCTCTCTCTCTCTCTGTTACAGTGTCTGCGTGCGTCCACTCTCAGTGTCTTTTTGCTCATTCTGCCTTGCCCGCCCGGCCTCTGAGGCTGCAGCTCCAGCACAGTGACTGGGTGTTCTGGTCCTCCACAGCATCTCCCTGTGTGGTTCCACTTCACGCTGTTGTCTTCAAATTTACACCATCGTCCTGACCTCTCCCTGCAGCTCACTTCGTGGCTCTCACCACCCACTCCAGGCTTTTCCCTTTTCCATGCTCAAACAGGACTCCTCCATCTCTTCTTCCCCAAGCCGGTTCCTCCCCAGCTGTCTCTGGGTCTCAATGGGTGACACTGACAGAGCCCAGCAGTCCCCCCACAGTGCAAGCCAACTACTGCCAGGCCCCCTCAGATCTGCTACTGGCCACGAGCCCAGGGACCAGCCCCGCAGACCCCAGCTGTGGGCCCGGGTGCAGGCACTCCTTCTCCCACTTGGCCCAGCACCCCCCACTATCCTCCCCGACACCTCGCCCTGGACCCTTCATCCACAGCCCAAGCCAAATCTTAGGAAAGCAGACTGGCTCACGGTGCTCCTCTGCTGGGAACTTCCTCATGGCGTCCCGGTATGTCTGCAAGGACAGTCGAGCTCTGCAGCCCAGTTAGCACCAGGACCCCCAGGACTGCCCCAGCCCTGTGCTCCCCACCCCCCGGCATCGGGCTCATTCTGACCCCAGGACCCCCCCACTCTACTCTCCCAGACCAGGCTGCCCCTGCCACCCCCCATCTCCCCGCGGCTCCCTCTGCTCAGAATTCAATACGCAGGCGAGTGCTGACCACCTCTGCTTCCCCCTCCGGCCCATGCCTTGCCCTGCGGTTCCTCACGGACTCCTCACCATCTGAGCGTGACTGCTCATCTCACTGCTTCTTACTCATCTCTCCACCAGGATCTAACTCCATGGAGCCGAGTGCCTGGCACACCTGGCTCAGCACTGAGGACAGAGTCCAGCCCACGAAGGCATTTGCTGAACGAACGACCAAGTGGCGGCGACTATTGGTGATAACTGGGCCAACCCGAGGGCCCTTCTGAACCATCTTCTTACAACATGTGCTCACACCGGACTATGGATGGACATCTCCAGCCTGATTTATTTCACCGCTAACAGACATCACAGGCATGTGGATTAGGTGAGCTCATTGGCTATTTTGCATATTTGAGGTATGTATACATGGACAACTCAAATGGCTGAAAAGAATTTCAGCTAGGCAGAAACCTTACTTTTTGGTGTGTATCTCAGAGCCCAAATTTACTAATTTTTGGAATGCAATATTTTTATGCCAATAGGTAGATAAATGAGACATACAATTTTATATAATTTTATGACTCACATTTCATTCTTATTAATGGTTTAAGTTGAATTTGTATTTCTATAAGCAATGATCACAGAAAAATAATCCAAAAGCATTTCTTTATCTACCTTTTTATAAAAGGAAAAGGAATCCAACCATAATATTAATGATGGTATTTTTGGGGGATGGAATTACGGGTGGACGATTAAATTTCAGATGTAATTAATTCATGTTAAGGTAGCATTTTTCAAGCAAAAAACAAATATTAATTTTAAATAATCTACTGGTTTTTAAGTTTCATCAACTTAATTTTACACTTAATTTTACACTTAATTTTACATCAACTTTACATTTCACACTCTACATATAATGGGAAAATAAGGTCACTTAAGACTTTTCCTAAATAATTCTTAAAAGTCTTTGAGGAATTCCATTACGGTTCACATTTATGTCTGCCATGTTCATGGCACTGAGTGGGGGTCACTCTTCCTGTCTGTTAACAAGTCCCATGGAGAAGGCGGATCAGTCACAATGAGAGTGGAAAAGGCAAAAATAGAGTCACAGTGGAGGCCCGGGGGAAGGCCAGCGCCTGCGGGGAGTGGGGTGATGGCCAGAGGGTCCTTTACCCCGTGAAGGGGGGTTTGTGCGCGTTCTCAGAGTGTTGCTAACTCTAGGGGGACAGAGCAGGAGTGGGGAACACACCACTGATGAGGCGCAGGTTTGGGTCACACTGTGAAGACTCCATGCAAAGCTAAAGGGTGTGAGTGTCACCCTGGTGGCCACAGGAGACATGGAGAAGGGTCAGGGACACATCATGGGCATCATGGGGTCTGTGGGTTGAGAAAGAGGGGCCAGAGTGACCCGGGCCTCTGTTACAAGAACCCGGACAAGATGCCAAGGGCCTCGGGGTGAGTGGGATGGAAGTGGTGGCGGACCAGGATGCAAACAGACAGATGCAGGCATGGAGTCAGGACGGCTCTAGGACCACCGACTGGATCTATGTAAGGCTGCCTACGAGCACCTAGAGGTTCCCACTGAAAGATGCTTCCAGAGCATTCCTGGCCAAAGCCCGAGGAGAGAGAAACCGCAGCTAAGGAATCAGAATCTCTTCAAGCAACCATATTTGCCAAATTGTAACTGTAAATTACACCTGGTCATTTCTGGACAGATGTGGATGACCCCGGAGCAAAGCTCTGCCCAGTGGATGGGCTGCAGGGTAAGACATTGCCCAGTGGACAGGCTGCAGGACAAAGCTCTGCCCCGTGGATGGGCAGCAGGGCCTCCAGGTGCCTGTGTGGAGGGGAGGGGCTGTCGAGCAGCCCGGCCATGCATCAGGAGAGTGTCCCCACCTGGGAATCAAGGGTGCTTTGTCTTCTGAATAATTCTGAACAGCCTAAGTCAACTGGCCTGGGACCACACTAGGGACCTGCGGGCTTTCTTTGTGGATACCATGTGGGTAGATGTGGGCATGTGGCATCTTACCATTCACACTGAGCACCATGCTCACCGAGGCCGACCCAATGGTGTTCCGGGCCACACACTCATAGCGACCTGCGTCTGCAGGGCCAACGTCATTGATGGTCAAGAATCCTTCAGGGCTGATGTGAAATTTTCCACTTTCTGTCACCTGAACCCCATCCTGGAGCAAAACAGAATGAAAACAGTATTAGAAATAAGACTAAGAAGCAGAAGTTATCTGACCTAGGGTTGGGGGAGGGGAGCCATTTGTTAGGATTTGCAAATGGAGAAGCTCCCAGGCTGCGCTCAGATCCATCCAGGCCTGGAAAGCGAAGGAGATGTGGTCAGTTCTCCCAGTGCCAAGCTGGCGAGATAAACTCTTCCCACATCTCATTCTTTGGGAGAACAGAGCTTGACAGCTTGAGGCAAGGATGATTTTCCACAATGAGGAGAAGAGGCACCAATGATGGCTCCCTTAGACACCCGCTATGGTGGGGGGCCCTACAAAGAGACCTAGGAATGTCTCAGAAAGAGAGGGCACTGGCGCCGAGGGCAAAGAAGGATTCAGAGGCAGACGCAGAGGGACAGGTGACCTCCCAGCTGAGGCAGGAACAAGAGCAGATGCCTGGGGTGTGTGTGGCGAGGAAGAAAAGGACACAGAGATTCACAGGGCAGTGCAGGGATGCAGGTGGAGGATGGGACCATCTCCGCTGAGCACTCTCCTTCCATGGGGACCAGTGTGGCCAGCCCTGTGCTCCCGGGAGGGAATTCACAGAAACACGGGTCATGGTGTGTGAGTGCTACCCACATTTTCCTACTGAGCTTAATAAAAACAGCAAAGAAATGAAATAACGATGAAAACCCTTCCTTATTGATGATGAGACCATAGTTCTATAAGAGGGTTTTTCTTTGCTTTTGTTATTGAAAAGATCAAAAAAATGGAATGCTCCAAGTTTGTTTTGTTCTTATTAGTAAGGATGCCCTGAGTATTTTTACCTCAAGGCTTAAGATCTGAATGTTTTTCTTTCTGCTACAGAAAGTCTATAGAGGAAGTGGGCAGGCAGCAGCTGTCCAGCCCATCATACCCCACAGCAGAGGGGAGGCTGGGGCGTGGGCACTGGTCCGCCTACCTTGCTCCAGGTAGTGGGTGGTGTGGGTGCCAGCCCGTCTACCTTGTATCTGGGTGGTGGCTGGCTCGGGCACCAGACCGCCTACCTTGTTCCAGGTGATGGCTGGCTCGGGCTCGCCCTGGGAGCTGCACGGGAGCTGCACATTGGCGCCCACCTCCACTGTTGTGTCGCTGGGAATGCTGGCAAACACTGGGGTGACTGGAAGGCAGATGTAGAGAATCCAGGAGAACGAGTCAATTACATCAAAAAACTTCAGAAGAACAAAATCCCCTGCCCTCCATCAGGCCCACTCAGGGATGCTGGGAGCTCACAGTCAGTTTCAGAATGGGCCCTTTCTCTGCCTCCCAGCAGCCTCTGCACAGGGCAGGGGAGCCTGAAAGATCCCAGGGAAGATCCGCCCGCCTCCCCGCCTCTCAGGGCAAGGAGAGCAAAGCATAGCCAGTGTCTTCCCTGCTCAGAGACAGACAGCCGCAGGGTCCAGGATGGGCTGGCTGCCATGTCCTCCAGCCCCCAGTCCCTCACCGATGGTGGGGCAGTCTCAGGCATATGCTGTGCCGCAGGGCCCACAGAGGATAACAAGCTCTGGGGAGAGCCCGACTCTCGGAGAAGGAAACAGAGGGGAGCTTCCTCCTCTGAAAGAGCAGGAGCGTGGCTGAGTGCTGGGATCTGGGGAGCCGTTCAGGAATCCCACCCCCGCATTCTCTATACAGGCACCCAGCGTTCTGCTAGGTCAGGGACGCCAAGGGCAAACCCAAGAAACACAGAGCCAACCCGGCGGGCCGGTCATCAACAGCCTACTGACAACAGGCAGAGGGGAGCCCCTTCTAGAGGTCTGCACAGTCTCAGGACAGCCCCAAAGTGACGCAAGGAAATCCAGCCCTATCCTCCCCGCACGACATCTCTGCCCCACTCCCCATGGTCCCCATGACAAGCTCAGGGTCTGTGGCAACCTGGATTACTCAGCTCTGGGGGCCACTCATGCTAACACTGGAGTTAGCACAGGGCGCCTGCAACACGGGGGCTGGGCCAGGGGCCTTCGCTCTTGCAGAGGCCACAATCAGTGCTACGCTGATTCTATCGGGAGGGATATGAGGTTGTGGGGATTCTTCTCATTGGAGAGAACAGGCAAAGGCGACATCCAAAAAGAACAAGATGAAGACCAGGGTCCAAGGATGAGCGGGCAGACGGGAAAGAAACTGGATTTGGCCTCATGATACATCATCTGGGGTCTGTGCCTTGGGAGCTGACTTGATTAGACTGTGTTACTTAAATAACCACCCCAGAAAGGGCAGTTAGAAACAACCCTTTTCTAAAATAATCTTAATTAACCAAGGGAAAAAACCTGATAGATTTTACTTTAACAAGTCACTCTTATCCAAGTTCAAAACAACCATCACTGAAAAATAAGCAAATGTTTTCACCCGCTAAAGGGACAGAGATTGAATGAGCTACTATGCAGACACCCTGGGGGCACAAGCACAATGACGGTGCACAAAATGCAGAGAGAACAGCCAACGCTTTATAACGAAGAGTAACACTAATGTCAGCTGCGGAATTCTGTGTTTCCTGATAACCGATCTGAGAAAATCAATTCAGTCCACAACCTCCTGGCACCTACCTCTGGGCTGCACAGTCAGGTGGGCCACGACCTTCTGGGAGCCGATGATGTTGACAGCCTGGCATTCGTACTGGCCCTGGTCGTGGAGGGCAACACCAGAGATTCTAAGTGTTCCCGATGACAGGACCAGGTGCCGCCGGTCCACGGAGAGCTGGCTCCCTGCAAGGGCATGGGCCCGTT
The DNA here is from genome assembly GCF_000001405.40 of Homo sapiens. Lineage (NCBI taxonomy): Eukaryota > Metazoa > Chordata > Mammalia > Primates > Hominidae > Homo > Homo sapiens. The sequence continues at coordinate 1,663,785 of NC_000002.12, forward strand.
ACACTGGACACTCGGACGCATGGAGAACTCCTGCTCTCAGACTGACAGCATGACCACAGAAGCTTGTCTCCACCTGGGTCGGGGCGCCGGATAATTTGGCCTGGCCCTGCATAAGCAAATCTTTGCCTCCCCAGCAGACACCATGGTGACACCTGAACGTCCCTGCACCCGTAACTCAGACAGAGGGGTTGACAGTGGCAGAGAACAGAGGGAAAAGCACTACACAGGGGGCCAGGAGGACATGGGGACTCGGGGAGTCAGAGCGGGGTGGATGGCCAGCTGGGAGAACCAGGGAGAGGATTGAGTGCTGGAGATGACGAAGAGCCAAGCGAGGCCCCAGCAAGTTCCTTTCCGGGATAAACCTCTCCTGTTCTTGCCCATAACTGCCTGAGAAAAGGGAAATCCAGGGCGTGTGATGCAGGCACAAGCCTCCTCCCCAAAGACTTTCAGGAGCCCTGGGTGGGGCCCCTCAGAGGGCTGAAGGGATGGGCTGGCCATTTGGTGCAAGCTGGAGTGGCCAGGATGTCTCAGGGTCACTGCTTGCATCCCAGGACAGGAACCAGGAGGTCTGCGTAGCTCCTTCTCCAGCAGTTTCAGCTCCTGCCCTCACCCCAACCCCCATCCAGGCTGTGCCTTTATGCAGTAACATGCCCAGCGACTTTCCCATTGAAGAAAGAGGGCTAGGACTGTAGGCAAAGAATGTGATGAAAGGTCATGATGCCGAATGGGGAGGTGACAGTGAGGGCTCTGGGAAGCAAAGTCAGAGCAAAAGCTATTCGTCTGTTTCAATATATTCCTCGACTGTTTCCAGAAAATTCTATCCTCCATGCAAATAGATTCCTTCAAGAGGCTACTTAAAAGCACATCCTAGAGACTATCTGAAACAAGGCAGGTGTGAGGGAGTCAAAGGCAGGAACCCCAAGTCTCTTCCGCAATGACAGAGCTTCTCAGAGTTTCCTGCCATGATGTCCATGAGGGACGGCCATGCATGGACAGGAAGCCGCGGGGGATGTGCAGACACCTCTGCGCTTCCCAGTGCCTTGGTCCTGTGGAATCCAGTCCCAGCTCAGCCCTGTCCAGAACACGCTGGGGTTGCCTGGGCACAGTGGAAATGTGTGCTTCCTGCGTCTGTGGCCGCGGAGGGAGCAGGCAAAGGGCCGGCCTGGGTCTTACCTCCCTTGGTCCAGGCGATGACGGGCGGCGGGTTGCCCTTGGCTTCACACTGGAAATCCACGGTCTGGCCCTCAATAACGACTCTGTCCTGAGGCGTCACAGTGAACTGAGGAAGAGCTTCCGGAGAGAAAGCATTCAAAACAGGACATGTAAAAAACAGCCTGGGGTAAAAACGCGACCAAGAAAATGACCACAGTCTTGGCAGACGTCTGACCATTAGGAGCAATGTCTACAACGAAGAGTCAGAAAGAGGCAGAGGGCACAGGAGAAGATGGGAGCAGAACGGAAAGAAGATGAAGGATGGGTGTGTTCTCAGCATCACCCTGGAAAGCACACAAAGACCGTTCAACCACACCGCCAGCTGCAATGCACACGGGGCACGGATGAGGACACACTGCAGCTCGTGGACACCAGGCCGACTTACAACGATTCCTCTCAATCCTCACCCTAAACTAATATTTGCAAATGCTTAAAAAATGCCATCTGGTATAGCTGTGTATGATGATAGTGGTTATTATCACTGGATGAAAAACATAACTTACAGAATAGTATTGTCTGGTATGATTCCATTTTTATAAAAGTAACAGCCACAAAAAAAGTAAATCCATGTAACGCAGTTGCACTGCTGTGCGTGCAGATTCTCGACAGATTGCCAGTGAGACAGGAAAGGGCTGAAGAGAGGCCAGCAGAAGGAAATGATTGCTCTATCTCTAATATCATCTCTAATAATTTATCTTTTGCACTTCCGTATTGTTTGAATGTTTTCCAACAAAGTCCCACTTCACAAGAATAACTCATTTTACAGTCAATTAAGCAATGTAGAAATCCATGGCAGATGGCGTAAAACGATGAATACTCCCAGATTACATCCAAAACTGACCTTAGGGAAGGATTCAAAGCTGTCTGCAAGGTGTATCAACCACCTTACTGCACATGTGCATGCATGTGTGCACACCCACACACACACACTCTCTCTCTCACTTATCTGATAGACACTCCTGCTGGCCAGGTGCTGGAGGTACAGAGACACGACAGCCAGCACACAGAGCCCATACTACAGAGCCTTCTGTTCCAAAAATCTACAAACTGCAGTCGTCTGTATTTAGTCCAAGGGGGGTGTAATGGATAAAAATCAACCGAGTGAAGTGGACAGGGCAGAAGATTCTATGGAGCGTCTGTGGGTATGGCAGCGCGAGCTAGTGGAGGGGTGAGGATGGGGCTGAGCCCTGGCTCTGGCACAGAGGATGGATACCCACCCTGGACGATGATGAAAGCGGTGGCATGGACGCTGTCAATGTTGTTGGTCGCAGAGCACGCATACTCTCCGCTGTCCCCCTGTACGACGTTCTGTATGTAAAGCCCGCCAGAAGGCGTGATGTTCACCCGCGGGTCAACTGGCAAGGGTGTGCGGTCACCTCTCGTCCAGGAGATCCGCGGCGGGGGGTGGCCTGTGGCGCTGCACTCCAGCGTGACGCTCTCCCCAACCAGCACCTCTGTATTCTGTGGCTGGATTACAAAAGTGGGTCGAGCTGTCACAATTAAACAGAAATTCTCAATTAATTTCTCCCGGTTTGACATGGTTTTTGCTTGATTTTTCCTATGTCAGGCTATTAATTCTATTTACCACCGAAATAGGCAAAACAAACACAACGTAACTGCATATTTTCTTTTTAAAGAAATGTGCAGACAATAAAAATGGTTCACAGCCTCGGGTCAAACAAAATGCAGGCCACGTGAGAAAAGTGAGCAACCATGATCGGTTAGGAAGAGCTAATTAGGAAGCGCTTTTTCTTAAAACATGTGCCGAACTCCATGGAGGTTTCTTATTTCTAAATAAAATACATTATGTCAATCTTGTTAGACCTTGCTAGTAGTTCTTATTGGCACAAATTATTGTTAGGGAAGTATATTTAGAGTATACAAAATATCAAATTTACTCACAAAAAATGCAAATTAAAAGTAAGCAAGAAATAATATTTTTCAAATTTAAATCCAGAAAAAAGTCCATACAATTATGAATGTGTTTCATGTGTGAGTTTGTGTGGAAACAGAACTCTCCCATGCTGGCAGTGGGAGCACACCCTGGCCCAGCCCACCTGCAGGGACGTGGCCGTGCATACTGACACTGAAGATGTGCACACTCTATTGCCCAGAAATGACCCTGCCAAACAAAAGCCAGCAGAAGACAAGAAATAACTAAGATTAGAGCATAACTGAAGGAGACAGAGACACGAAAAACCCTTCAAACAAAAATGAATCCAGGAGCTGGATTAATTTGAAAAGATTAACAAAATACATATTTTGTTAATCGGTTTGACAAATGGATTAGATAGACTGCTAGCCAGACTAATAAAGAAAGAGAGAAGAATCAAATAGGATAAAAAATGATAAAGGGGATATCACCCCTGATCCCAAAGAAATACAAACTACCATCAAAGAATACTACAAACACTTCTACACAAATGAACTAGAAAATCTGGAAGAAAGCGGTAAATTCCTGGACATATACACCCTCCTAAGAGGGTATTCAAATAGGAAGAGAGGAAGTCAAATTGTCTCTGTTTGCAGACGACATGATTGCATATTTAGAAAACTCCAACATCTCAGCCCCAAAACTCCTTAAGCTTATAAACAACTTCAGCAGAGTCTCAGGGCACAAAATCAATGTGCAAAAATCACAAGCATTCCTATATACCAATAATAGACAAGCAGAGAGCCAAATCATGAGTGAACTCCCATTCATGATTGCTACAAAGAAAATAAAATACCTAGGAATACAACTTACACAGGACTTGAAGGACCTCTTTAAGGAGAACTACAAACCACTGCTCAAGGAAATCAGAGAGGATACAAACAAATGGAAAAACATTCCGTGCTCATGGACAGGAAGAATCAATATTGTGAAAATGGCCATACTGCCCAAAGTAATTTATAGATTCAATGCTACTCCCATCAAGCTACCATTGACTTTCTTCACAGAGCTAGAAAAAACTACTTTAAATTTCATATGGACCAAAAAGCAGCCCGTATAGCCAAGACAATCTTAAGCAAAAAGAACAAAGCCGGAGGCATCACACTACCTAACTTCAAACTATACTACAAGGCTACAGGAACCAAAACAACACGATAGTGCTACCGAAACAGAGATATAGACAATAGAACAGAACAGAGCCCTCAGAAATAACACCACCCATCTACAACCATCTGATCTTTGACAAACCTGACAAAAACAAGCAATGGGGAAAGGATTCCCTATTTAATACATGGTGCTGGGAAAACTGGCTAGCCATATGTAGAAAGCTGAAACTGGATCCCTTCCTTACACCTTATACAAAAATTAACTCAAAGATGGATTAAAGACTTAAACATAAAACCTGAAACCATAAAAACCCTAGAAGAAAACCTAGGCAATAACATTCAGGACACAGGCATGGGCAAAGACTTTGTGACTAAAACACCAAAAGCAATTGCAACAAAAGCCAAAAGTGACAAATGGAATCTAATTACACTAAAGAGCTTCTGCACAAGAAAAGAAACTATCGTCAGAGTGAACAGGCAACCTATAGAATGGGAGAAAATTTTTGCAATCTCTCCATCTGACAAAGGTCTAATATCCAGAATCTACAAGGAACTTAAACAAATTTACAAAAAAAAAAAACAACCCCATCTAAAAGTGGGTTAAGGATATGAACAGACACTTCTCAAAAGAAATTTATGTGGCCAACAAACATATGAAAAAAAAGCTCATCATCACTGGTCATTAGAGAAATGGAAATCAAAACCACAATGAGATACCATCTCATGCCAGTTAGAATGGCGATCATTAAAAAGTCTGGAAACAACAGATGCTGGCGAGGATGCAGAGAAATAGGAACATTTTTACGCTGTTGCTGGGATTGTAAATTGGTTCAACCATTGTGGAAGACAATGTGGCGATTCCTCAAGGATCTAGAACCAGAAATATAATTTGACCCAGCAATCCCATTATTGGGTATATACCCAAAGGATTATAAGTCATACTACTATAAAGACACATGCACACGTTATGTTTATTGCAGCACTACTCACAATAGCAAAGACTTGGAACCAACCCAAATGCCCATCAATGATAGACTGGATAAAGAAAACGTAGCACATACACACCATGGAATACTATGCAGCCATAAAAAAGAATGAGTTCATGTCCTTTGCAGGAACATGGAAAAAGCTGGAAACCATCATCCTCAGCAAACTAACACAGGGACAGAAAACCAAACACCGCATGTTCTCATTCATAAGTGGGAGTTGAACAGTGAGAACCCATGGACACAGGGAGTGGAACATCAAACACCAGGGCCTGTCGGGGGGTTGGGGGAAAGGGGACAGAGAGCATTAGGACAAATATCCAATGCCTGTCGGGCTTAAAACCTAGATGACAGGTTGATAGGTGGCAGCAAACTACCATGGCACATGTATACCTATGTAACATACGTGCACATTCAGCACATATATCCCAGAACTTAAAGTAAAATTTAAAAATATATATATTCTGCTAGAAACTTAATCCATAGATATTTTTACAAGCACATAAAATGTCATATGTCCAAATAAATTTTTGTTTGGGTCAGACGTGGTGGCTCATGCCTGTAATCCCAGCACTTTGAGAGGCTGAGGTGGGCAATCGCCTGATGTCAGGAATTCGAGACCAGCCTGGCCAACATGGCGAAACCCTGCCTCTACTAAAAATACAAAAATTAGCCAGTATGGTGGTGCACACCTGTAGTCCCAGCTACTCGGCAGGTTGAGGCAGGAGAATCACTTGAACCAGGGAGTCAGAGGTTGCAGTGAGCTGAGATCTTACCACTGCACTCCAGCCTGGGCAACAGCGAGACTCTGTCTAAATAAATAAATAAATAAATAATTTTTGTTTGTTTTCCTTTTGCCCTGTTGTTTCTTCAGGTCAACCATCCTTATCTGCCATGCTAAAATTCAGAAAGCTCCAAAAATCATTATTTTTTCATAACTTATTTGTTTGCAAAACTGGATCTAGCTAGCATAAGACTACCTATAGTCTTTATGCTACTTTCTGTGAATATCCATACAGTTTGCTATAGGATATTAATACATTGATTACAGGGCTCTGCTGACAGTCTAAACTGGTATGTGGATTTTACACTATGCTACCCTTCTGAAAATTTCCCCAAGTTTCTGGATATCAAAAGACATCTGGCCCAAAGGCTTTTGAATAAATAACACACAACTGTGATAGCTAAAGATTTGGAAAAAAATCTAAACTCACTCCAAAAGAGAACTTGTTAAATAAATTATGGTGCATTTAGATCATGGAATTCTATGCAGCTATACAAAGAAAGAGAGTAAGAAACCTCATGTATTAAAAGTGAAAGACTAGAAAGATTTCTAAGATATCATCTAAGAAAAATCACTTGCCTCAAATATGCTTACATTTTTTTGTATATAGATAGGAAAGAAACTACTAAGCATTTTGGGAAGAGGGGAAGGGAATAGGAGTTGAGCGGATGACGAAAAGAGCCAGGAGGAAGACTTTCTACCTTTTTTATATATGTTAATATGTAAGCTGTGTTAATCAAATATTTAAGTATAAATTATAAAAAATACAGAAATGACATTTAATATTAGTATTTCTATCAGAATAACAAACTGGAAACCATGAAGCTACTCACAGAAGTACGAACACCAAAGTCAAAGTCGGCCTTGAGGGCATCTGCAGACCCTTATAACTTAAATTTAGCCTTAAGAGCCTCATGTGATACAGAAGACAAGACACAGATCAACACAGGCCCATGAAGAGAAGTCCACCAGAAAACTGAACAGCAGCTGCATCCCCACAGTGCTGTGCCCTCGGCATGAGAAAGAACTAACTTCAAAACCTGCCTGCCCCACCCAGGGAACAGTGCCCAGTAGAAGAGAGAAATAAATCTCATTTAAGTGTTGTTCACCAAAATCCGGTCCTCACGTGAACTTGCTGCCCAACTCCCCCCACATCAGGCAGAAGGAAGGTGATCCCCGACAGAAGAGCTGAGATAAACAAAGGAAGGACAAAGGAAGTGGGAACCACATGGATGCATCCAGACAAACACTGGGAGAACAAAATAATAATGTTTATAGGTTTAAAAAAAAAACAGAACCAAGCACATCAACTCAGAGGGATGAACGCACGTTAGAGGGGAAGGTTATACTAACTTTAGGCTTTGGCAATTTAAGAATGCATTTAAAATTTTCTAGGCTAACCATTAAAAGAACAGAAATGGGCACATAGTGTCCAAACAAGTAGTGGGGAGCAAATATGAAAAATAATTATTTCCAACTAAAGCAAGAAACATAGAAAAGTTTGGACAAACAGTTCAGAATAAGAGCTAGAATTTATAAATCTCATATTGTTAACTACAATAAACATATTTAAATGGATTAACTTTAAGAAAAACTTAGGATTTTTTTTTTAAATTTCTAGCTCTATGTTATTTATATTAAACATCTCAAATATATGCACATGGAAAGGCTCGGAGAAAAATGGTGGGAAAAGACACACCTGCCAATACGAATCAAGTAGAAGCTGCTGTATTTATCTTACAACAAATTTACCTTGAAGCAAAAAGCACTGATAGAGATAGAAGTGTTACTGATCAAAAATGTAATTCATCAGAAAGATAAAAATTGCAAACTTTTTATATGCTCCTAATCACAGAGCTTCAGGATACTGGGTGCGATATGCCCCTTTGTGTCTCACAGAGACCTACACGTCACTCTATTCCTATTACTATATATTATTACCATAGTCCGTGACAGCAGTTGGCCATTTTTTTCTGTAAAGGGCCAGATTGGTCCTGTTTTAAGTTTTGAAGGCCACACAGGTTTTGTTGCTACTACTCAACTCTGCCATGGTAGCATACAAGCAGCCATAGACATTGTGCAGAAGAATGGGTGTGGTCATGCTCCAAGAAAACTTAATCATAGACAATGACGCCTGAATTTCCTCTAGCTGTCATGTGGTCATAAGATATTGTTCTTCTTTTAAAAGTTTTGATCATTTAAAATTGTAGAAAAGTATTCTCAGTTCATAGACCTTAGGAAAAACAGGCAGTAGGCAGGTGTGGACTGCAGGCTGCAGTGTGTCAGCCTAGGCTTCTGGGCTTCTCAGGGCTGGTTCCCCCATGCTGCAGTGACTCCCTGTGCACCGGATGGCGGGAGACTCTTCATGTGTATCTGAGGGAGCTACACCCACATGCTCAGACTAGTATACTAAATAGGGCTGCTGTTCCTGAGAAAGACACAACAATTCAGATCAAAAGGAGTGAAATTTGGAACTCTCAAGCCATAAAGAGCTGGCTAAATATTCCTGTCTAGGAATCAATCAACCTATGAACATAGTAACTCTCCTAAGTAGTTCATTACTCATAATCCATAGTTATTCTCCTTTGTCTATAACATATACTTAACAGTACTACATAACTTTTTCTCCCTATTTTGTGGATTTTTTAATTCCTTAAAAATACAGCCCATGCTCCTTCTATGAGCAGCGGCTGTGTCTTAACTTCTCTGCACAGGCCCACAGCATTCTGAATTTGGAAAGATGCTAAATGTCTTGTGCTAAACATGTGGAACGTTGTTTGATTAAGGGCTTTGATTCAGCAGTACTATATCCTTGGGCTTTCCTTTGAATGGAAATGTGATAGCCAGGAATTCTCAGTCACTGATAACTGTTGATTGTGTCTATGCTGGGATGTACTAGGTGCTGCAGAGACCAGGCCAATTAAGGAGCTGGGATTTAAACAAGAAACACCAAAACCACTTACATTGCCAAACAAAAGGTTTTATAACCATAATGGCCTGAAATACAAAATACCAGGGAAGCAGCAACCCTGGCATGATTTGTGGCTGAAGCTAAAGGCAGCCAGAAGGTTTCAGAGAGGAAGTTACACCTGCAGCCTCCCTGGGTAAGGGCTCCGACTCTACCGGCTTCTGCACAGGACGACAGGCAGACCCGTCCAGAGGCATGAACTGATCTGTATCATTTCCCAGAGCCATGGTGGGTACACCCAATGCCTCAATCCGCTGTTCTTCAAGGGCCCAGCTCCTCTTCTGAGCAATGGCCATGGATAACACAGGTGGATCAGAGCAGAGTTTGCAACCTGATGGGGCCCAGATGGATGAGAGGCCACAGCTGGACTTGATGCGGCTGAGACAGTTTTTAAATGTTTTAAATTTAGGTGCCATTATCTTAAACATGAAAATATTGGATAAAAATCTAGATTTGTGGTTTCTTTTACATAATCCAAGCCCTTAGCAAAATAGAGACCTCGTTACCACATGGCAACAGCTGGCTGTGGCTGAGTAGCTGTCCCTTCAGATGGCGCCTGGGGGGTGGGGTCGGTGGGTCAGGGTGTGGCAAGGCCCTCTCTCAATGGGCTGGGCTCACAGCATGGACTGCCCCGGCTGTGTGGACTATGAGTGTGTCCCCAGATGAGGGGCTAACTGGGGACCACAGCACCGCTCATGGATCATCTACGACCCTGCGCTTAGAAAGCTTTCTGAGCCAACCCTGGTACTGGAGCTTCAACTTCAGACTTCAATGTTCATTCTTATTTTGGGGTGCAAGGAAAGGAGAAGGCAGATAGTGAGGGACGACAATTCTGGATGGAACCCCGGTGTGAAATGCCCGCCACATACCTGGAGACCCGAAGTACCTGAGGGTCACCTCTTGCGTCTTCACCTCTCCGGCCACGTTCTTTGCCATGCACTGGTAGATACCCTGGTCTGTCTCCTGTGTGTTCTGGATCATCAGGGTCCCATCGTCCAGCAAGTTTAGGCGGGAATCTGTCTTCATGCTCAGCTCATTACTACAAAGACAGAAATATGGTCTGGTCAAGTGTTGAAAGCACAAAGACGTACCTCACCCATCCCCAGCACAGGGGTTTCCAGCCCTGCAGCAGGCACAACTTGTGCGAGGAACAGCTCACCTTCCAGGGTCTCCTCCTTCCTGGCAGCCCTGACCTAACAGGCAATTCTGAAAAGGGGACCGTGTATTTGCACATCTCATTCACTCAGGTACTTATCCTTAGTATTCACGTGTTCAATCTATCTACATGTTTTAAAGTGTTTCTAATTCCAAAGGAGAAAGCAATGAACAAAACGGAAAAAATTCCAAGGAAACATTTTCTTTCGTTTCTGGTGAATTAACTAAAAAGGGTAGAAACATTTTTACATTACTAAAAGCCAGAGCTGTATCTATGTGTATTTTATTTTTTTATTTTAGAGACAGAGTCTCACTCTGCAGCCCAGGCTGGAGCGCAGCGGTATAACCATTGCTCACTGCAGCCTCAGCTTCCTGGGCTTAAGCGCTCCTCCTGCCTCGGGCTCCGAAAGTGCTGGGATTGCAGGTGTGCGCCAGACCTCTCTATCTGTATTTTAACAAACAGTGCCTGCAAGCTGCTGGTTGGCCTCCCTCTGGGATCTGGGAGGAACCTGTGGCACTGCACCACGAAGAGGCCAGGACACAGGTGACCCCACCTTTGCATGGCTTGGCCAGTCCTCGGGCAGCAAGGACCTCCCCTGGGGCCATGCTGCATCACACACACTTCGGGCAGCCAAGAAAAGCTGCAACCTTTACCCCAACGCTCAGTCCTGCCGCCTCTCACCCTCACCCCACCTGTAACTTCACTTTAGTTCCCTTTATGCAGAAGCAGGTGAAGAGGAGAGAGGTGACATTGGATGCCACTGAGATCCCAGTCTATGGCAAGTGTGAGGACAGAGTAAGAACAGCCAGGCACGGAGCCCTCTGAGAATGCAGACGGGCCTACAGAGAACTCCTACTTGCAGATCACCAAGACAGACAAGACCTCTGTGAAACAGAAACCCACTTCCTCAGTGCACGAGATTCATCACCTTCCACGCGAGTTTCCTAAGGAGCCTGTGCAGCCTGGACCAAGCTGGGTCGCTCATGCAGGAGGAGCAGCACCAGCACTGTGCAAAAGCACTTCCCCATGACCGCCCTCAGAAACCTGCCAGCGCGCAGCCAAACCGTCGGGAACACTCGAAAGACCAACGCCCACCTTCTCCCAAATCTTCCTCATGCTCTCCTCGCCTGGCACCAATCCCCCAACTTGCAATCTGTCCTTACCCACAGGGATTGCTGGATGGAAGCAATGTCAGCTTAGGCCCCATAAACAAGACTCTCTCTGATGTGGCCCAATCCCCCCCACCAGAAACACGGCGAGCCAGCAGGTGAGGGTGGCCTGCAGGTGACTCTGGATGTTAGGTAAGGCCAGCCGGCAGGTGAGACTCGAGCTGGTGGAGGGCAGAGCCCAGCACAGGTCACCAGGCCTCAGGGCTTTGGCTCTAGCTCTGCCATATTTAGCTGTGAGATTTCAACTGCGGGCATCAATTTTTTCGTATATAAAATGTAGGTGTGATGGACTGGGGCCAAATTTATGCTTCCCTGACTTTTAAATGCACACAACATAATACTGCAGAATTCCTCCAGTGTTCTCTGGATTTTAAATCTCATCAACTTGGGAGCCATCCAAGACAAAAGCTGTGAAGAGAGTGACTGCACCTTACAGGCTCCTTGTCCGGCACTGCAGCCAAGGTCAATATGACTTTTCAGTCATGAGGATAACAAAATCTAGAGCTGGAACAAACCTCCCATGTCCTCTTCAGCATGAACACATCTTCCCATTCTGTTCCTGACCACTGGGGATGGCCAGCTCCCTGCTCCTGTCCATCTCTTCTATAAACACCACCTTGCCCGAGAGCCAAGCCCAGCCCGGTTTGCCTCTGGAGTCTGGAACAATGACTCAGTTTGTGCCTCATCACAGTTTGAGCCCGAGTATCAAACAATGACTCAGTTTGAGCCCGAGTATCACAGGGCTCACATCTCAGACGCATCCCTCTTGCTGCCTCATGACTAAACATGGCCAGAGAGGAGCAGCGCAGGAGTGCTGGGGCTGGGCCGGCAGGAGGAGCTCCTTCAGAAGCTGTCCTCACGCAGGCAGATGGGAGAAGGTAGGACATGGTGGCTTTACTTCAGGATTTTCTTTTAAGGATTCCTTTCAAAAGGTCACTTTGAAAGTGCTCCACTCCAACTTAGGACCCTCAGTGATTTGGCCCCAGGTGCCTTCCGGCAATCTGACCTCATTCCCACCTAGGCCTCTCTGCCCCTGCACCCAGGTCCTGCCCCACCCACCCCCCTTGCACGCCTTTCACCTCCTCCCATCTCTTCCCCCTAGACTCCATCACTCCTTAACCAACACAGCCCCAGCTCACAAACCCCAGCAGCGCAGGGGTGCTCCCCACACCTGGCTCACAGGTGGGGCTCGCTGCCAGGACGCATGTAATGGTCAGCGGTAGGACTTCCCTCCGTCACCCTGACAGCCGCAGCCAGGGCCGTCTTAGCCTTAACAGGTCCACAGCATGTTTGTGGACACAAGAGAAGACTTCCTTTGTTTGGGAGACAAGTTAGATCCACACGGGAGCTGAGCGAACCTGTGTCAGCAGCTGCATGGCGCTCCAGGCTCCTGAGGACGCCGTCCCAGCAGAGGTCAGGGCCCCTCCCGCACCCACTCAGGTTGGTCACAATGCCCCAGGTCAAGGCTGCCAACAACAGTGACCAGAGCAAACAGGCTGCTGCCAGACGTCAGCAGGCAGGGAGAGAACAACCAGCATGCTCTCCCTCCCTCCCACCGGGAAGGGCCGCAGTGACGCGTTGCCCAGCCAGGGCACCCCTGTGCTGCCCAGGAGAGAGTGGGGAAGGGGCCCCAGCCTGGCAGAAACGTCGTCACACCCCCTGCCATGTAAGACCGGAAAAGGAGCAGAAATAGTTTCTCCTTTGTACTTTTCCCTACGTGGAGGAGGAAAAGTGGACGTGGGCCTTGGTGGGGAGTGAGGTGTGGTTTGGGTGTCTGAGTGTAACTCCGAGAGATGCACAGGGGCATTTCTGTTTGGCCCCAACTCACTTGTTTCGCAGCCAGATGATCTCAGGCTTGGGGTTGCCTTCGGCTCTGCAGGTGAAGTACACGGTGTTCCCCGAGGTCACATCTGCGTCCTGGGGCTCGGAGGTGATCCGGGGCCTTTCTGTGCCCAACCAGAAAATGGAAACCTTTTTAGTCTAAACCATGACATGAAAATAAATGACAACACACGCTGAGTTCTCTGTGTCCAAAAGGAAACCACAGATGCCCAAAGGTGTAATTCAGCCACAAACATCCCCCACAAAAGTGCCAGACTGGCTTCTCTACAGCCCCGTCTATGGTGCGGATCTACATGATGTCTATGCCTCAGGGTGCCATGTTCTGAGCACCCTAGAGACAGGCTGGCTCAGAGTTGGGCAGACAGCCCCAAATGACAGCCTTCGGCGTCCCCTCGAGGCCCTCTGGGAAAGCCAAACACCTGTGCGGAGTGGATACGCCACGGGTCGCTATTTTCACTGAAGAAAAGACAAAAAATAGTACTCTGTAGCTAAAGCGTCCCTGAAAGAATAAGCCTCTAAAAGCACAGGCAGGTGGCAGACACCACAGCTGGAGCAACTCCCAGCCTCCCTCCTCCACAGCTGCCCCGCCCTTCACCCTCCACCCTGGGCAAGGGGAGAATGGCCTCTCCTGCCTCCTGCGTGCCCGTGACTCCACATGGCTTCCGAGGGCCATCCGAGGGCCACCCGAGGGCTGACGGCTCCCAGGCCTTCCTCGAGGGCTGACGGCTCCCAGGCTCCCGTCCCTGGTGGCTGCTCCGGAGCTCCAGGCCCGCACAGGGAGCGGCCTTCTCTAAGGCTCCCCTCAGCAGCCATGAGGGAACCACACCAAGGGCAGGCCTAGGCTTCCATCTCTGCCTCGTCACCTCAGTGTGCGAATCTGTCTCCATGTACATTCTGTGAGCATCACGAGAAGAAAAACACAACCACACACAGGTGTGTACAAGTGAGTGCCTGCAGTGGGGCGGACACAAGCACGGGTACGAGTGTGTGTGTGTGTGCAGCGGAGATGGCTCTGCTCAGTGCTGCCATTCTGCCCGGCAACCAAAACCAAGGCCCTCGACCCAACTTGGGGCTGTCAGCAAGGGCTCCTCCAGGATTGCCTCCTTCCGTCTCCCCAGCATTGCACAGCCCGGGTCAGGAGGCTGGGGCGGCTCTGCCCAGCCCTCCCTGTGCTCCCGTCACTCTGGGAACCGTGCCTCCTCTTCTCTCTCCTCTGCAGCACTAGAGCCCTTGGCTTCACAGAGGTTCTCACCACTCAGGCCTTACCCGGCCTCCCTGCCTCCCTCACACACTCCCCGATTCCCTCTCCCGAGGGCTGCCAGAAAGCTCCTTCTAGAATATAAACATCATCCCAACGTTCCGTAAACCCTCCCATGGCTCCCCATCACCACAAAATCAAAATAAGCTTTCGCTGCTTTCTTCATTATTTAGGCTGCACAACCCTGCAGACACCCTAAAACCCACCTAACTGTACACCTGAACGGGGTGAATTGTCTGGCACGGGAACAATGCCTCGATAAAGCTATTATAAAAAACAAGAATAATCACTGACAGCCAAATTGGAGTAAGGAGTAAAAGTATGACAAAGTCTCCAAGGGCACAACCTCAGCACTGTGATTACGGAAGGCCATGAGTCGGTTTCTTGGAAAACCATCTGGAATGAACACCCATAGGAGCATCAGCGAAAACGACAGGGCCTCGGCTGATTCACAGGTTCTCGCACAGCTCAGCAGAGCTGCCAAGCTGGGCAACACAGGTCCCTGGGCCCCCCTGAGCACCGAGGGCCCTCCCTTCAGGGACGCAGGTGGGGCAGCTCCTTCCACTGAGGGCCGTTTCTGGGAGCTGTTGACAGCCAGTGCCCTGCGGAGCTGAGGGCGGAGTCTGGGTCCGGGGTGGGGAAGCAGCGCAGGCAGGCGGCTGCACAGGGGTCTGGGCCTCTCTTGCTCCCCAGGCTAGAAACCTGAGTGGTGCAGTACCCCCAGCCACCAGGCCGGCGCTCAGTTCTAACTGCCCCTGACATAGCTCCAGCAAGAACTGAGCTAGAAGAAACTTAAAAAAAAAAACTGTGTATTTTTGTCGTATTACAAAACCATCACACAGGGAGATCCTTTCACCTTACCAAAATAAACAGCCGTGTATGTGCATGCATGTGTGTGTGTGTGTGTGTGTGTGTGTGTGTCTATAAATGGTGTGTTTGTGGATGGTGTGTGCATGTGTGTGTGGTGAGTGTGTGGTGTGTGCGTGTATGTGCGTGTGTGTGGTTTGTGTCTGCATGTGTGTGTCTATAAATGGTGTGTGTAGATGGCATGTGCGTGTGTGGTGTGTGTGTGGATTGTATGTGCATGTGTGTGTGGATGGTTTATGTCTGTGTGTCTATAAATGGTTTGTGTGTAAATGGTGTGTGTGTGTATGTGCGTGTGTGTGGTTTGTGTCTGCATGTGTGTCTATAAATGGTGGGTGGAGATGGTATGTGCGTGTGTGGTGTGTGTGTGTATGTGCGTGTGTGTGTGGATGGTTTATGTCTGTGTGTCTATAAATGGTTTGTGTGTAAATGGTGTGTGTGTGTATGTGCGTGTGTGTGGTTTGTGTCTGCATGTGTGTGTGTCTATAAATGGTGTGTGTGTAAATGGTGTGTGTGGATGGTGTGTGCGTGTATGTGCGTGTGTGTGTGTGTGGTTTGTGTCTGCACGTGTGTGTGTCTATAAATGGTGTGTGTGTAAATGGTGTGTGTGGATGGCACATGTGTGTGGTCTGTGTCTGCATGTGTGTCTATAAATGCTGTGTGTGTGTGGATGGTGTGTGCGTGTATGTGCGTGTGTGTGGTTTGTATCTGCATGTGTGTGTCTATAAATGGTGTGTGTAAATGGTGTGTGTGTAAATGGTGTGTGTGTGGATGGTGTGTGTGTGTATGTGCGTGTGTGTGGTTTGTGTCTGCATGTGTGTGTCTATAAATGGTGTGTGTGTAAATGGTGTGTGTGTGGATGGTGTGTGTGTGTATGTGCGTGTGTGTGGTTTGTGTCTACGTGTGTGTCTGTAAATGGTGTGTGTGTAAATGGTATGTGTGTGTGTGGATGGTGTATGCGTGTATGTGCGTGTGTGTGGTTTGTGTCTGCGCGTGTGTCTATAAATGGTGTGTGTGTAAATGTGTGTGTGTGGTGTGTGGATGTTGTGTGTGTAGATGGTGTGTGTGTGGATGGTGTGTGTGTAGATGGTGTGAGTGTGTGGATGGTGTGTGCGTGTCGGGCCACTCACCACAGTTCAGCTCTTCCGGGGTGATGGTTGCCACTGAGCGTCCCTGGATGCGTCTGGGATATTCACAGATGGCCGCTGCCTGCGCGTTCCCCGACTCCGCGTAGGTTTTCAGCAAATCCGCCAACCACAGGATTTCACAGTCGCAGTGAAGTGTGTTTGAGTCCAGTCGCCTGTGGGAAGGAAGATGCAGCCGGTGAGACATGGGGTGGCTGGGCTTGTCCATCCATCCATCAGACAGGGCTTCCAGGTCCCGCGTCGGGAAACATGTGCCAGGCCTGCCAGGCTTGCGACATGGGGATGGGACACGTCTCGTGGTGGAATCTGAGCCCCGGTGCCCGACTCAGGGAGTGATGTCGAGACACACACATCACCAGGAAGAGCCCAGGGGTGCACAGTGCCCCTCAAGGCACTAACCGTAGAGGCGTGAGTAGCATAGGGCTTGTGCACACCCAGGCATCGGGTGTCGAGCTCAAGGCGAGGGAGTGTGCCAGCGGCACAGGTCAGGGAAGTTTGTGAAGGAGACCAGGTGGGAGCCACTCACAGAAATCAGTAACATGAAAACCACAGCCACAAAACCACCACTGTCACTCAACGCCCATCATCACGGGCAGGACAGTTCTACATCATCTCCCTCCGGCCTGAGGCTTCCCAGGCAGTGTGGGAAGGGGGGCTGCATCTCCTGGCTGGGGTTCACACCTAAGTTTCCTGAGGTCCAAGCTGACCTGGAAAGTTTCTAGTGAGTGGCACATCCTGTCCCAACAAGGGGAACACGGGCAGGATGTGCCTGCACCCTGGGAAAAGTGTTGTCTCCGCACACGGGGAAGAAGTTGTCTGGGGGACAGAGGAGTTCCAGGTAGCAAACACAGGCTACAGGGCAAGGGTTGGAAGAGGCTGGCAGCTGGATGTGAGACAGCCAGGTGGGAAGGGGTCCCCAGGCCCCTCCAGCCGGCCTGTGCACTGGGAGGGGTGCACACTGGGGTGGAGCCCACAGAGGTTTGTGCCATTTGCGGCGGGGAGAAGCCTGGCCCTCCTCTTCCTGGGTGGAATTCAATCTGTGAGGCAGGAAGCCCATGGCAGGAAACACACTATCTTGCTTTGCTGAGGGTCTCTATTTCCCTTTTTTTTTTCCTTTTTGCCCAATAAATCCCATTTTTCTCACTCTTCAAATAGTCTGCGAGCCTAAATTTTTGTGGCCATGTAACAAGGACCCCATCTTTCGCTGAACTAGGGAAAAGTCCTGCAACAGACGTGCTCACTATTAACCCTCAATGAGGTGGCCCCAGGGCACCCCCGAGATGGGGATGGGATCCCGAGAGGTGCTCACCAGGGCGGCAGCGTGAGGGCATCTCTAGGGGCCGACGCTGGCTCCAGGAGGGGAAGGGGAGGCTACACCTCCCATCCGAGGTTCTCCCAGACATGAGCCCAGAGGCGACAGGAACACAGAACTGGCCTCACGACCAGAATCACCCTTTCCCCCGTGAGCAGGTGCACAGCTCTCAGGTGAGGAGGCTGTGAGGGGGACAGTGTCAGCCACGTGCCCAGGGCACCCAACCTGTGCCCACAGCTGAAGGTCAGTACAGGACCACAGGCACATGCAAGACCCAGATGGTCATAGTCAGGTATGTGGCATCTGGCCAGTCGGTCCTGGTGGAGCGAGCTGCTCAGGGCACCCAAGGAAGCATAGGACCCCCAACCTTCATCTGCTCTGAAGCAGAGAGGGCTATTCAGGAGGTCTAGAGAGGTGGGGCAGCTGGCGTGGCCTCCTCCGCCTGGGGCCCCTCAGGGATGTGAGGTTAGAGACTGCTCCGAGCAGACAGCAGCCAGGACACAGCGTGTTCTCTTGATGCAGCTCTGTAAATCTATCACAGAATCTCAATCTGGGGTTGTAGTGTTTGAGCAACTTTAGTAAAGTGAGCAAACAGGAGAGGGGGACCTTGCCAGACACCCAGAGAGAGGCTGAGAACAGAGAGAAGGCAGCTGTCAGCATAATCCAGGCTGTTACCAGTCTGCCCTAAACTTGTCTTGGCTACTTTCTAGAGCATTTATCTGGTGATTTCTTTCTCCTCTCTGTTATCTATCAAATATGGAAGTATTCATCCCATCTTCCTACCCAGGATGTAGTTTTTAGTTTGGCTTGTGGTATTTTTATCCTAAAGGAAAAAAAAAATCACATATAGTTCTGAAGGTCTATGTTTTACTCCACTTTATTTCACTGAAGAGATAAAACAAATCACATAAGACCACTCTGGAGTTAGGCTTGTCTCTTGGCATTTTCTGTTTCTTTCTAGGTCTAGTTTACTGAATACACTCAGTAATATCTAACCGAAACTAACGGTTTCAAGACCATGAAGGAAAACACAAAATGAATGTCACAACTTTCTCCACCAGTCCTAAAATGCCTTAATTATAAGAAATAGCTCAGTATAAGCAAAAAGTATATTTGGAAGCCTTAAAAAATGGGTGGAGGCCGGGTGCGGTGGCTCACGCCTGTAATCCCAGCAGTTTGGGAGCCCAAGAAGGGCGGATCACCTGAGGTCAGGAGTTCAAGACCAGCCTGGCCAACATGGTGAAACCCTGTCTCTACCAAAAATACCAAAATTAGCCAGGCGTGGTCGCACGCGCCTGTAATCCCAGCTACTAGGGAGGCTGAGGCACGAGAATTGCTTGAACCTGGGAGGCAGAGGTTGCAGTGAGCTGAAATCGAGCCATTGCACTCTAGACTGGCAACAAGAACAAAACTCTGTCTCAAAAAAAAGGGTAAAGATCAGCCTCCTTAGTATGCTGTAGAAAGACACAGAATATAGCACAGAGGTTCTTTCCACACTGGTTTTATTTCTACCAGTAAAATATGCGCTGGAATTAAAAATTAATTTGATGAATTTAAAGACGATTTAAATCGTCTTTAATGGCTGGGCATGGTGGCTTATGCCTGTAATCCCAGCACTTTGGGAGGCTGAGGTGGACAGATCGCTTGAGCTTAGGAAATCAAGACCAACCTGGGCAACATGGCAAAACCCTGTCACAAAAAAAGAAAAAAAGAAAGAAAAACCAAAAAAAAAAACCCACAAAATTACAAAACTTAGCTGGGCATGGTGGCATGTGCCTATAGTCCCAGCTACTCAGCTCTTTGGGAGAATTGCTTGAGCCCGGGAGGTTGAGGCTGCAGTGAGCTGTGATCATGCCACTGCACTCCAGCCTGGGCAACAGAGCAAGACCCTATCTGAAAAAAAATTTTTTTAAGTCTTAATTGCCTATCAAAGGATTAACTACTTGCCACATTGTCTGAGCCACATGTTTTTCATTTTGCTCTCTAATGGATTCAATCCACCCTCCATATATTCTCATTCTTTCAGAATCAGATTGTTATCAACATTTCACAATACTTGAAAAAGAACCAGGTGAATAGATAACAGAGAGAAAGAAGGCTTTGCAGCAAAGAAAACACAAAAGGTTTTATACTCACAATCTCTTCATAGATTCCAAGTGATTAAATGTCCCTGGAACTAAATGTGTAATCCGGTTGTTATGCAAAAATCTGTTGAAAGAGATTTTATAACAAACCAATTTTGAAAAATATTTCTTAAAATGTGTAGAAAAGAATATAAGCAGTCAAATATATATCAGCTTTAAAAAAATCTCAGTGATTACATTTATTTAATACAAATGAATCTGAAAACAAAAGAAATGGTTTTTTTTTCCTGTTTTATCAACACTCTCAATTAAAGAGAAAATTATAAGTCCTATTTCCAAATTGTTAGACTAGAAATATGGATTTTATATTGAAACAGTTTTCAGGTGTTTGGTAGATATTGACCTTAATCTAACCAAGCCAGTGACTGAGGCTTGGGCTCTGTGAATGGAAAGGCAAGGAACAACACACAACTCACAGCCTCTCGAGCTTCGGGAGATGCTGGAACGAATCTGGGTCCAAAGTTTCTATCTGATTAAAGTGCAGGTATCTAGAGGAGTTAAAAGAAAAAAAAGTATAACTTACAATTTATTTTCTTAGATCCAGATTTTTGCCCAAATTTTTTTCCTAGTCATTTCAAATTCAGATATCAATAGATAGCTCACTCACTAGACTTCCTACATTGTATGAACAATACATAAAATTATCAAATGATTCAATAAATACAACTGAACACTAGGCACAGATGTCCACCCTAGTGACTGGATAAGGGCGAGGGAGGCCTAGAGGTGCTCACTGAGGTCCTTGACACCGCGTGAGAAGGGCAGTGCTGGCCTGGCCTGACTCGGCCATTTTCACTTCCAAAATATATGGAAAAAAGCAAAAATCAAAAGGATAACTTTAATGATAGCACATACATAAATAGGTGAATACCTTCCCTCAAATCTTTTAACTCGTGTATAAATTTGGCAGGGGCATCATCATATACTTTGACACAGAGTATATTATCAGATACAAAGATATCCTTCAAGACCACAAAGGAAACACAAAAAGAATGTCACACAACTTTCTCCATCAGTCCTGAAGCATTAAATAAGAGACCATCTTTCCTCGGGTGTCGTTGATTGTACAGAATACCCAGTGTTTCTATTTCTTTCCATTTACCATACTTCAACAATTTATACCTTTTGATATAACTCATTCTTTCTAATTTTTCCTGAATACGAAATTTCTCATTTTGAAAAGTGGGTTTTTTCCTCTTAAGTCAAACACAAAGTCAGTCTTCTCCCTGGGGTGCTCTGCTGGGAGACCCCTCCTGCCCACTCAGGTGTCCCCTGCAACCAGCACACATTTTCAGTGACTACTTCTTCAGGAGGCCAAAATGAGCAAAGAAGCAGCATGCCAGCGTTCACAGGTCTTCATAACTCCACAGAAAGGAGGACTCCTCAGAACGCACGCCTGAGAATCAGGTCTGTGGACATCCTGAGATCACCGTCACCACCAGGGCACCAGAGTGCGGCTGCCAGGGCCCGCCCCGTCCCGGGGCCAGCTCCCCAGGCAGCACCCACACAGGCCACACTGAGTCTCTGCGGACACCTGCAGCCGGAGGGCCCCCAAACGCAGACCATCCCTGCCCCTTGCCCCGGGACAGGTCTGTGCTCAGCACTCCGCGCACGAATGGGAAACGTGAGGGAAGGAAAAACTGGAGCAGGAAGACAAGGAAAACCGCCGTGGGCGAGCATGACGGGCGGGCACCTGACGCGCGGGTCCCGAGGAAGGCCGAACCCGACAGAATCCCTGGAGCCTCGTCTCTGCCAGGCAGTGTGCTGACAGGGCGCCTGTGGTTTTCTGGGGTCCTTGGCCTTTCACAGCCCATGGCAGCTGGGGACCGATGTAAGACCCAGGCACCACCACGGCACAGTGGCTGTGAGCTGCTCAGCGAGGCTTCAGTGCAGGCAGGCAGGGGTGGAGTCCCCCAAGCAAAGCCCAGAAGGATGAGGAGGTACTGACCGAGGGAAGGAAAGGGGGTATTTCAAGCCCCACGGAGAGCGATGGGTGTAAAAATCCCTCCACCCAGACTGCAATGCAGGTTGGCCAGGGGGACGGCTGAGTGGGTGGGACTTGGCACCTGCTGCACAGGTGCTACGGGAAATGACGGCCCAGGGTGCACAGGATCTTAGAGAGGCTGGGGCCCCAGGCAGCCTGGGGTGTCCTCCACCCCTCCCTGAACAATTGAGGAAACAGGACCAAAGACAGGAAATGGCTCCCCAAGTATACTGAGGTCATCATTGAATTCAAACGCATGTTTCCTGACTGGCCAGGTGTGTTTTCTGACCTGTGTCCACAGCTTCCCAAAGAGCCTTCTTTCTGGATCAGGGACACTCAGATCCCCCTGGACTGCATCCGGGCTCCCGGGCATTCCTGCATTCCGGTCTCCCAGTGTCACCAGGAATGCATGTTTTCAATAGCTCTGGGCTGTAGAGCCGATCCGGGGAAGGGGTGCAGTTCGCCAGGGTCAGGCACAAGCCACCCTCCCTGGACATACAGCCCTTTGCCCAAGTCTCTCACTGAGGTCTGGTGGACTCGCTTATCCCCTCCCCAACAGCTCCCTGCCCGAGGGCGGGGCTCGGGCTGCCCTCAGGCTCACTGTACAGCGTTTAACGAATGGAACCCAAGCTGCAGCACCAGAGACCCCAGCTCACCTAACCCTGGGTGCTAAAGGCAGCCTGGCCAGCTCAAGAAGCCCTCCCCATCATCCAAAATTTCAGCAAACATCTACTTGGTGATTCACAGATGCCCTTCCTCATTCAGCCTCGTTTCTCCCCTGACTTGCCCTTTCCTTCCTTAAAAATAACACTGGACTCACCCAGCACAAAGCCAGATGAGGATTTTCCGATCCACTCAGGATGGAAGAACTGTTTGCTATGAAGATTTGCTCGCCCCCACTGAGTGAAACGCTTGTTGGATATGAGAACTTGCTCCTTTGCAAGCTCTCCCTACATCTGGGTGTTCCCTGGATACGTCCATGTGTTTCTGCAATGAGCTGCACTGTCCTTCTCTGTAGAGACAGACCTCCTCCCAAATCTACCCACGCCCTGTCCACGCTCACTTGAATCAACACACACTTTCGGAAACATGAGCACCGTGGGTCCTCAGGATGCACAATCCCAGAGTGGTCTCCCCCCTGCACCGCTTGGCCTCAAACTCTCTGACAACATCGCTGTGTCCAGTGAGCCAGTGACCCGTGACCACGGATCAGCAGCTGTGGCAGGAGGACGTCACGCTGCGTCACAGCAAACAGCTGCTTTCATCCACATTCCTAAAACCGTGACAAATTGCAGCTCCTCAGGAATGGGCTCAGTTTGCCGAGTGAAAGGTGACTGGCCGAGCAAACAAACCAGGACAAATCCTCCTTTTTACCAGGACATTGTAATGAAAAATCAACACGCTGACTTCACAGCAAAGTACGACTTCACGTTGGCCAAAGAAACTAAGAGCGTTTCATGACACACTGCATACACTAACTAGAACTACAAGGGAAAGAAAGGTTTTCTCCAAAATAATGTCACCACAATTGAAGAAATTCAGCTTCATGTGTTCACAGTCATAAGGAGGAACAGTGAACGAGGCAAAGAGCCCTCTCCTCCCCGGGCACCCTGGATATTTCCCCTGTGAAGGATGCCTTGATCGGACTTGGGCGCCTGCCTGTCTCTCCTCTAAGTTGTGACAGGGATTCCATCGATATTACTGTCCTTGGTGTCAGGAAAGCATGGCCCAGGGCCTGGTGCCGCCGTAAGGAAACCAGGGATACGTCCTGAGGGGTGGGTGGAGGGCTGGCTGGGTGGAAGGCGGGGCGGAGGGCAAATGACTCGCCCATCCCTGTTTTTCCGTCATCATGCACGTACTCCCCGCACCTCAGGTAGCATAGTCATGCATCATGCAAACAGCTAGCTCACTCCACTGGTCCCTACAAGAGGAAAACAGCCAGACGGCATCCAAGAACTAAAGCACGAAGAGAAGGGGCACTTACAGTTGCTCTAGAGAGGCAAGTCCCTTAAATGCTTGCCTGTCAATTGACTGGATCTCATTCTTGTACAGATAGCTGAAACAAGAAACATTGGGGAGCATTAGCACACAGACAGGAGGTCAAACTTCAGACGGAAAAGAAGAATTAAATTGACACATGGAGACAGTTTTACAATTAATGACTGTATTAGAATGCAAACAAACCATCTGCACGGTGAGTACAGTGCCTCTCCCAAGGGCTTCCCTTCCCTCAGATCTCAAGGGGGCTAAAAGCAACCGGTGCCAACTGAAGGTGATCAAACCACTGCGACGGGTTTTTCAGGCAACTCACAGACCTTAGACTATGGCTAATGAATTGCTGACAATACATTTGCTTCAAAGCCTGAAGAAGATAAAAACCATTTTCCACAGGCATGTATAATGCATTGGCTGTAAGATTCTATAACTGATACTGATACATCTCCAAAATACCTAGAAATAATTTGGGGAGTGGACAATATGAAGACCGAATGCACCTTGAATAACTCACCCCTAGAATCCCATTCTTAGAAAACAGAAGCAACAGAGGCATACTGGAAGAGCCACACAATTGGCCTGGCTCTTGTCTTTGTGTAAAATGGTGGAAAATCTCAATAGGAGAATCCTATTTCCTAACATGTGAACTTGGAATGCCAGCGTCCATAAATGAAGCTCTGCTGGAACACGCCCACACTCGCTCACTCCGCACCATCTGGGGCTGCGCTGGCGCTGTGTGGCCGAGCTGAGTGGTCCCAGTAGAGACTGCGCAGCTCACAGAGGACTGGTCCTGCACAGAAAACACTTGCCAAGCCTGATGGAGGATGAAAATTTCCACACCAAAGTATCACAATTCCAAAAAGAGCCACAAAACCATGCGCATTGTGCCCACCCATCTCGGACATGACTCGCCTTCAGCCAGCTTGCCTCACAACACAGCTCTAGGCCAGCAGCTTGGGGGACCCCAAGAAGGCTGTGAATCTGTGTCTGTGCCCAGACATGGGGAGCCCTGCCACTACCGTTTCTTAGAATCCCTGGGCTCCATCTCTGACATAGGCAGATGGGCAAGTCAAAATCCACGCTTTTCCTACTTTTCAAATTCAGGCAGACACGTCTCTTCAAAATTGATTACTTATGCCTGGGTTTCACCTACTCGTTCCACTAAATAACCAACATTTTTTGTCTTAATGCTTATAATATTATATAATTCATATCCAGAAGGGCCGAGTGTTTGATTGTAACTTAATTAATAATGTCTGGTGCAGGATCCAGTTTAACAGGACCAGCCCTGCTAACCTTATTTCTTACAACCCATCTAAGTGGCTCTCACGTCCTCCCTCCCTGCGAATTTGCAGAGCTGACCTCATAAAGAGTTACAAGCCTTAACACGAACCACCCAGAACTCCCCAGCGACCGAGAGCCCAGTGCCCGCAGCAGAGGCCTGGCAAGGCTGTTACTTCTCTAGGCCGCATACGTGGGAATCCTTGAACTTCCACGTAATGACTGGGCCTCAGTTTCCTCTTCTCTAAAATGGACAGAAGTTGTTGAAATTAATGTGTGTGTATATATATAAAGCTCTTACAATATGGCCCCTGCACACATTAACCATTGTTCACATGGGAGTTGTTACTATACTTCTACAGAAGGCAAGTTTAAATGTAATTTTCTGTGCCCATTTATTTAAAAAGAAAAACAAAAACAAAGTATCAATGAGAACATCGCTTTAGACCCATTTTAAAAAATGAAAGGGAATCTTTTTAAAGAATACACAGGACAACTGAATCAAACTAACATGTGTGAATGTGTGTTTATAAAGACATTGGAACGTAATTTGTTTTCATGAGAATAGGTGAGTATTGGCTGGCCGTGGTGGCTCATGCCTGTAATCTCAGCACTTTGGGAGGCCAAGGTGGGTGGATCACTTGAGGTCAGGAGTTTGAGATCAGCCTGACCAAAATGGTGAAACTCCGTCTCTATTAAAAATACAAAAAATTAGCCAGGCATCGTGGTGCACGCCTGTAATCCCAGCTATTCAGGAGGCTAAGGCAGGAGAATCCTTTGAACCTGGGAGGTGGATGTTGCAGTAAGCCGAGATCACACCACCGCACTCTAGCCTGGGCAACAAGAGGGAAACTCCACCTCAAAAAAAAAAAAAAAGGGTGAGTATTGACCATAATAATAAATTGTGATTTTCTACTTCATCATAGAGTTGACCCTTGAATGAGTCCTAACTGTCTCAAGAAATAATTTCATTAAGCAATGTGAACTAAAGGGAAGGCTTATGCCTTACTAGAAGTAATTGGAGTTCCAAGAAATAAGAACTACTCAACCTCTACAAGTATAGTTTGGTACTGACTCAATATAGAAGGCTGAAATAATGAATAAATTTCAGGAGAGCTCTTAAGCATATAGGTTGTACACAGGTGAAATCACAGCATTTAACTCTCACACAGTTTCCTAAATCAGCACTTATCAAATGTACTCCACCAATGAGAGCTGAGAAGCGGAGGCTGCAGCTGCTGGGTGAAAGGGTCCCCGGGCCTCTCTGGACAGCTTCCCTCCACTGCCCTGGTCTTTAGTCCGTTTCTGAGTCATGACCCACGGCCCCTTCACCACTGGCCTGTGCTTCTTCCACCCCAGTGATCTGTGTCCTCCACCACCAGGGACACCGCAGTTTGTTACCGAGGGAGAGAGGGAAGAGTTTGGAGTGTGGGCGCTCAGAGCCGGCTGTGCAGCAGATGAGGTCGGAAGAGGGTTATTGAAAAGAGATCAGTGAAAACAGAGCATCCCCAACAACTCCACTTTGAACGTGTTTGCTGAGTGCATACTAAGTTGCTCTTAATAATTCAAAACCAGTGACAAAAAATGAAATAAAATATTAAAAAACCTGTTAAACCTATTAAACACACATATACACACACAAGGAATGCTGGCTATCAGCTGACTGGATCTACTTTCCAGGAAACAAAAGCCCTCTTCTGGAACTTGCACAACATTCAAAATACCAAAAAAAAAAAAAAAAAAAAAAAGGGTAAATAAACAAATAAAAGGCCTGCCTCTCATTTTAGAAATAGAAATGTGGGACCAGGCTTCATCATGTTTATATGAAATTAAAAATTAACATCCTATGCCACAATGATGGAGGGAAAAAGGATGTATGTAACAC
Source organism: Homo sapiens (assembly GCF_000001405.40). Lineage (NCBI taxonomy): Eukaryota > Metazoa > Chordata > Mammalia > Primates > Hominidae > Homo > Homo sapiens. The sequence continues at coordinate 1,690,809 of NC_000002.12, forward strand.
TGACAAATATCGCACAGAGGGAATATATTTTAATAAACAGAGTTAAAGGTAGCTCTGTAATTAACAGTCACAGACACAGCTAGAATCAAAACAGATTTCAGAGTATACATCAACAATAACAAGACGACTTTGTTTTAAAAATCAAAATAACTACAGCATTAGCACAAATACCTAATGCATGTGGAGTGTAAAACCTAGATGACGGGTTGATGGGTGCAGCAAAGCACCATGGCACGTGTACCCCTATGTAACAAACCTGCACGTTCTGCACAGGTATCCCAGAACTTAAAGTAAAATAAAAAAAAATCAAAATAACTTAAACATGTTTAGGTTCACATATGATAAAAATTTCCAACAAAAATGGCTGAAATAATTTTTATTAAAAATAGCTCTCTTTGGAAAGTGACTAAGTCTTAAAAGAATACTCTTCTAAAAGCACACGACACACACTTCGTCACCTTTCCAATTTTATAGCAAGTATGTGTGTGACTGAGACTAAACCAGTACTTCCCAGGAAGCTCATTTTCTAAACTGCAAAACTGATCTCAACGAGCAGAAGATATGTTAAATGAAAATAAATCGATTAAAATCAGTTTTTAAAAGTGAAATAAAATTTAACTGCACAAAAGTAAGAGGTGAAATCACTTAGCGGGAGACAGGAAAATCTGCAGGAATTAGTGACACTCCACCGGGGTTAGTTATTTCGAGTTTACATGTCACCTGCAGCTGGCAAGGCGACCGGAAACTATTTTGATAGCTGATTTCTGCAACACACCCGTCAGCTGTTCATATCGGCAACTCACTGGGTCATCACTTTCCCCTCTGGAAGCATCACCATCATTTCCAGAGCGATTTTCAGAGGCTGTGCATTTTCATTTTATGCAATCCACTTTACTAAGGCTTAGTGATGAAACACTAAAAATCACATAATGTAGCACTTTATATCACTGACAAGCTATTTTAATAATCCCAGCTAAATGTTTACTCACCTTCTCAAAATAAAACCTCATTTAAATGAATATATTTACAATAATTCATAAGCAGCACGAAATTTAGCTCTATTTTTAAGTAATCTAGATACCATAAGCTTTTAGGTTAAAGAACTGATCATTAACTTACAGATATTTTAAATTTTCCAAGTCTTCAAATGCTCCACTAGGTATCCTCTTGATCTGATTATTATTGAGAAGCCTATGAAAGAGAGTCGATAAGAATTTTAAAAAACAACAGAAAACAAACTTCGAAGTTGTGTTAAAACATTCCGACAGCCTTGGAAAAGGTCACATTGACAATTCAGTTACAGCCTCGCCATCAACATTCAACGAACGCTGAACCCGCAGGACAAAACACAGCTTTCGCGTTTAACCATCATGAAGAAAACGTTGCTGAGCAATGGTGTCCGTACCACTCCACAGTTACTACCTTTTGATACAGCGGAGAAAAAATTCCTTCTCTCCTATAGAAGGGAGTTTGTATCTTTATCCTGCTGTCTCTTAGATTTTCTATTTTAGCCAGGACTGTGGCCAGTGCTAAGGCAGTCATGGTGGGAGGGTGGTCCGGGTGGACAGACGTGCCAGGAAAGGTGGGCCCTGTGGCCCGTGCTCCATTCGAGCGCACAGACAAGGGCCTGGGGTGAGAGACCCCGGGCCACTTGCCCTCCAGGGTCAACAGTGGATAGGCGGCCCAGACAGTCCCACAGTCCCCATGACCCTGCTCTTACACCGTTGTGCTCAGTCCTGGTGCAGAAGGGAACCAGCTTCCACTGCACTGGGCGTGTCCTGCAGAGCCTGAGGTCTGCACAGCAACGCTGGACTTGGCCCTGCCTGCTCCCTCCAGGCATCATGGGACTGCCTTGAACCCTCACTTAAGTCCACTCCACACTCAGAAGAAGCACTGTCCTGCTCAATCTTGCCACGGAGGAGGTGCAGGAACACACAGAGGTCAGCCTGACCCAGCAAGGACTGAGTGATTCTAGAGCAAGTGACCCACATGAAGGCCAGGGACAAGCTTAGCGGTCAGCATGGGTCCCAATCAACATGCCACAGACAGGCACACAGCCATGAGACGAGAAACACAGTGGCCACAGTCCTGGCATTCACAGTCCTGGCATTCAGGGGCATTTTCCAGCCTCACTTTCCTGCTCCACTTTTCCCCACCCAAGCCCACTGATTGTGGATGATGAGTTCTACCTACAGATAAACAATGTAATGATTTCTATTTTTCTATTAGTTTCCAATAGAATATTTCCACTCACAATGTGTTCAAGTTCCTCAGCCGCCTGAATGCCCCAGGTTGGATCTCTCTGATTCTGTTAAAGCGAAGATCTCTGTGAAGAAACAAGAAAGGTATTATTACGTGAAAAAAAATCTACAAACATCGCTACACATTTGCTGCTCTTAGTTTCAAAATGGTGACAATGCATTTAAAATATTAAACCACCCAGTTCACTCCTTCAATGAATCTTCTTTTTCACTGAGGCTAGTAAGTGTATGAATATGTGTCTGAATGGTGGAACACCAGTAACCCATTACAGAATTTCTAAAAACAGTAATTATGGGGAGAAAAATTACATAAACTACCTAAGCACCCTATCTCTGGCAACCCACTGGAAAATGTCGTGTCGATAAGTCTTAGGATAATAAACACAGGTTAGGTTTGATGACATTCAAGAAGAGAGTCACGCCACCTGTGCAACTGAGTAAACACCTTAGAGTTTACTCCAGTGATTTCCTGAGCTGGAATTAGGCTCTTCCTTAGTCAACGACCTAAACTGCTACCTTCATGAGATTTAAACTGAATGTTTCAAAACCACAAAAGTGAATTCAGCACGCTAACTGGGAAAATAGGCTTTCTCACATATGGGTTTTACCCTAATGGTTCCAAACAGGCATTTTCAGTAAAGTTAAACGTCCACTGTTAAGGCAGTTATTTATTCATATTTCGGGGGTGGAGAGAGGATCCGAATAGCCCATGAGAGACCAGAGAGTACGCCAGAATCGACACAGAGACTGAATCTGGTGCTGGAAAGAGAAACACTTCAATTCCTGCTAATCTGATGCTCAGGCAGAGCAAGCTGGGAGGCCCCAACCACGGAGGCCACGGGCCTGGGGGCAGCACAGGCAGCCAGGTCAGAGGCCTGAAGGCAGCGATGGGAAGTGCAGACATGCAGAGGCGTCGGCTCTACCCTTGCAGACAGCCCATCCCAGCTTGAATTAAAACTATAAATTGAACAGGTATAGAAACCACTGAAAAATAAACAGAAAGACCAATTTCTTTATCAAATACTCTTAGAAAAATTAAATTCCTTAATCATAGGTCCAATCTCTTTTAATATCGTCCAGTAGGGATCGGTACGGGTTGAACTGTGTCTCCCCGAAATCCACATGTTGAAATGCTCAGCCCCAGTGCCTCAGGTGTTTGGTCATTAGGGTATCATAGGTAAGGTCAGGACATTAGGGTATGATAACATAAAATGTTTATAACCTTCTAAGGAATCTGATTATCCTATGCCAATGTAATCACTGTCAGTAGTTTGTAGAATTGGTTCTAGTTCATGGTTCAATAAGATACTTCAAAAAAAGTATCTGTGTCACTGACAGCAACAGCATCCAGCCTAGATGTCAGTGAATGAAATGTGTCCCTCCCAGCGCCGCCCCTGTGCTGTGGGTCAAGTTCTCCTGGAGGAGAAGGGGAAGGCGGCCCCCCTCTGCCCACCTGGCCCTCCTGGCCATCATTCCACGCCGTGCCCTCGCACCCGGGTTCGCTTTCCTCAGTGATACCCACTGTCCACCAACAGTCTCCTCACACGCACCCTCCCCCTGCACCGCCATGCTCCCCTCTAAACAGATGAGATTTTAATTTACATTCATATTCAGAATATCACTAGTGGCTCCACGGACTCTCCACGTAGGAGCTGCTGAAAGTCAGAAGCATCGAAACTGGGAGGCGGTGCTGGAGGAAGACACGGGAGGGGAAAGCAGCCATCCAGGATGCCCACTCACTCCATACGGAAGACACAGATCAAGTACAGATAAGGAGAGAATTCTGACCAGCTGCAATTTCAGGATAAACAAACAATTGCAAAGAAGCTCCCGTACCTGAGACACAGCAAGCTGAGGGGCTTCCCAGCATTTGAACAGGTAAGAAAGGCTGTCCCGGAAGGCCGAGCCACGCATCACAGCTTAGAGCAAAAATCAACTCTGACCACATCTGATCCAGAAACCAAGCTGCTCCTCCAGAGCAGAGGATGGAGTGAGCCCCACTTATTCTGGCTCCTCATTCCCCGTGGGAACCCACACGCAAGCCACAGAGGAGGCAGCGGCAACAGCGTGGAAGCTGGAAAGCAAGATGTGGACTTGGCTCCTGGAGCCTGGGAAGACAGCAGGAAGAGCCACAAAACCACCTTCCTGACATGCAGGCCTTTCCCCAGATCTGAAGTCGGTGCCACCAAAACCTCTAGAGTGAAGGACAGAGAGGTGCTGTCCCATCCACAGGCCCCTGTGCCCTGCTGGACAGAGAGGTGCTGTCCCATCCACAAGTCCCTGTGCCCTGGGTCTGAGCACCTGAGAGGTGGCCTAGAGTGATGGACAGAGAGGTGCTGTCCCATCCACAGGCCCCTGTGCCCTGCTGGACAGAGAGGTGCTGTCCCATCCACAGGCCCCTGTGCCCTGCTGGACAGAGAGGTGCTGTCCCATTCACAGGCCCCTGTGCCCTGCTGGACAGAGAGGTGCTGTCCCATTCACAGGCCCCTGTGCCCTGCTGGACAGAGAGGTGCTGTCCCATCCACAGGCCCCTGTGCCCTGCTGGACAGAGAGGTGCTGTCCCATCCACAAGCCCCTATGCCCTGGGTCTGAGCACCTGAGAGGTGGCCTAGAGTGATGGACAGAGAGGTGCTGTCCCATCCACAGGCCCCTGTGCCCTGCTGGACAGAGAGGTGCTGTCCCATCCACAGGCCCCTGTGCCCTGCTGGACAGAGAGGTGCTGTCCCATCCACAGGCCCCTGTGCCCTGCTGGACAGAGAGGTGCTGTCCCATTCACAGGCCCCTGTGCCCTGCTGGACAGAGAGGTGCTGTCCCATCCACAGGCCCCTGTGCCCTGCTGGACAGAGAGGTGCTGTCCCATCCACAAGCCCCTATGCCCTGGGTCTGAGCACCTGAGAGGTGGCCTAGAGTGATGGACAGAGAGGTGCTGTCCCATCCACAGGCCCCTGTGCCCTGTGTCTGAACACCTGAGAGGTAGCCAGTGTTGAGTAAAAGTGCAAAACTCACACTGGACCTCAAGGACTTCCTACAAACAAATAGAACATAAATATATCTTCGATAAAATTTTATATTGAGTGCATGCTGAAACATGTACAAGTTTGGCATGCAGAGTTCAATAAAACATTTTTAAAATTAACTGTTTATTTCTAGTTTTTTCACAAAGTGACCAGAAAATGTTAAATGACATAAGTAGTTCTCATCACATTTCTGTGGATGGCACTGGTCTAGGTTAAGGGGATCATTTCACAAGCTGCTCACAGCAGTTAGACCTCCCACCATGCTCTAAGGCAGAGCACCAAAAAAGACTTCTACTATGAAGAGGGTAAAACAAACGGTCCCCTTTACTGCAAAGGGGGTTATCTTAGAAGACAAAGTGAAACCATAAAAAAAGAACCAAACTGAAATTCTAGAACTGAAAAATATAATAGCTGAAATGAAAAGCTCATTGCATGGACTTAACATATTGAATACTGCAGAGGGGAGAGGACTTGGGAGCTACTCAACATTAGAAATGATCTAATCTGAGGAACAGAGATGAAGAAACACTCATACACCAATAGTTATACCACACATATTCATCTGCATGTGTGTGTGTTTACATTTTCTGTCTGATACCACAGCACATGAAAGGAGCTAGAAAGATTGTCACCAAACCGGACCGTGTGTTTGGGATGGGCTGACTTACAACACAGCTACATCTGCACACGTGTTACTGGAGGGGACTTGCAGCTGCCTCAGAAACCCTCCTGCTCCAGAGCAACAGAAAGGGCAGAGGGTCCAGGTTCTTGTGGCTCCATCCCTGAGAGACAAGCTCAGGGCAAGAAGACACCACAGACACAAGAAGCCAACGTTCGTTTCAAATATGAACCCCAACTTCAAGGTCACGAAGACAAATACAAGGGCTGATTTTTGCCTGAATCATTTCTCACTTGCGAGATTCTAGAGAGCTCAGGAGGGGTCTGTTCCACAGCACCAGTGCTTGGGAGCCTGTTAGAAAAGCAAATTCTGGGCCCCACCCCAAATCTCCAGAATCAGAAACTCTGGGAGTGGTTCCCAGTAACGTGGGTTCAAATAAGATTTCCAGGTGATTCTAAGCAAGGTAAAGTTTGGAAGTCATTGTTCTTCGGGAATGCTGAAGATATAACGCAAATACACACTATGTATATTTTTAAGTGTGCGTGTGAGGAGATATAGGAAAAGCATTTGCACACACAGGCGAACTCATAAACACTAGTAGCAGGCATTTGCTTGTTTCCTCTGCATTTCCACGTCTGATCCTTAGCTTACTGGTCATCATTGACATAAAGCTTACAATAAATGTAAAGCTAAACTCTCCAATTAAAAAGTACTTAAATTTAAGTGCCACATGTAAGTGCTCCCCACTTTACAATTTTTAAAATAAGCTTTGCACATGTCTGGGCAGAATAAGACTGTGGGGAGGCATTTGATCCCTGCATTATGCACCTACATATGACTCAACAGCTTGACAAACAGAATTATTATTTTAACAATCATAATAAATAGTTCCACAAATAATCCTAACGGGGGGGGAAAAACTTCCCCCAAATTTTAAAGATTGAAAGAGCACTTCAACAAGCCTTCCTTGGCTCTTCCCTGGGGCTCCGTGCTCCCACCCCGTCCTCCTGCAGTGACGTCTCCCCAGGGGGCTGAGGGTACTGGAGAGGGACCCTGGCAGATGTGGCGGCGTGGTCCTAGCTGTGTGCCACATGCCAATGAGTGGACCACTGGGTCACCTGCCCTCCGCAGCTGCAGGACCCTTCTCCCAACAAGCAAGGGGCTCTGGCACGCCCTCTATGAAGTAAGTTGGCATGATGAGCATGGAGACAGATTGTAGAAAGTTCTGGGAAACCTATAAGTGGCGTGATTACTAAAGCAAGTGGAACACAGATGAACACTGAGGGCTAACATCAGGCAGGGCATCCATGAACTCTTGCTGAAGCCAAGGCCAAAGCCCCAGGAGACTGCGATAAAAACGCCACACCCCTGCCTGGGTAAGCGTGAGGGGTGCATCCCTTCTAAAGCCTGGGGCCCTAAACCATAAAGCACCAATGACAGTAAGCAGCGGTGAACAAGGTCACAGAAGGACGACAAGTTTGTGTGTGAAAAGTCCTTCATAAACAGCAAAACTCTGTAAATATCCATTGTGAACATCCCCTGCAATTCCAGTGGGTCTTATCAGCTCATTCACTGAGCACACAAAGCATGGATCTGAGGCAACCTCTGAGCTAGGCAGCAGCACCTGCACTTGGAGAAGATCGGTGCATACAGGGAACCCTCGAGAGCTCCCAGAAATGATAACTGTAGGGCAAGGTCACCCCCTACTTCAGAGTAACAAAGGCACGTCCTGGGGAAATGGTCGAGCACACTAAGGCACAGCACATGAAGGTGGCTGACTGAGGGAAGGGAGGAGAGAATGAGATCCAGGTTAGAAGAAATCCCTTTCCTGGACAAATCGGAATTTAGAAACTAAGAAAGATCAGGTAATTTGTCTAAAGTCAGTCAGTCTGTAAGTGGCAGAACTAGAAATGCAATTAGAGTCGGCCCAGGGCTCTTTTCTCAGCATTAAAATTGCTCTCATTGAAGGCATTTCAAGAGGTTAATCCTCCCTGGTAGAATTCACCAGACTCTTCCACTTACATTCAAGAGTTCTCCCAAGTGTTAGAGCAGAGCCGCTGCCTCTGACCTACTTAGGGAACGTCGACGCCAACACAAGCCCTCTCAAGTTCAAAGAGAAGACTGCAATAACTATTAAGCATGAACTATGAATTTTTCAATTTACAGTCTCAAAAACAGAACACAGATTCATTTACATTTTACATTTAAAAAGCAAGTGAACTTCAAGTCAAGGAGTTTTAGGGTAGTTTTTGTGTTTCCTTTTGTTTTGCTGTAATGTTTCCATTATTCTCAAATCTTAATGTACTAAAAATCCTACCAGAAAAAAAAAATGTCAAGAATTGTAGTGTTTGGAACGAAACATCAAAGTACAGGTTTACACTCAATATCAAAATCACAAGTCACTGCAGAACCACAGAATAGTTGAAGGTTAGAACTAAAAGGAAGCTTGGAGATCCAAGTTTTAATCTAATTCCCTCCAGGGACTTTTGCCATTAGATTCCCTTTCACAGTAAACTAAAATGCACAGACCACTTGGTAATGCTTAATTTAATCATGCCAAAGTTATGAATTCTAAAAAGCGGTCACTAAAGATTATGTTATAAAGTTTATTCTAATACCTTCCATAATACTGATTTTTAAAATAAAACAATCTTGACTTTTCCCATACGCAAGTCTCAGATGTGTTTGAATTCATTTTTAAATATAGAAAATTAAGAATTTGGCCAGGCACAGTGGCTCATGCCTGTAATCCCAGCACTTTGGGAGGCCGAGGCCGGCGGATCACCTGAGGTCAGGAATTCAAGACCAGACTAGCCAACATGGTGAAACCCCGTTTCTATTAAAAATACAAAAAATTAGCTGGGCGTGGTGGTGGGTGCCTGTAATCCCAGCTACTCGGGAGGTTGAGGCAGGAGAATCCCTTGAACCCAGGAGGTGGAGGTTGCAGTGAGCCAAGGTAGCACCATTGCACTCCAGCCTGGGCAACAAGAGCGAAACTCTGTCTCACCAAAACAAACAAACAAACAAACAAAAATAAATAAGAGTTTGCCAATTTGCCAACAAATTCAAAGTTATACACTATATCGTTCGGTTCGAGAACGAAAATTATCTCAATTATGGAATGAAAATTTCAGGTGAGAGCATTGAAATGTAAGAAGTTACTCTCATGATGTGATGGGAACTCTTGCCTTTTGTTTCTTCTTGCACTAGTCATGTAAGATAGGCCTATGTTTCTAACTAATAAGAGCCAGGGGTTACCTGCAAATATTCCCCACAAGCTATGCATTGCAGAGGTGAATTGTCTTTTTCTCAATATATTTTTATTATGACTTTATCTTTGTTGTCTAGATTTGTATTTTTATTTATTTTTTTTTGACACAGAGTCTCACTCTATCACCCAGGCTGGAGTGGAGTGGCGCGATCTCAGGTCACTGCAACCACCGCCTCCCGGGTTCAAGCAATTCTCCTGCCTCAGCCTCCCAAGTAGCTGGGATTACAGGCGCATGCCACTGCGCCCAGCTAATTTTTGTATTTTTAGTAGAGACGGGGTTTCGCCTTGTTGGCCAGGCTGGTCTCCAACTCCTGACCTCAGGTGATCTACCCGCCTCAGGCTCCCAAAGTGCTAGGATTACTGGCATGAGCCACCACATCCAGCCATTGTCTGGATTTTTTTTTTCTTTGAGTATTTTGCGCATCTTAACATGTTACCTAAGATTTTTGATCACATTTGGGTCACGATGTTAAAAATTATCTTGAAGCTAATGGCAGAAATATCATTTTAAGCTCCTCATTAAGGTACAGGATTTCAACTCGAATGTGCCTTCCTGAAGTAAATCACGGCGATGATGTTGTGGTTCTTTGTCATTCGTGTTGCTCAGCAGTGAGAACACACAGGATACAGCAACACAACCAAGGCCAGGCACAGTGGGAGGCGGAGGTGGGTGGATCACTTGAGGTCAGGAGTTCGAGACCAGCTTGGCCAACATGGTGAAACCCTGTCTCTACTAAAAATACAAAAAATTAGCCAGGCGTGGTGGCGCACACCTGTAATCCCAGTTACTCAGGAGGCTGAGGTGGGAGAATCACTTGAACCCGGAAGGCAGAGGTTGCAGTGAGCTGAGATGGAGCCACTACACTCCAGTCTGGGCGACACAGCGAGACTCTGTCTCAACAACAACAAAAAATCAATATAACCCAAAGGCTCTTAGACTGTGCTGCTTCAGAGAGGCAAATATGCAAAGTGCTTTACTGATTTTAAAGGTTGGAATTATAACCGATGCCACACGCCCTCTCCCAGGATGAATACAGGACAGAAGCCACCACCTGGCCCCGCTGGGAAAGGCGGGAGGCTGAGTCCTATCTCCCCGTCCCAGTCTTGCTGAAAGTGGGAGGCTGGGGGAGTTTGAAAAGCTGCATCCCAAAGCCAGGCCATGTGGTTTTCCATTAACATTTGCCTGACCTAAAATCGCTTCAGTGCTTCCTACTAAGGACTGCCTTTCATCACTGAAGCAACACTCAGAGCTTGTGTTCCGAGAGTCACAGATGGCAGTGCTTTACCACAGGGGTGAGTACATCCATGCACTTGGGGTGAATGTCAGGAAGTCTCACGTGGCCCACTGAAGTCTGTGAAGGATTAGGACTTCATAATGTACTCGCTTCTGTACTTAACATATGTGACCTGAGCCACTCGTGCAGGCGGCCACAGTGACATGAAGGGCACGGACGAGTTTCAAGCCTGCACACCGGCAGTCGCAGGAGAAATGGGTGCCCAGAGTGGAGGGCAAGGGTGTATTTTGGAGGAAGAGTGGGTAGGACCACTGAGGTGGGAAACCTCAGGATGCCCCTTACTTCCCCTGCGGGTGAAGGGGAGCCGCAGAGAAGCGGGCTCAAGGTGGGAGGTGCGGAATGGGGTGGGGGACGCAGGATGGGGTCAGGGGTGTCCAGCTGCCTGGGTCCAGTGGTAGTGCTCATGGCTCCCTGAGCCCCCACGGCTGCAGACTGAGCGTTCGCACCCCGTCAAATTTGTGCTAAGACCTAATCCCCAAGGGATGGTGTTGGGAGGTGGGGCCTCTGGGAGGTGAGGAGGCTATGGCGGTGGTGCCCCCAGGGTGGGATGACTGCCCTTATGAAAGAACCCCGACAGCGGTCTTGTCCTGTCCACAATGTGAGAGGACACGAGGAGAAGGTCCCTTCTCTGAACCCGGGTGGCCCTCAGCAGACACCCAATTGGCTGGTGCTTGATCTTGGACTTCCAGCCTCCAGAGCTGCAGGGGTGAATTGGTAACTGCTGCTGTGTTTACAGGCTGCCCCGCCTATGGCTCCTCAGAGACGCCTGAACGGAGTAAGACATAACACGCCCACTAATACCATTAATGAGATCAAATTACGTTAGTCAGGACCTGCCTGGCCCTCAGCTAAAGAAACCTGGCCTCAATCCTTTGGCTGTGAGGGTCATTTCTTGTGGGATCCTGGAGTATCGCAAATACCTGAAGGCAGAAGGAGCAGAGGAGGCTTGAGTGGAGTGAAGATCTATCTTGGCTTCCAGGCAACGGGAATTGGGGTCCTGCCCATCCTCTCCCCCTGCCAGGTGCCACCCCCCCAACCCCGGCACAGTGTCCCCTGTCACCGAGGCTTCCTCCAGGACGCAGGGAATAGCCTCAGCCTGGGGCAGGCCCCACCAGGGCTGCATGGACGGGGCAAGGAGCTGCTCTAAGAGAGAAGAGGAGACAGAGGCTGACTCTCCCACATGTCACAGATGCCACCCCAGTGACATGTGTGAACCCCAAATATCTCAGACAGGTCTCGGCCAATTTAGAAAGTTTGTTTTGCCAAGGTCGAGGACATGCCCATGACACAGCCTCAGGAGGTCCCGACGACAAATGTCCAAAGTCTTCAGGGCACAGCTTGTTTTTTTTGTTTTCTTTTGGTTTTGTTTTGTTTTGAGACAGAGTCTCGCTCTGTCGCCCAGGCTGGAGTGCACTGGCGTGATCTCGGTTCACTGCAACCTCCGTCTCCCAGGTTCAAGCAATTCTCCTGCCTCAGCCTCCCGAGTAGCTGGGACTACAGGCACCCGCCACTACGCCCAGCTAATTTTTTGTATTTTTAGAGATGAGGTTTCACCGAGTTGGCCAAGCTGGTCTCGAACTCCTGACCTCAGGTGATCCACGCACCTCGGCCTCTCAAAGTGCTTGGTTTTATACATTTTAGGGAGGCACGAGACATCAATCAATATATGTAAGATGAATTTAGTTCAGTCTAGAAAGGCGGGACAACTCCAGGTGAAGGGGGGGACAACTCCAGGTGAAGGGGGGACAGCTCCAGGTGAAGGGGGGGCAGCTCCAGGTGAAGGGAGGGCAGCTCCAGGTGAAGGGGGGCAACTCCAGGTGAAGGGGGGACAACTCCAGGTGAAGGGGGGACAGCTCCAGGTGAAGGGGGGACAGCTCCAGGTGAAGGAGGGACAACTCCAGGTGAAGCGGGGGACAACTCCAGGTGAAAGAGGGACAACTCCAGGTGAAGGGGGGGGCAACTCCTGGTGAAGGGGGGGCAACTCCAGGTGAAGGTAGGGGGCAACTCCAGGTGAAGGTAGGGGACAACTCCAGGTGAAGGGGGGCAACTCCAGGTGAAGGGAGGGCAACTCCAGGTGAAGGGGGGGACAGCTCCAGGTGAAGTGGGGGACAGCTCCAGGTGAAGGAGGGACAACTCCAGGTGAAGGAGGGACAACTCCAGGTGAAGCGGGGGACAACTCCCGGTGAAGGAGAGACAACTCCAGGTGAAGGGGGGGCAACTCCAGGTGAAGGGGGGACAACTCCAGGTGAAGGGGGGACAGCTCCAGGTGAAGGGGGGGCAGCTCCAGGTGAAGGTGGGGGACAACTCCAGGTGAAGGGGGGGCAACTCCAGGTGAAGGGAGGGCAACTCCAGGTGAAGGGAGGGCAACTCCAGGTGAAGGGGGGCAACTCCAGGTGAAGGGGGGGACAGCTCCAGGTGAAGCGGGGGACAGCTCCAGGTGAAGGGGGGGCAACTCCAGGTGAAGGGGGGGGCAACTCCAGGTGAAGGGGGGCAACTCCAGGTGAAGGGAGGGCAACTCCAGGTGAAGGGGGGCAACTCCAGGTGAAGGGAGGGCAACTCCAGGTGAAGGGGGGACAGCTCCAGGTGAAGGGGGGCAACTCCAGGTGAAGGGGGGGCAACTCCAGGTGAAGGAGGGCAACTCCAGGTGAAGGTGGGGGACAACTCCAGGTGAAGGGAGGGCAACTCCAGGTGAAGGTAGGGGACAACTCCAGGTGAAGGGGGGGCAACTCCAGGTGAAGGTAGGGGACAACTCCAGGTGAAGGGGGGCAACTCCAGGTGAAGGGAGGGCAACTCCAGGTGAAGGGGGGCAACTCCAGGTGAAGGGAGGGCAACTCCAGGTGAAGGGGGGACAGCTCCAGGTGAAGGGGGGCAACTCCAGGTGAAGGGGGGGCAACTCCAGGTGAAGGAGGGCAACTCCAGGTGAAGGTGGGGGACAACTCCAGGTGAAGGGAGGGCAACTCCAGGTGAAGGGGGGCAACTCCAGGTGAAGGGGGGGACAGCTCCAGGTGAAGCGGGGGACAGCTCCAGGTGAAGGAAGGACAACTCCAGGTGAAGCGGGGGACAACTCCAGGTGAAAGAGGGACAACTCCAGGTGAAGGGGGGGCAACTCCAGGTGAAGGGGGGGGCAACTCCAGGTGAAGGAGGGCAACTCCAGGTGAAGGTAGGGGACAACTCCAGGTGAAGGGGGGCAACTCCAGGTGAAGGGGGGGGCAACTCCAGGTGAAGGAGGGCAACTCCAGGTGAAGGTGGGGGACAACTCCAGGTGAAGGGGGGCAACTCCAGGTGAAGGGAGGGCAACTCCAGGTGAAGGGGGGACAGCTCCAGGTGAAGGGGGGCAGCTCCAGGTAAAGGGGGGGACAACTCCAGGTGAAGGGGGGGCAGCTCCAGGTGAAGGGGGGGCAACTCCAAGAGGGGAGGGAGCTTCCAGGTCACAGGTAGATAAGAGACAAATGGCTGCACTGTCTTGAGTTTCTGATGATCTTTTCCAAGGGATGCAGTCAGATATGCATGTCTCGGTGAGCAGAGGGTGGCTTTGAATACAATGGGAGGCAGCTTTGCCTTGAGCAGTTCCCAGCTTGACTCTTCCCTTTAACTTAGTGATTTGGGGGTCCCAAGACTTACTTTCTTTTCATACAAGTCTTGGGGAGCAACCATTATCACATGACATTAATAAGAGCAGATGATGCATCATCCGTCAGTGTATTCTGAGGATGTAATGAGAGGATGCACACACGAGCTAGTTAGTAACCAACTAAAAATTAACTGAAGTTACAGAAAAAAAGACAACAGTACTAAGAGCTCAACCCTGATGTCGCCCGGCACTGCCCATCACGTGAGAGCCGTGAGAGCAGAGGGCACGTCTGCACACATCCCAGTGCCCTGGGCCTCCCCGGAGCCGTGAGAGCAGAGCATGTCTGCACACATCCCAGGGGCCCTGGGCCTCCCCTGAGGGAGAGGCAGACCGGCTCAGTTCACTCCCAAACCCACATGACCCACTGAAGACACTCCCTCCATGAAGGCTGGGGTTGGGAGGGGTGAATGTAGGAGGCAGCCATGTGCCACTCCCCATGAGCCCAGATGCAGGGTGCGGCTCCCCACGACCTGGGATGCAGGGTGCAGGGTGCAGCTCCCCATGACCTGGGACACAGGGTGCAGGATGCAGCTCCCCATGACCTGGGATGCAGGGTGCAGCTGCCCACGACCTGGGACACAGGGTGCAGGGTGCGGCTCCCCACGACCTGGGATGCAGGGTACAGAGTGCAGCTGCCCACGACCTGGGACGCAGAGTGCAGGATGCAGCTCCCCATGACCTGGAACGCAGGGTGCAGGGTGCGGCTCCCCACGACCTGGGACGCAGGGTGCAGGGTGCAGCTCCCTGTGACCTGGGACGCAGGGTGCAGAGTGCAGGGTGCAGCTCCCCGTGACCTGGGATGCAGGGTGCAGGGTGCAGCTCCCCACAACCTGGGATGCAGGTGCGGCTGCCCATGACCTGGGACACAGGATGCAGGGTGCAGCTCCCCACGACCTGGGATGCAGGTGCGGCTGCCTATGACCTGGGACGCAGGGTGCAGGGCACGGCTGCCCACGACCTGGGACGCGTGGAGTGTCACCAGCCCTTTTGGAGAGTTTCCCGCGTGGAGTGTGGGGCTACAAGGAGCAGTTCTCCGTCCATTACGGCCTCCCCCAGGCACTCCAGGCCCTGCCGCTCAGGCATCCATGTGGCTTGGACACCGTCAAGGCTACTGGCTTCTCTGATCCAGCTTCTTCAGGGTCTCCAGACCTCAGTCAGAGCGAGAACTTGGATCCGACTGGATGCCAGATTCAAGTTCTACCCTGCCCTCCGATTCCTGGGCTCTCAAACCCAGAGACCGTCCCAGCGTCTCTGACCTTCAGTGAGAGTTAGGAGCTCCCGGGTTATTCTATGAAATTGGGAGCTGGTCTGTCCAGCACCTAAAGATCTATCTGGGAGGGTGGGGCTTCCCTGTCCCACTGGCAGCCTGGTATTCACTGGGTCACAGTCCTGCCTCCATGTGATATCAAGTCCTCCAGGGAGCAAGTGCAGTAACAACTGTTTAAGTCACAAATCGGACACGGTCTCACTGCAAGCCACAGAATCTTACATCCTGCTGGCATTGCCAGAAGCCAGTCACCTGCCCCACTAATAATACAACCTGAGAGCACGCTGCAGTGTTCACCAATCAGCTCTAAGCATCACCTGCCCCACTAATAATACAATCTGAGAGCACGCTTCAGTGTTCACCAATCAGCTCTAAACATCACCTGCCCCACTAATAATACAATCTGAGAGCACGCTTCAGTGTTCACCAATCAGCTCTAAGCATCGCCTGCCCCACTAATAATACAATCTGAGAGCATGCTTCAGTGTTCACCAATCAGCTCTAAGCATCGCCTGCCCCACTAATAATACAACCTGAGAGCACGCTGCAGTGTTCACCAATCAGCTCTAAGCATCACCTGCCCCACTAATAATACAATCCGAGAGCACACTTCAGTGATCACCAATCAGCTCTAAGCATCGCCTGCCCCACTAATAATACAATCCGAGAGCACGCTTCACTGTTCACCAATCAGCTCTAAGCATCACCTGCCCCACTAATAATACAATCCGAGAGCACGCTTCACTGTTCACCAATCAGCTCTAAGCATCACCTGCCCCACTAATAATACAATCCGAGAGCACGCTTCACTGTTCACCAATCAGCTCTAAGCATCACCTGCCCCACTAATAATACAATCTGAGAGCATGCTTCAGTGTTCAGCGATCAGCTCTAAACATCACCTGCCCCACTAATTATACAATCTAAGAGCACGCTGCAGTGCTCACCAATCAGCTCTAAGCATCACCTGCCCCACTAATAATACAATCTGAGAGCACGCTTCAGTGTTCAGCGATCAGCTCTAAACATCACCTGCCCCACTAATTATACAATCTAAGAGCACGCTGCAGTGCTCACCAATCAGCTCTAAGCATCACCTGCCCCACTAATAATACAATCTGAGAGCACGCTTCAGTGTTCAGCGATCAGCTCTAAACATCACCTGCCCCACTAATAATACAAACTGAGAGCACGCTGCAGTGCTCACCAATCAGCTCTAAGCATCACCTGCCCCACTAATAATACAAACTGAGAGCATGCTGCATTGCTCATCAATCCCAGATGCCTCATCCACGCCTTCTGAACATCAAACTGTCAAATCGAAGTAATCAGAAAGAAATTATGATTTAATTGTGATATGTCTGACTTTTGTGTAAATAATCAACCCACACTTTTCACCCAAATTTTTGGAAGCACGAGGTTGCCAAAAGTCTTCCAAAAATGGAACAAAAGAAATCCCTGCGGAGGGGCTATCAGCTGTCAAAGACGCAATAACTACACAGAAGAGGACAAAAAAGGGGAAGACATTTCCCTGCACAAGGCAGGGAATGAACACACTCTGGGTTCTTCATTAAAACTTGGTGCAGAGGAGGGATTCGTACCAAGGTGCCGAAAGCGACGATCTGCAGATATCCTTCCCCTAGCAGCATGCCGGTGACTGTCTAAAGGGAAGAAGAATCACCATTTAAGAGGAGCCCATTTAGGATCTACGTTTTACCACACTTACGTCAGCACCCTAAGGGCTAAAGAGGAACTCTTAAGGCACTGGAAAGTTACACAAAGCGAGAGAACGGAAACCAAACGCAGGCAATCCTCAGCGGAGCTCTTCTCCAGCTGGAACAATGAGCTTTGTCCCGAGAACAAGGGGGGCACGCCCAGGCCTGGAAGCTGCAGGATGAATGGGACTTCTCAAGTTATCCTCCCACCTCCCCGCCAAGTAAACCCGGGAGCTGGTGTTTGTTTTGGAGCTGGCCTTGCTGGAGCTGAGATCGTGGGGCTGGGCTGGCTGTCGGCATGTGCCCTGGCGCAGGCCCAGGTCTCATCACGCACCCTCTGTCCCTGCCATTGTTCTGCAATTAGTTAAGAGGGGGAAACATGCTTCTTACAACCCAGCAGGACGCTTTAGCCGACAAAGCTCCTGGATTTAAAAGAGGTTCGCCCTTTCATGTTCCAGCAGCTCCTCTTTGGTCTGGGCCTGGAGTTTGCCCCTGAGGCCCCCTGTGGATGGACTGAAGGGCTTTGCTCAATCCCACCCAAACACCAAGAACCCAGTCAGCCTCCGCCCTTCGCAGGAAGCCTCTTCCTGACTAGAATGACAAAAGTCATAAGAAGCCCAAGTGATTCTCAATCCTCCTTTACAGAGGCAGAAACAGAGGCCGGGGAGGTTCCGCCCTGACCCACGATGGCAGAGGAAGGGGAGAGGGGTCCCTGATGCAGTCACGCACCCAGAACCCCCGACTCGCCCCGCAAGGAAGAAACAGTGAGAGCTCCCTGAGCTGCCCTCACCTCCAGGCCATGGTGTGACGGAACCTCCTCTCCCAGGCATCTGAGTTGCACGGGCACTGGGCACGCCCAGTTCATAGAAACGGGGACATCTTTTATGGTATCGATTTGGATCACCTCACTTCCTGTATGAGACACAAATCACCAAGAGCACGTGGAGTCTGGTGTGCCCGGCTGGGTTTGTTAAGAACCTCTCTACGTGTACAGGTTTTATCAAGTACAGTTTTTTTAAGGAGTCACTGATGATGCAGAATGCTGGCTCCAAAACACAGTCCTGCAGCGCCCTTGACCATGGTGTTGTCTGATTTCACAGACAGCACGGTGACAGGCATGATCTGCTGAGGCTGCCAGTTCACCGCGGGAGGGAGCTGGTGGCCGGTCTTCCCCACGGGAGCCAGGCTCCGTCTGGTCCCTGCGCCCTGGCTCTGATCCCACCCGTGGAACTGCAAAGAATATCCCAGCCCCTGTGCTCGCCGCTCACTCATTGGTACTAGCGACACATCTGCAGTTCATGGGCAATGCTGACCACAGGTGCGGGGACCACGAGCACTGCTGTTCGGTGAGGAGGAGGCCAGGCACCAGCAGGTGACCACGGCGCTCGCTGCAGTGAAAGGCTCAGGAGGAGGCCCGGGAGTAGCTATGGCTGCAGGGTCAGAGAGGGCCCCAGAGTGCGGGTGCTTGATCTGACGAGGGCAGGGTGTGTGGTGTTTGCTGAATGGACACTGTGCACGGCCCCACAGAAGACAGGGTGAGGAAAGGACCTCTAACGGAAGCCACAGCGGGGCTGGGGTGCAGCGGGGCTGGGGTGCAGCAGGGCTGGGGTGCAGCATGCCTAAGGGACAGCCGGAGCCAGCTTGGAGCTTCCCTTTCTTTATCTCAAACACTCTGAAG
This sequence comes from Homo sapiens, assembly GCF_000001405.40. Classification (NCBI taxonomy): domain Eukaryota; kingdom Metazoa; phylum Chordata; class Mammalia; order Primates; family Hominidae; genus Homo; species Homo sapiens. The sequence goes on from NC_000002.12 coordinate 1,709,563, forward strand.
GTTCCAAAGTCAGGGCCATTGAACAAGATGCGCTCCTGACTGCGCTCCCACTCCGCACCTGCCCGGCCCCAGGAGGCCGGCAAGGCGGCTCCCATCGGTCCTCCCGCTGTCACCCCCACGCGGTGGTGTTATCAGGAGGGGAGGCTTTGGAGGCCACGCACTTTAGATGAGGTCCTGAGAACAAGCCCCATCATGAGATTCGTGTCCTTCTAGGAAGAGGAAGCAACCCAGAGAGCGTGTTTCTCTTTCTCCACCATGTGAGGACACAGAGAGATGCCATCATCTGCAGACCTGCAAGAGGCCCTCACCAGAACCCAACTCTGCTGGCATCTTTGATCTCAGACTTCCAGCCTCCACCACTGTGAGAAAATAAATCTGTGATTCAAGCTGCCCCATCCATGGTGTTTGTGGGGCTGCCCAGGCTGCCCAATGCAAACAGCACACACTGTCTCCAAGCCCTTCCCGCCACCCAGCCCACCAGAGGAGCACACGCAGCTGCGGAGAGGAGAACATCTGGGTTCCTCCAGTTTTGCACTATTATAAATAGCCCTGCAATGACAAGCTTTCGGTACATCCCATCTGTGATGCGTGTTAATATACTTATGAAACAGGTTCCTAGAAATGGCACTGCTGTGTCAAAGGAGACACACGCCGAAGAACAGCTGCCGTCTGCTGCTCACTTGGTAGGTGTGGGCCACGTCTATAAATACAGGTGTTGCCCAAGCCTGAAGGTCAGGAACTTGCTCAAGTCTGACCGTAGCACATGGATCTACAAACACCCAGACCCAGGCCGCTGGGGGCTCAGCGTTTCTGGGGGACAGCTGGAGACAGCAGCACACGGTGGTGGTATTAGGAGGTGTGAAGCCTTTGGAGGTGACACATGTTAGATGAGCACCCGTTCCACCAGCATCCACTTTCCACCAGCACCCACTCTCCACTAGCACCCACTCTCCACCAGGACCCACTCTACGAACACCCACTCCACCAGCACCCACTCTCCACCAGCACCCTCTCCACTAGCACCCTCTCCACCAGCACCCACTCTCCACCAGCACCCACTCTCCACCAGCACCCACTCTATGAACACCCACTCTCCACCAGCACCCGCTCTACCAGCACCCACTCTATGAACACCCACTCTCCACCAGCACCCACTCCACCAGCACCCTCTCCACCAGCACCCACTCCACCAGCACCCACTCCACCAGCACCCACTCTCCACCAGCACCCACTCCACCAGCACCCACTCCACCAGCACCCACTCTCCACCAGCACCCACTCCACCAGCACCCACTCCACCAGCACCCACTCTCCACCAGCACCTGCTCCACCAGCACCCACTCTCCACCAGCACCCACTCCACCAGCACCCACTCTATGAACACCCGCTCCACCAGTACCCACTCTCCACCAGCACCCGCTCCACCAGCACCCACTCCACCAGCACCCACTCTCCACCAGCACCCACTCCACCAGCATCCACTCTACCAGCACCCGCTCCACAAGCACCCACTCTCCACCAGCACCCACTCTCCACTAGCACCCACTCCACCAGCACCCACTCTCCACCAGCACCCACTCTCCACCAGCACCCGCTCCACCAGCACCCACTCTCCACCAGCACCCGCTCCACCAGCACCCGCTCCACCAGCACCCACTCTCCACCAGCACCCACTCCACCAGCATCCACTCTACCAGCACCCGCTCCACCAGCACCCACTCTCCACCAGCACCCACTCTCCACCAGCACCCGCTCCACCAGCACCCGCTCCACCAGCACCCACTCTCCACCAGCACCCGCTCCACCAGCATCCACTCTACCAGCACCCGCTCCACAAGCACCCACTCTCCACCAGCACCCACTCTCCACTAGCACCCACTCCACCAGCACCCACTCTCCACCAGCACCCGCTCCACCAGCACCCGCTCCACCAGCACCCACTCTCCACCAGCACCCACTCCACCAGCATCCACTCCACCAGCACCCACTCTCCACCAGCATCCACTCTCCACCAGCACCCACTCCACCAGCACCCACTCTCCACCAGCACCCACTCTCCACCAGCACCCGCTCCACCAGCACCCACTCCACCAGCACCCACTCTCCACCAGCACCTGCCGAACCACTAGGCTGAATAAAAGGAGGGCCACCTGCAGGATCCACTGGGGGAAGGCAAGTGCTGGTGGAGGCTCTCTGGTGGTGATGACGCCCCTAAACAGCCAGCTCCCACTGCATTTGGGAGCCACGAACCAAATCCTCACTCAGGTCTGTGGAGATCTCAGCTCCCTATAAATAGGGGCCTGGACTTGTAACTGCTCTCTCAGGAGGCAGGAGGCTGACCCAGGAGGTCCTCCTCATCCAAAGCTCTGCTTCACTCAACCAGCGGCTCCCATCTCAGCTTCCCAAGACAAGATGTCAGGTTAACACAACTCTCAAGTAATCATCCAGTAAATTATTTTAAAATTCTTGTCAATGAAAATGTTGAGGAATATATATTGATCAAGATCAACGAGGGTAAAAAAAAGCCATTTTTTCTCTCCAATTAATATAGACTCAGAAAAGAAGGAACTGAGATAATACTAAAAGCATAGGACAGAAAGCTATTTACAAAGAAGACTGGGAAGTAAATCAAAGTACTGACAAATTGAAAGGAAGAACTACATTATAATTTTTATTACGATTTTAGGTTTCTGAGTTTAATCAGCAAATGTAAAAATGCAGTCATAATATTTAAATATTAGGCTTCTCTGGGATTTAATGACAATATCATTTTCTTCTTAAGGTGATGTTTCACTTTTTTGTAATGCATCATGTCTTAAAATAATCATAACAGTAAACCTTGTTTTACTGGGTTCAACTTTTTATAATCAGCCTATAGAGAGACTGTGGAAGACAACTGTTTGGAGGGTCAAGTTGAAATGTCAGGAGCCTGGTTCATGTCAGATCACATAACCAACAAAATTCCAAACAGGCAGAAAGGGGAGAAGAGTGGAAATCTAAATTTGCTAAATTCCTCTTCTTCCCAGCAGCGAATCCCCAGGGACGGCCTGAAGTAGAGGAGGTCACACATGGCGGCCTTGTGGTGGAAAAGCGGCCAGCAGCAGAACTAAAATGAAAACGGTCGGATGAGACTTGGGCAGGGAAACCGTTATTCTTAGTTTTAGATTTCTTTTTTTTTGGAGACGGAGTTTTGCTCTTGTTGCCCAGGCTGGAGTGCAGTGGTGCAATCTCGGCTCCCTGCAACCTCCGCCTCCAAGGTTCAAGCAATTCTCCTGCCTCAGCCTCCCAAGTAGCTGGGATTACAGGCATCCGCCACCAGGCCTGGCTGATTTTTTGTATTTTTAGTAGAGATGAGGTTCACCATGGTGGCCAGGCTGGTCTCGAACTCCTGATCTCGGGTGATCCACCCGCCTTGGCCTCCCAAAGTGCTGGGACTACAGGCGTGAGCCACTGTGTCCGGCCGTTTTGGAGTATGTTGTATATTTTTTCTTAAAAAGAATACTCCTTTAATTAAAAGTAAATGAATGAGTCACACAGGTGGCCCCTGGTTCCTAGACCTGGTGATCTTGGGGCCCGAGTCCCCAAGCCGCTGCACAAGGCCCCTGCCACCCTCCCACCTCTCTCGCGTCACAAGCAGGGCCCTCAGGATTCAGACACGCTCCCCAGAGCCTTGCAGAGCGAGATCTAAAGCAACTCTAATTTTCTGCACCAACGATCAATTACCACAGAAGAAAGAAGGCTGAGCCTCTCCCTGCTACAGTTTTGTGCTGTGGTAACTCAGCCTGGCCTCCGGGCTTCCATCCCTGCGAAAAGAAGCAGGTGGATCTGACAGGAGGCACCCAGGAAATCTGCGGCTCAGAGGTCTTCCTGCCTCCAGTCCAAAGCAAAATCCCCACCTGGAAAACCCATTCCAGACTCCTGCGGGTGACTGCAGGCTGGGGAGGAGTAGAAGGGGCACCTGCCTCTGACAGGAGAGCCCTGGGGGCCGCCTCTCCCCACTGGCCGCTCCAGCACCAGAGGCTGTCTCCCTCATAGCCCAGGGTGGCCGCATAGGGGCTGTACCTCCAAATGGACCCCGGGTGGGCGGGAGCCTCGGTCCCCCCGAATGCTCGTGTGCTCCTGGTCCTTGCAGCCACTGCAGTGCCTCCGGAGCATGGGGGCACAGACTGAGGGGCGCACCTGAGGCCCCGGGCCCCTGAGAGGTAAGAGGTGGGCAGCCAGGCAACCCAATGCAGCCTGCTGCAGAGCACTGCATCTCCCCGTAAGTGTCCTGGGGTGTTCACTGACCCCATTTTTTTGGTATTGCTTAAAAAGAGACATGAGAAGAGAACTTAAGAGTGCCTCAGCAGGCAGGAAGGAGCTCCCAGAGCCAGGAAGGCACAGGCTCCCAGGCTCTCCTGTGCGGGCCAGGCACGTGGGTCTCAAGGGACAGTGAAGTTTCATGTCACCCTGAAACATGGCCCAGCCTGGGCAACCTACGATAATATTGGCACTGGCGGCTTTGGAAATGGCCTTCGGATAAACAGCTTCAAGAAAGCGCATCCGTCACCTTTGGTGACTTCCCCGCCACAACACCCATCCACATCCAGGATACTGTTTTTTTCAACTACCTCATTTATTGCTCTTACATCTGCACTTGATTACTATGGATTTACACGTCACACCCGCAGCACCCTTGCGTAGGTAGTTGAGGGGTCAACCCCAGCCCAGGTCAAGCCCTCCAAAACCCCAGGAGCCACTCTTGGGAAGGTTCCCCTGTCCCCCGATGGTCCGGCACCCTGGCCCACTCGCTCCCATGCCTTTGAGAGGAGATCAGGTCTTGCCTCTGCCAAGAAGATGGGGCTACTGTGGGAGCAGGGACCCTGCCAGTTACACTTCCTAGAACTTCCAACCCCTTCCTCATCACCACCAATCCTCGCCCAGCAATGACCGCGGGTCCACGCTCAGGGAAATGCCCCTCCCACAGCAGGCCCAGTGCGTGCATTCCCTGAAAGGCCAGGTGGGGACATCTTTGCTTGAGGTGCAGATCCTGGCCTTGCAGCTCCTGAATTCTGTCTCTGCAGCAGGAATGCGGCCACAGAAGAGGCGACCCGGTGGCTGTGGCCAAGCTCCGATAAGCTTTTATTTATGGTGCTGAAATTCCAATTTCATAAAATGTCCACAGCATGAAATATTTACTCTTCTTTTGATTTTTTTCAGACATTTAGAAATGCAAAGTGCATAGCTCTTGGGCCGGACAAACCAGGCCTGGGTCAGATGGGGCCCCTGGCCAAGGGCACAGGAAGTAGGGGGTCCCTCTCCAGGCTCTGGGAGCCTGGCCTGGCGCCCTGTCTTGCTCACCCTGTCCCAGATTAACCTATGTCTAGCATTTATCTTTTGGGAGCATCAGGTTTTAGGCGACATATGAACACGCCACCCATTAATACAAAGCCCCCTCCCCCCATCCCCGGCTTACAAATAAACAATACAAATCTGTTTGTTCATGCATATACAGTTTACTCTTTGGGAAAAATAATCCAAAACTTCTTCCATGGGTGTTAAAAAATAAAATCAGTATTTTTCCTGCCTTCCAGTCAGAAAAACTTGGCCAGTTTTGCGTTCCTGAAAACTTCTTCCAAGGCCATTTCATTCTGCCCCAGAAAGACCCTGCTCCGGGGTTAAGGGCAAGGACAGTGGGGTCATGAGAGGGGAAAGAGCCGACGGTCATCTGCTAAAGAACCAGGCACGTGAAACAACTGCAGGAACTCCACATTTCCCGCTAAGTATGTCCGGGAAAATACTGCAGGCCGTCATCTGTCTAATTAGAAACAGCCACAAAAACAGCGACGGAGCGGGAGCCAATTCCCAGCAGAATCATGCAAATGAAATCCCAGATGAAGAGAAGGGGGAACTCAACTCAGCTTCTGCTGAGAAACTGTAAACGCCTTCCTGTTATGAAAACAGGACACAGGTGCAAATAAGGGGCTGTATCTTCTAACTCAAGGAACACGCCACGGTGCCGGGCGGGTGTCGTCCCCAGCATCCCAGAAGCACCACAGCAAGTCAGCCACAGGTTGGCTGGCTCTCTGGTGGAGCCTGGTCTCCAGCCCTGGCTTGCAGCAGCCGAACAAGCTGCAGATGGAAACAGCCAGGGAAATGCAGAGTGGACCACTTTCCAGGCTCTGAGCACAGAGACCAGAGCGGCAGGTAACTCATGGAAAGGCCTCACCTCCCTGCCCAGCCCAACCTCTGCAGGATGAATATCTTCCATACTCAGGGTTAAGGTACTTGCCCGGGAAAACCAAAATGTGTGCGTATGACACAGACATAGTTTTTTCCAGCAAACAATACAGCCCTCACCCAGCTGCCCAATGTGTGCGTATGACACAGACATAGTTTTTTCCAGGCAAACAATATAGCCCTCACCCAGCTGCTCCAAGCAAGTGTTGGTCTTTTCTAATTTGACGGCAGGTGGTGGAGTGTTGGCCAAAGACAAGGCAACAGGCAGGCCTGGGGTAGAGTCCACCTGTGCCACCTGACTGGCTGTGGCTTCCTGGACAGATGCCTGGGCCTCTCTGAGCCTCAGTGTACGTATCTATAAAACCAGGGTGGTGGGCCGGGCACAGTGGCTGATGCCTGTAATCCCAGCACTTTGGCAGGCTGAGGAGGGTGGATCACCTGAGGTCAGGAGTTTGAAACCAGCCTGACCAATATGGTGAAACCCCATCTCTTATAAAAATACAAAAATTAGCTGGGCATGGTGGTACATACCTGTAATCCCAGCTACTTGGGAGGCTGAGGCAGAAGAATCACTTGAACCCGGGAGGTGGAGGTTGCGGTGAGCCGAGACCATGCCACTGCACTCCAGCCTGGGCAACAGAGTGAGACTCCATCTCAGGAAAAAAAAAAAAAAAAAAAAAAAAAAAAAACCAGGGTGGCAACATCGCCTGCCTCCCAGGACTGCGGCAAGGACTGGATATAAGAGGTGTACAGTGGGAAGCTGGTGGTTAAGGAGGACTAGCGTGGGAGGTGGCGGGCAGGCTGGGCACAGGGACACCCTCTACCTGGGGCAAGGGGTTGGCATGGAGGCCCAGTGTGCAGCATCCTCCTCGGAAAGAGACGGGCACCTGCAATCACGTGGTGGGGCCCACAGTGAGGTCCTGTCTGGGGCCTTATGCCCTGGTGGTACCTCTCACGCCCTCCCAGCCCCTTCTCCATCAGTACAGGGGTAACCGCTCCAGACACACCTGTTTGACCCCAAGGACAAACATGAGGGGCTGGAAAATGATGAAAGGAAGCCCAGTTCCACTCCTTCATTTCACACCACATGGACAGGTTCAGATAAGTGGGTCCCTGTGCCTAAAGTCACACAGCCCAACAGGGGCAGAAAAAGAAGGCGTCACTAGCCTTGCCCCCATCCAGCCCCATGTCCCCAAAACCCTGCTCTCTGACCCACTCTCAACAGCCCCTTGGTAAGCACGATCTCTGCTGCGCTCAACACTCCCCATTTTTAACTTGGCTAAGGTCTGTATACTGATGGGAAGACAAATCTGATGTAACACAGCCATCGATCTTAAAATGCTAAGGCCTCCCCAAATCTGACGTCTAGAAACGCTGGCCATGAGAAAGCTCCCTCACTATCCTCTTGGCTGAGGCCACTCCTGAGAAAAAAAGCCTGCTTGGCTGGTGAATTCTTGGCCTTCCCCTAACAATAGATTAATGCCTAAACTGGCTGGTGGAAAGTCTGACGGGAACAGAGATTCCGCTGCTGTCTGTCCACTATTCAAGGCCTCTTTGTTCTCGGTTCTGCGGATCAGTCCAAATGCCTCTCGCCCGGGGCTATCTGATTCAACTGGGCTCAGCAGCTTTTCCTGACTGGTAACCACACAACCAGGAAACAATGGGTCCACACACAAACGGAAAAGACTTCACACACCCCTGAATCTTTGTAAACTCCTATTGACAAAAGAAAAACTTGCAACAATAGACTCACCTAATTTACCTAATAGATGAAAAGAATCAGGTCACCAAATTGTTGATGCGGGAAACTTATTTATAGAAGGTCTTCTAATAATGCAGACAGAATCACAAAATAGCTGATCCTGAGCCTGGAACCACATGGACTACTCTACTGACCTGCAGCACAGACATCCTCTACTAACCTACCCTACTAACCTACTCCACTAACCGACCACCCAAAGCTACTCTACTAACCAACTACCCAAACCTGCTCTACTAACCTACTCTGCTAAGCGACCACCCAAAGCTATTCTGCTAACCAACTACCCAAACCTGCTCTACCCACTAACCGACCACCCAAGGCTATTCTACTAACCACCTACCCAAACCTGCCCTACCCACTAACCGACCACCCAAAGCTATTCTACTAACCAACTACCCAAACCTGCTCTACCCACTAACCGACCACCCAAAGCTATTCGACTAACCAACTACCCAAACCTGCCCTACCCACTAACCGACCACCCAAAGCTATTCTACTAACCAACTACCCAAACCTGCTCTACTAACCTACTCCACTAACCGACCACCCAAAGCTACTCTACTAACCAACTACCCAACCACTCTACTAACCTACTCTGCTAACCGACCACCCAAAGCTACTCTACTAACCTACTACGCAAACCTACTCTACTCACCTATTCCACTAACCTACCACCCAAAACTACTCTACTAACCTACTACGCAAACCTACTCTACTCACCTATTCCACTAACCTACCACCCAACTCTACTAACCTACTCCACTAACCTAAAACTCAAACCTACTCCACTAATCTACCACCCAAAGCTACTCTATTAACCTACTCTACTAACTTACCACCCAAACCTACTCTATTAACGTATGTCACTAACCTACCACCTAAACTTACTCTACTAACCTACTCTAACTTACCACCCAAACCTACTCTTTTAACCTACTCCACTAACCTACCACTCAAACCTACTCCATTAACCTACTACCCGAAGCTACTCTACTAACTTACTCCACTGACCTACCACCCAAACCTACTTTATTAACCTATGCCACTAACTTACCACCCTAACCTACTCTTTTAACCTACTCCACTAACCTACCACCCAAACCTGCCACAGGGCAGCACACACGGGGTGACACAGAGCAGCAAACACGGGGTGACGCGGGCAGGGCGTGTGTGGTCCCTTTACGGCTGCTGGATCTCCAGGCCTTTCTAGGCATCCTTTCTCTGGTGATGTCCAGTCCTCTGGTTGAGCCTGGTCTCCAGCTCTGGCCTGCCACAGCCAAACAGGCTGAGGAAGAAATGGCCAGGGCAGGGCAAGGCAGAGCGGGCAGCTCCCAGCACCTGCCACCAGCAACTTGCCACAACTCCAGCCCAAAGAGGGGTTCTTATGGCCGTGGAGGAAGCCCAGCCCCGAAGACCATACCTCGCAGATGGCATGTGAGGGGCACACCCAGGACACGCTGACAGCCACGCAAGGTCCCTGCAAAGGCAAACACCGGGCACAGCAGCCGAGCTGAGACGCCAGGGGCCAGGGGCTGGCTGCACTGGCGCAGTCATGGCTCCTTAGACGAGCGAGCCAGCCTGGGGCCCTGCGGCCATGCCTCCCACCTGAGTTACTCGGAAGGGGGCTTGCTCCACACCTTCTCACACCACCTGCTCCCCGTGTGGGAACAGAGCCAGGGGAGGCAGCCACCCACCTTCACCCCTCAGCCACAGCCTGGCAATCCCCTAAGAGGACACCCCATGGAGAAAGGCCCTCCCCAGGCAGCAGCCGGCAGCACCCAACCCAGCCAGGCTCTGTCCCAGGCCCTCCTGGGTCTGTGCCCCTGCTCAGGGTCCTCTCCCCAGCACGAATCCTTACATAAACCACACAAAGCCTGTGTGCCTTGAGGGTACATGGAACCTAAGAGGGGACACTGGCCTTGCAGGAGGCATCGAACTCCTCGCCGGTCCCCGCCGACCTGCCTGCTTGGCTCCCTAGCACCCCTGTGCCTCTAACAGCGGCCTCCAGGGCCTCTCTGGATTCTCACCACAGTCCTCCAGTTTCAGCCCCCACGGCCAGCTGTTAATCCCTGAACATTTTCAAGTTCAAGTTCTCAGGAGACAGCACTGGCTGGGCTAAGCCTGACCATCAGTGACTAGCACATGGACCACTGTCCTGGGTCAGGCGCCCACCCGGTTCCAACCAGCTGCGGTCCAGGAGGACCAGGTCATGTGACACACATCGTGAACACTGGATTGGTCAGGGTTCTCCAGAGAAATGGAGACCACAGGATGTGTGTACATGCGTGCATTGTGTGTGTGTGTGTGTGTGTGTGTGTGTGTGTGTGTGTGAAAGAGAGAGAGGGAGGGAGATTCAGAGAGAGAGGGAGGGAGGGATGCAGAGAGGGAGAGAGAGAGAGGGAGGGATGCAGAGAGAGGGAGATGCACAGAGAGAGGGAGGGATGCAGAGAGAGAGGGAGGGGAGGGATGTAGAGAGAGAGAGAGAGAGAGGGAGGGATGCAGAGAGAGAGAGAGGGAGGGAGGGATGCAGAGAGAGAGGGAGGGAGGGATGCAGAGAGAGAGGGAGGGAGGGATGCAGAGAGAGAGGGAGGGAAGAATGCAGAGAGAGAGAGAGGGAGGGAGGGATGCAGAGAGAGAGAGATGCACAGAGAGAGGGAGGGATGCAGAGAGAGGGAGGGATGCAGAGAGAGAGAGAGGGAGGGAGGGATGCAGAGAGAGAGAGAGAGAGGGAGGGATGCAGAGAGAGAGAGAGGGAGGGAGGGATGCAGAGAGAGAGAGATGCACAGAGAGAGGGAGGGATGCAGAGAGAGGGAGGGATGCAGAGAGAGAGGGAGGGGAGGGATGCAGAGAGAGAGATGCACAGAGAGAGGGAGGGATGCAGAGAGAGAGGTGGGGTTGAAGGTGAGAAGAGAGGCAGAAGGGAGGTGTATTTTAAGGAGCTGGCTGAGATGGTGGTGGCTTGGCAAGTCCAGAGTCTGCAGGGAGTGCCTCGCTCCACGCTTTCTCACACCACCTGCTCCAGACCAGAGCCTGGGGAGGCAGCCGACCACCTTTGCCTCTCAGATACAGCTCTCTCTGCATCTCTTTCTCTCTCTCTGCATCTCTTTCTCTCTCTCTGCATCTCTTTCTCTCTGCATCTCTTTCTCTCTCTCTCTGCATCTCTTTCTCTCTCTCTCTCTCTCACACACACACACACACACACACACACACGTACACATATCCTGTGGTTTCCATTTCTCTGGAGAACCCTGACCAACCCAGTGTTCGCAATGTGTGTCACATGACCTGGTCCTCCCGGACCGCAGCTGGTTGGACCTGGGTGGGCGCCTGACCCAGGACAGCAGTCCTCATGCTGGCCGCTTACTGATGCTACAGCCCCGGGGAAGCATGGTAGCTGCAGCTCCAGTCCAAAAGCCGCCTCTGCTGGTGGAATTCCCTCCTGCTCCGGGGAGGTCAGCCTTTATTCCGTTAAGGCCTTCAACTAACTGGACGAGGTCCACCCACACCACAGAGGACAGTCGGCTCTACTCAAAGTCTCCAGATTTAAATGTTACTGTCCTCTAAAAACCCCTTCACAGAAACATCCAGAATAATGTCTCAGCACATATCTGGGTGCAGTGGCCCAGCCAAGTCGACATAAAATTCAGCATCACAGGCAGGCAGGCAGCGTGGCTGAGGATGGGGCTCCTTCACTTAGAAGGTGCAAATGTGGCAGGCAGCTGAGATGAAGCCAACTTAGAAGTGTCAGAATTCAAACAACTGAACGGGAATAGTTTCAACAACGGTACGGGTTAATTGAGGTGGTTCCTGTTCAGAAAGACCCAGTGTGCTCTTTGAGTTGAGCAAAACAAATGGATGAATCATGTTAATCCCACTGGGCATTCATCCAGGATTCAGCCAACCAGCAGGCAGGAAGCCCCTCTTCACAAACCAAGCCCAGGAAGTAACTGACTCCAGGCTCTAGTGAAACAGATTGAGTTTTGCTTGTTGCTTTTCTAAAAGCCTCAAATTGGCCGGGTGCGGTGGCTCACGCCTGTAATCCCAGCACTTTGGGAGGCCGAGGCGGGCGGATCACGAGGTCAGGAGATCAAGACCATACTGGCTAACACAGTGAAACCCCGTCTCTACTAAAAATTAGCCGGGCTTGGTGGCGAGCGCCTGTAGTCCCAGCTACTTGGGAGACTGAGGCAGGAGAATGGCGTGAACCCAGGAGGTGGAGCTTGCAGTGCCACTGCACTCCAGCCTGGGAGACAGAGAGAGACTCCGTCTCAAAATAAATAAATAAATAAATAAAAGCCTCAAATCAGGCTGTGCTTTAATGACCTCCACTGAGGAAATGAATCATAAAATGGAATCAAGAAATATTTATACCAAATAGTTACTAAGAGACTCAAAGGGGATCTAACCTAGGGGAATTCCCACATACACATCACTTGTTAGGAAGGCGAGAAAGGCAAGCCAAGCTGATGAGTGAATGAGGAAACGCTTTTTAAAGTGCTAAATAAGACAGTTTTATAAATGAGAAAATACCACAAGACAGAGTTAAGCGAGAAATAATGAACCCGAGAGGTGTTGACAATGGATGGGCTGAAGATGAACTATCAGGAAGTTTCTGAGCGAGCGGACACAAAATAGAACATGTAAGAAGAATAAAATTAAGCCAAAGCAGTCCCTCTTGAAAGCTCTCCACGTGGACGTCTTCACTTTACCTCAGGTTATTCCGGTCAGCAGCCAGCATGGCCGTTCCCTCACCCCAGGACTGTGATGCTGACGCAGTCTCCTCTCTCGGCACTGAGTCCTCAGAGTCCTGGTGGCTTGGCAGTCCCTCTCCCATGAGAAATTGAGAACAGGAGAATCTCAACGCAGAATCCATTGCGTGCAATGCATGGGTTATCCCAGCATCCAGATTCTAGCTGGCTGTGATCCTCAGAAGAACTGGGAACATATTCACCCAAATCATTTTCTTTGGAGCTTTATTTTCTCAATAACCAGTTGAAAAAGACTGCTAGACACAGAACTCTGAGGAACTTCCCAGCAAAGGAGGCTTCTCTAACCTCCCCTCAAAAAATATAAGAAAGTTGTATTTTAAAATCAGTGCATTCTGAACTTAGGAGAAAAGAGGTGTGCGTCTACAGGTGGGGCTCCTTCCACAGCTATCTCCTTCTCTATAACCCTCTAGCTAGGCTTCCAACACTATTCTTAAAATATGGGAGGGGGGTACGAGGAAGCAGGGACAGGGCTGTGGCTCCAGGGGCACAGTGTTGCAGGGCACGGTGTGCCTCACAGCCTGACCCCTTCTGGACCACAAGCACCTGACAGCCTGCTGCTGTCACCACTGTGGGACACTTCACAGTGATTCCAGTAGTGAGGGATGGATGGATGGGTGAATGGGTGGGTAGCTAGATGGAGAGATGTATGTGTGGATGGATGGATGCACGCATCATGGATGGATAGATAGGTGGGTGATTATGGATGAATGGACAGATGGATGGACTAATGAATGGACAGATGAATGAATGGATTAATGGATGGATGGATGAATAGATGGATGAGTGGTTATGGATGAATGGACAGATGGACTAATGAATGGATACATTGATGGATGGCTGACTGGAAAATGGATGAGTAGTTATGGATGAATGGACAGATGGATGAATGAATTAATGAATGGAAGAAAGAATAGATGGATGAGTGGTTATGAATCAATGAACAGATAGATGGACTAATGAATGGAAAGGTGAATGAATGAATGCATTAATGGATGGATAGCTGGAGGGATGGATGATGAATAAATGGATGTGTGGTTATGGATGAATGGAAAGATGGATAAACTAATGAATGAATAGATGAATGAATGTATTAATGGGTGGGTGGATGACTGGATAAATAGATGGATGAGTGGTTATGGATGAATGGACAGATGGATGAACTAATAAATGGGCAGATGGATGAATGAGTAAATTAATGGATAGATAGAAGAATAGATGGTTGAGTTGTTATGGATGAATGGACAGATGGATGGACTAATGAACGGATGGATGGATGGATTAATGGATGGATAAATGGATAGGTGGTTATGGATGGACAGACAGATGGACTAATAAATGAATAGATGGATGAATGAATGGATTAATGGATGGATGGATGGATGGATGGATGAATGGATGGATGAAAGGGGGGTTATGGATGGATGGGTAAACGTGAATGGATAGGGTGACATGGGCACTGATCCAGGAAAATTATACAATGAAAAAAACATGCACAAGAAAACAAATGTTCAAGACTAACATCAGCCGCCTGTTGCCATGCCAATACAAACATCCCACGTTTGAGTAAGTTACAATCATGAGTAACTGTATCTGCTTTAATTGATATTTTAAAAGTTAAAAGTGTTGCTCTGCTGGTTATAGATTTTTAGAAATATTTGCTTCATGCCAGGATGCAACAAGTTTCATCTTATTCCCAAAAGGAAGCTTGGCTATGACTAGGAAAAGGAGCATAAATTTAATGACAAGGACTTCAGATAAACTGCAGCCTTTGTTTTCCACTGCTGAAACACAGACACTGTCGCATTTTGTCTCCAAAGCCATGTTTCTTTCCCACAACAATTCTCAGTGAAGAAATCTTCCTGCCTGAAAGTTGTTATAGTCTTATTTTTGTCCCCACAGAAAAATATTAATCTAAGAGTTTCAATCCGTGCTAAGTCAAAATTTTTCCATCTCTACCAACATCAGCCTTATATTTTATTTAAAGTAAGTCTGAATTTCCGTTTTTTTTTTTTTTTGGTCAGAAAGCAATATTTAATAGAGACTTACACAGAAAATATCCTTTTTATAGTAGGTTCTTTTGACAAAACATGTAGAGTTGGTCACATCTCAGACTTTCTTGTGAAACTTGTGACCACTGAGGAGGTTAGATAAGCATCTTTATGAGTGTTTATCTATGCTGCAGTTTAAAGATCTTGCTGCAGAACACCTTGGTATGGAGGAGTCAAACATTGATCATCATGGTGGTTTTGCTTCAAGACGGCACCACTCTGCCATTCAACAGACTGCTCTCCTACAAAGAGACGACCCTTTCCTCATTGTGTATTCTTGGCACCCTTGTTGAAAGTTAGTTGATCATCTATGCCTGAGTTCATTTCTGGGCTCTGTATTCTGTTTGTTTGGCCAATTTGTCTGTTTTTATTCCAGTACTATAATGTTTTAATTATTATAACTTTGTAATATAATTTGAAATCAGGAAGTGTAATGCCTCATATTTTGTTCTCCTTTCTTAAGATTGCTTTGGCTGTTTGGGGTCATTTGTGGTTCCATGCAAATTTTATAGGATTGCTTTAATTCTGTTTCTGTGAAGAATGCTACTGGAATTGTAACAAGAATTGCATTGAATGTAAAGATCACTTTGGGTTGTGTAGATAGTTAAACAATATTAAGTCTTCTAATCCATGAGCACAAGATAATGCTCCATCCATTTGTTTCTTCAGTCTTTTCCCATCAATGTTTTATAGTTTTTAGCATTCAGTTATTGCATCTCCTTGGTTAATTTATTCCTAATTATTTTATTCTTTTTGATGCTATCATAACAGATTGTTTTCTTGATTCCCTTTTTGGATAATTTGCTGTTGGTTTAAAGAAATGCTACTGACTTTTGTATGTTGATTTTGTATCCTGCAACTTTACTAAATTTATTAGTTCTAATAGTTTTTAATGGAATCTTTAGGATTTTCTATATATAGGAATGAACAGAGGCAGGCAGCAAAAGCAAAAACAAGCAATGGGGAAAGGATTCCCTATTTAATAAATGGTGCTGGGAAAACTGGCTAGCCATATGTAGAAAGCTGAAACTGGATCCCTTCCTTACACCTTATACAAAAATTAATTCAAGATGGATTAAAGACTTAAACGTTAGACCTAAAACCATAAAAACCCTAGAAGAAAACCTAGGCATTACCATTCAGGACATAGGCATGGGCAAGGACTTCATGTCTAAAACACCAAAAGCAATGGCAACAAAAGCCAAAATTGACAAATGGGATCTAATTAAACTAAAGAGCTTCTGCATAGCAAAACAAACTACCATCAGAGTGAACAGGCAACCTACAGAATGGGAGAAAATTTTCGCGACCTACTCTTCTGACAAAGGGCTAATATCCAGAATCTACAATGAACTCAAACAAATTTACAAGAAAAAAACAAACAACCCCATCAAAAAGTGGGCAAAGGAAATGAACAGACACTTCTCAAAAGAAGACATTTATGTAGCCAAAAAACACATGAAAAAATGTTCATCATCACTGGCCATCAGAGAAATGCAAATCAAAACCACAATGAGATACCATCTCCCACCAGTTAGAATGGCAATCATTAAAAAGTCAGGAAGCAACAGGTGCTGGAGAGGATGTGGAGAAATAGGAACACTTTTACACCGTTGGTGGGACTGTAAACTAGTTCAACCCTTGTGGAAGTCAGTGTGGCCATTCCTCAGGGATCTAGAACTAGAAATACCATTTGACCCAGCCATCCCATTACTGGGTATATACCCAAAGGACTATAAATCATGCTGCTATAAAGACACATACACACGTATGTTTATTGCGGCACTATTCACAATAGCAAAGTCTTGGAACCAACCCAAATGTCCAACAATGATAGACTGGATTAAGAAAATGTGGCACATATACACCATGGAATACTATGCAGCCATAAAAAATGATGAGTTCATGTCCTTTATAGGGACATGGATGAAATTGGAAATCATCATTCTCAGTAAACTATCGCAAGAACAAAAAACCAAACACCGCATATTCTCACTCATAGGTGGGAATTTAACAATGAGAACACATGGACACAGGAAGGGGAACATCACACTCTGGGGACTGTTGTGGGGTCGGGGGAGGGGGGGAGGGATAGCTTTAGGAGATATACCTAATGCTAAATGACGAGTTAATGGGTGCAGCACACCAGCATGGCACATGTATACATATGTAACTAACCTGCACATTGTGCACATGTACCCTAAAACTTAAAGTATAATAATAATAAAATAAAAAAGAAAAATGTCTATTCAAGTCCTTTGCCCATTTTAGCAAGCTTGTTTGTTTTTTGTTTGTTTTACTGAGCTGTATGAGTTCCTTACATGTTTTAGATGCTAACCCCTTATCAGATAAATAGTTTGCAAATATTTATCTCCCAACCTATAGGGTGCCTTTTCATCTTGTTGATTATTTCCTTGGCTGTACAGAGCTTTTACTTTAATGTAGTCCTACTTGTTTATTTATTTTTGCTTTTGAATTTCCGTTTTTATTGTCCGTAATTCTTAGCAAAGACTTAACATAGATCTATGTGAGTATGACACTTTAGAAATCGAGAATTGCTTTTTAAAAAATAAAGACAGGGCTTTGGGAAGGGAAGGGCACACTCACGGATCATGTCCTGGACCCCCGGAAGGCAGAAAGTGTTGTCTCAAAAGGGAAAATCAGATGTTTCTTAAACACATAGGTCTGGTCGGTTAGACAAAATTGCCATTCTCAAATGCAGTGAACACTCTGCTTCCTTGTAATTTCCTGTTTGCATCCAAGTATCTGCTTCAACTAAAGTCAGCATATCAAGTAACCGCTGACGCTGACCAAGCCCTGCGAGCACACACAGCCCACCCTCCACCCGGAGAACCGCCACCGCCCCGTCACAGCCATCCCAAGTCCCTCCTGCTCCCTCCTCCTGAGCCTTGGACCAGCGGCTGCCCCTCCTTCAGACAAAGTTCTTTGGCCTCATATTTCAGTTTATCGCACTTAAATGTGCAGGATTCCATGCAAGCCGTAACGTAATAAGTAGCATCCATTGCAAGAGCAGCTACTGTGCTTGGCTGTGCGCTAGGAGGTTTGCACGCACAGCCTTCCTCACTCCTCAGGACCCCTACAGATGGGGAAGCCGAGGCTTCAAGGGGTGCGGTCACGTCCTCAAGGGAGCACATCCGGAAAGCACAGACCAGGACCCCAGCTCAAGGCTGGCACATGCCCTGCACCTGCTGCCAGCTCCACCACGCAGGTGCATTTTTCCTCAGCCCTCAGTTAGGCAGCCTTCCCATCCCTCTCAAGAACAGTCTCCACCGTGTCACACCACAGGTCAGTGGAGTCCAACCCCCTGCCCACCAGACCCCCTGTGAGTCAATCGCCGAGAGCCAGCTGAGTTCATCTCCATCCCCAGCACCTGCCAGCAGGGCCTCCACGTGGCGTGTTCTTTCTGACTTCCTAATAGTATAATTAAATATAACAACTTTAGAGTTGATCTAGTCTGAAAGGCAAGATATTTTCTCCCCTAAAGAAGATTGGTTAAGGACTGCTAAACTGTTCACTGTCTTGTGCTATTCTGCACAAGACTGTCCTGTTCCTTCTTTTGTTCTCTCTTCTTTGAGACAGGGTCTGGCTCTATTGCCCAGGCTTGAGTGCAGTGATGCAATCACAGCTCACTGCAGCCTTAACCTCCGAGGCTCAAGCAATCCTCCTGCCTCAGCCTCCAAGTGAGTAGCCAGGACTACAGGCGTATACCACCATGTGCAGCTAATTTTTGTATTTTTTGTAGAGACGGGTCTCGCCATTTTGCCCAGGCTGGTCTCTAAATCCCGAGCTCAAGAGATCCATCCGCCTCAGCCTCCCAAAGTGCTGGGATTACAAGCGTGAGCCACTGCACCCAGCCAACTGTCCTGTTCTCAACAACTAATGTAAACCCTGCAGCACAGATTCCGAGGCCGGTTTCGCTTGAGGCGGTCACACGGCAAGGGCACCTGCTGGCAGGGTCCCTGGGCCCTCAGCACAGAGCCTCTCTCTAGGAGCTACCAGCCGGAGAATACAGTCCCTCCGCATTATTTGCAGATTCCAAATTTGTGACTTCACCTCGAAAATCAGTACTTGGAGCACCTCCGCCATTATCTGCGGACAGGCGCAGAATGGGGAAAAATCGGAGTCACCTGATACCCAGGTCCACAGCTGAGCTGGTAAAGCTGACAACGGCCCTCTTGTTTCCACTCTCCTGCCGTAAACAGGGTCTTTTTCAAGGTCTATTTAGGGCCACGCATTTCACACTTTTTGTGCTTTTGTTGGTGATTTTGCTATTTAAAACGGCCCCAAAGCACAGTGTTGCCGTTCTGGCTGTGCTGCCCTCACGAGGAACAGGTGTGGTGGAGAAGCTCCACTCAGGAATGGGGGACAGTGTTCCCGGCCACAGCTCGTTAACAATGTCAGTGAATCAACAATGTACAGAAACAAAGTGTCCTTCAACAGGAATGCACGCGAAACAGGAGGATTTGAAAAAACTTTTGTGGCCACAGATATAGCCCTGCGAGTCCTCTAGAAGCGAGACAGGCCGAGCCCTCTTTTATTCAGCATTCTGGGGCTCTGCAGAACAGGACCACCATGGCTAACCAGGCTCCGCCCCGGGGAACAGCAGGCAGGGCGCTGGGCTGGCTGCTCTGTGAGCTCCTCCCAGTGCGGGGCCCGGTGTGACTATGGGTCTGGTAAGAACAGCTGACTGTGAGGCAGAGATCAAACAAGACACAGACAAGCCACACGGTGCGAACTGTCAGAACCTGGGATAAAGACAGAGCTGGCAAATAAACATACATGACAGGCACAAACGCTAGATGGTTTGGCTCTCAGGGCATACCGAAAATCAAACCATTTGCAGAAAAAACAAATTGTAAGAATCAAAATGCAGTCACTCAGCAAAGAAACATGAGCACTTACACAGGCTGTATTTCCACCATCCCGGGGTCAGAGACGGTGCCTTCAGCCCCTGACCCTCCCTTCAGCCCTCCCTCCTGACCCATTACAGGCTCCCCAACGAAGGTGCATTCTATATTAGTCCTGTAGTAAGTCAGTCACCACTGCTCAGCTACAGAGAACATCCATCCGCAGGATAATATGAACAGGGGCCAGGAAGAAAACACAACAGGGAAAGCCCACCGTAGGCCAACCACCATCCCTGGTGCAGATCAAAACCTCCCAGAATGTTCCTACAGCAGGGTGGGGGAGGGGGGTGAGGGATAAAAGTCTACACGTTGGATACAGTGTACACCACTCGGGTGATGGGTGCACCCAAATCTCAGGATTCACCACTGAAGAACTTATTCATGTAACCAAACACCACCTGTTCCCCAAAAATCTACTGAAATTTTTTTTAAAAAAAGATTTCTCTAGAAATGTGCCGTAAAAACAATCTAGACAGACACACACAAAAATGCATGCAATCACATTTTGGAAATATTGTTTGCAGGAGCAGAAAAGTAGAAACAAAGAAATGACCCATAATAAAAATTCTGTTAGGCAGATTTGGTCATTTCAAACAAATACTGTGTGGTCATTAACAATGATGATGGAGGCCTCTAATTATTGAACAGACACACAATCATAATATATTCCCAGATTTTAAAACCATACAAAGTGCATTATAGAGCAGAACATGTATCATGACCCAATTTTTGAAAATAGATACATGACAGATAAATATTAACAGGTAGACAAATACTGCTACGTACTACACACGCCTGAATGCTTCTGTGTGTGTGCATCTGAGAACAAAGCCCAGCTAATGTTTCTCCTGAATGACAGCAATGTGAGTAATTTGTTTCACTTTGTTCCTGTTTATTTTTAAATTTTTCTAACATGAACATGTGTAACTTGCATAAAAATATTTTAAAAATATGTTGTAAAAGAAAGCTGGATGATGCAATTAGTGGGTAAAAGAGCAGGCATCATAATTCTTAGCTTACAGCTTGTGGAGAAAAAGCTGCTGAGCCCTTGTGGCAAACAGGCCTGGCAGATTATACCCCTCTGTGTGCCCAACCAAACTCCACACCTACAAGAGGTGAACAGGGATGGGCAGTTGAGGGGTCCTGGGAGAGAAGGCAGTGGGGCAACTTTCCAAAGCTCTTACAAATTCATACACAACTTTAGAATTGCGCTAAGTAAACAGGAAGAGCCGGGGCTCCTTGGCTAAAGGGCAGCACCGCAGTCAGGCTCAGGGTATGGCGGACGGCCCAGCCACAGGCAGGGGAGGAGGCATGGTTTACATCTGAGTAAAACCACTTAAACATCCAGCTCCTGGTCCCCAGAAGCCAATGATCCAGGCTGAGAATTAGGGATTCCTGCTGGCTTCCTTCTAAGCCTCCACTGGTGACCCATTACTTCTCTAATTACCCAGGGCACATGTGAGGTCAAACCCAAATCTGTCCCATCCCTTAGAGAAAAGTCTTCAGTTAAGCAACTAGATTACAAGCAATCCGGCTGTGACCTATGGTTCCAGTCGCTGAAACCATTCTACCCTTAGCGCAATAATCACACTGGGCCATGATGCATAAACAAACTGCCTTTAATCCCCAAATGATAACAAAATGCTTCCTGTGAGAAGAGGAGGGAGAGAGTTTTAAAACTATCTGTGGTAGTACTTGCTACAGCCCACATTAGAAGCTGGGTTGGGAGGTGGTAAAATCACTGTAAGTCCCAGAACACAGAAGCAAGCAAAGGGAATATCAACATCACAGACCTCTCTGAAAAGTGATAAGCAGGCAGAGCTGCTCCATCCTTGCCAACAGAACACTGTTGAGAGCGCGCGCGCACACACACACACACACACACACACACATGAACTAGTGAGAGGAAGTTTTAAGAGAGCGAGCAATAATTGTGTGCTATTAAACTTTGGGACAGCTATGGCAAAAACTGAGAAGCTCACGGTCCACTTCCACTTCCTGGACATGCAGCTGACCTCCGCATCCCAGCACCCTTGCATCTGGGCTTCCTGGACAGGCAGCTGACCTCCGCATCCCAGCACCCTTGCATCTGGGTTGAGACGTGTGCTGTCTCTCCAGTGCGCTGGGAGCAGAAACAGCGCATCAGCTCCGAGCAGGTGGGAGCAGAGAGCCTTCACATAACCTCCTCTCTCCCCTTCCGTGACAGCTTCGAGGCCAGGGATGGATGATGGTGGAGCTTCAGGCGGGGCACAGCTGGGATCCTTGGGTCAATGTCAGAGCAAACATGTTCTTACCAAGCCAGACTAAACAGCTTGGCTTGTGACAACTACTCACCTCTGCCTCTGCCAGAAGTGGGCAGCCACAGACGAAATGGAGACAGATCGGCCTGACACATCCCACAGAGCTCAGGCACAAAACACGCAGCTATCCCAAGGCTTAGAGCTGAGCCTCCAGTGAAGAGCTGCCCAGCCAAGAACATTTGCACGGGGTTTTGTGTGAGTGGGGCAGGAACTCACACTGTTTTAAGGCACTGAGGTTCTGCCATTGTTCAGGACACCAACTAAAGCCGAATGGCCCTGACTAAGGCAACAGCATTCCAAAGACAGATGGAGAACACCAGGATTGAGTCATTTTCATCTTTTCTTAAATATGAGCTTGGGAATGTGAATGTGGTCATTATTTTATGATGTTATTTATTTTACCACACCTGCTTGCAGAAGAATTCAGAGATGTCTGCTTTAGAACAAGATGGGATTATAGGGGCAAGACTTTCTCTTCTGTCTGAAACAACCAAAAACCAAAAAAACTGACAAAATATATGAAGCAACTGTTTTCAAGTTACTGGGCATCAGCCAACAAAGCACTGATCCGTGTGATGGAAAACAGATGTAGCCAGCAGAAAACGGCCCCAGCTCATTGCCTAAGAGAGAAGACAACGCTGAGAACCCGGGGAGGCCAGGCAGCAGACCTGGCAGGACAGAGATGGGACGCCTGAGCCCTCCCGGGATAGGGAGAGAAAAGGCCCAGGGGCCTGCAGAGCGTCCAGCACTGAGCTGAGCCCTGAGCTGCACAAACTGCCCACAGCCAGAAAAGAGCCACCCAAATGGAGTAGGGATCACAGGGTCACACACACACGGGGCCAGAAGGATCACAGGGTCACACACACACTGGGCCAGAAGTGAGCAGTGCCGTTCTCATCAGCCAGACTGAAAACCTCATGATTCACAGGCAGTTGGTATGGGACATGGAAGGGCCTTGCCTCAGTTGTTGAAAACGATGAGCCTTAGTAAAGCACTGCTCCAATCCTGCCCAACACATCTTAAAAGCAAGACCTTAAAGAACCAAACTGTTTCCATATAACTGTACCAAGTACAAAGCTCAAGGATAATTATAAGAAAACAAAAATATCCAGTGCTCACCAAAGTGAAATTCCATTGTCTGGAATCTGCTTAAAAAATGATATGGCATGAAAGGAAGGATATTACAATCCCTATTGAGAAGATTAAATTATTCAATTAAAACCAACCCAGAGCTGCCACAGATGTTAGAGTTAGCAGATTATTAAAATTGTATTTATTCCACAAGTTCAAAACACCAAGTAGTCATGGAAGGTTTGTTTTTAATACCCGCATTTTCTAGAGGTGAAAATCACAATGTCTGATTTGAAAAACATGTAGAATTAACAGCAAATCAGACATTGAGAAAGAAAGACTTGTTACTTTCAAGACAAAAAATAGAAACTACCCAAAATGAAACACATAGAGAAAAAGGCACAGTAACAAAAAATTAAGCAATGGATGAGAGAGCTGTGGCCTAATACACGTATAACTGGAATCTTCAAAAAGAGGAGACAAAGATGGGGACAGAAAACATATCTGAAGATGAAACACCCCCAGATTTTCCAAATTTGAAGAAATCTGTAAACCCACAGGTCCAAAAATTTAAAAATAAAATTAAATAAAAAATTAAAATCAAAATTTAAAAACCCAAGCACAAAAAACACAGAGAAAACCACACCAAGGCATATCATAATCCAATTGCTCCACACCAGGGATAAGGAGAAAATCTTAAAAGCGGCCAGAAACACACAGACGTTGTACTGACACGATATGGGTGTCAGTAGATTCCTCATGGGAAACAATGTGAGAGGACATTTTTAAAGCGGTGTCGGCTGGGCGCAGTGCGGCTCACGCATATAATCCCAGCACTTTGGGAGGCCGAGGCGGGTGAATCACCTGTAGTCAGGAGTTCGAGACCAGCATGGCCAACATGGTGAAATCCCGTTTCTACTAAAAATACAAAAATTAGCCAGGTGTGGCGGTGCGCGCCTGTAATCCCAGCTACTGAGGAGGCTGAGGCAGGAGAATCGCTTGAACCCGGGAGGCGGAGGCTGCAGTGAGCCGAGATGGTGCCACTGTACTCCACCCTGGGCAACAGAGCAAGATTCTGTGTCAAATGACAAAAAAAAAAAAAAAAAAAGCAGTGTCAGAGAAAATCACCAACTCAGAATATTACTCAGGAAAATATCATTCAAAAATTAAGGCAAGGTAAAGAAAGCACTGTTTAAACATCCAAAAGCTAAAGGAATCGATTACCAATAGAGCTGCACTATAAGACATTTTTTTTAGAGCTCTTGAAGTAAAAGGACTGAAATATGAACCTACGCAGAGGAATAAGCAGCACTGGAAAGAATAAAAACATGTCTCTGTTTATCTAAATCTCTAAAAAGATAACTGACAGCTTAAATGAAATAACAGAAGTACAGTGTGGAGTTTATAACATATGTACAAATAAAATGTAGGACAACAATATCACAAAACTTGGGGCCAGAGAGAAATATACCGCTCGGATATTTCAGGTTTGGGCCCAGATCACTGAAATAAGTTAAAAATTGCAAAAAAGTTATTCACATGAATGTTTTGGTCTCCCAGTACATACAAAAGTTCTATTTTCACTATAATATAGCTGATTAACTATGCAGTAGCATTACATCTAAAAAATATACATACTTTAAAAAATATTTTATTGCTAAAAAAATTTTATAAAACACCTGAGCCTTCAGAGAGTTTTCTTCTTTTGGCTGGTAGAGAACCTTGCTTTTATGTTGCTGGCTGCTGACGGATCAGGGTGGTGGCTGCTGAAGGCTGGGGTAGCTGCGGCAATTTCTGAAAATAAGACAACAATGATGTTTGCCATATCTATTGGCTCTTCCTTTCCCAAAAGGTTTCTCTGTAGTATGCGATGCTGTTTCATAGCTTTTTATCCACAGTAGAACTTCTTTCAAAATTGAAGTCAATCGGCCAGGCATGGTGGCTCACACCTCTAATCCCAGCACTTTGGGAGGCCAAGGCGGGCGGATCACGAGGTCAAGAGACTGAGACTGTTCTGGCCAACATGGTGAAACCCCGTCTCTCCTAAAAATACAAAAATTAGCTGGGCATGGTGGCGCATGGCTGTAATCTCAGCTACTCGGGAGGCTGAAGCAGGAAAATCACTTGAACCTGGGAGGCGGAGGTTGCAGTGAGGCAAGATTGTGCCACTGCACTCCAGCCTGGCAACAGAGTGAGACTCCATCTCTCAATAAATAAATAAATAAAAATAAAGGCTCACATTTGCCTATCCTATAAAAATGGGAGTCAAACCCTGCTACTGCTTTATCCACTAGGTTTAGGGAATATTCTAGATCCTGTGTTGTCATTTCAACAATGTTCACAGCATCTTCACCAGGAGTAGAATTCATCTCAAGAAGCCACTTTTTATGCTCATCCATAGACACAACTCCCCCTCTGTTCTAGTTTATCATGAAGTTGCAGCAATTCTCTCATATCTTCAGACTCCATTTCTAATTCTAGCTCTCTTGCTATTTCCACCACATCTGCTGTGACTTTCTCCACGAAGTCTCTGAACCCCTCAAAGCCATCCATGAGGGTTGGAATCAACTTCTTCTAAACTCCTGTACATGTTGATGTTTTGACCCCCCCATGAATCAAAAATGTTCTTAATGGTGTCTAAAATGATGACTCCTTTCCAGAAGGTTTTCAGTTGACTTTGCCCAGTTTAATCAGAGAAATCGCTATCTATAGCAGTTACAGTATTATGGAATGAATTTATTAAATAATAAGACTTGAAAGTCAAAATTAGTCCCTAATTCATGGGCTGCAGAATAGATGTTTTGTGTTAGCAGCCATGAAAACAACATTAATCCCCTTGCATTCTCCATCAGAGCTCTTGGGTGACGAGATGCATTGTAAACGAGCAGCAGTATTTTGAAAATAATCTTTTTTTCCGAGCAGTAGGTCTCAACAGTGAGCTTAAAATATTCAGAGAACCATGCGGCAAACAAATATGCTGTCATCCAGGCCTTGTTTTTCCATTGGTAGAGCAGAAACACAGTAGATTTGGCAGGGTCCTTAAGACCCTAGGGTTGGGGAATGGTAAATGAGCACTGGCTTCAGTTTAAAGTCACCAGCTGCATTAGCTCCTACCAAGAGTTCACCCTGTCCTTTGAAGCTTTGAAGCCAGGCAATGACTTCTCCTCTGTAGCTATGGAAGTCCTAGATGGCATCTTCTTCCCATAGAAGGCTGCTTTGTCCACATTAAAAATCTGTTGTTGAATGTGGCCACCTTAATCACTGATACTAGCTAGAACTTCTGGAGAACTTGCTGCAGCTTCTCCATCAGCATTTGATGCTTCACCTTGCACTTTTATCTTATGCAGTTGGCTTCTTTCCTTAAACCTCATGAACCAATCTCTGCTAGCTCCAAACGTTCCTTCTGCAGCTTCCTTAACTCTCTGCCTTTACAGAAATGAAGAGAGTTAGGGCCTTGCTCTGGATCAAACTTTGGCTGAGTGGAATGTTGTGGCTGGTTTGCTCTTCTTCCCAAACCACTAAAACTTCCTCCATAAACTAACTGATGCAAGAGACCTAGCTTTTGACTTATCTCAGCTTTTGACATGCCTTCCTCACTAAGCTTAATCATTTATAGCTTTTGATTTAAAGTAAGGGACATGCAACTCTTCCTTTCACTAGTACACTGAAAGGCCACTGTAGGGTTATCAACTGGCCTGATTTCAATACTGCTGTGTCTCAGGGAATAAGGCCTGGAAAGGGAGGAGAGATGGAGGGACGGCCAGTCAGTGGACAGTCAGAACACACACAACATTTAGATTAAGTTTGTAGTCTTACATGGGTGTGGTTTATAATACCCCAAAACAATTACAATAGTAACATAAAAGATCACTGATTACAAGCCAGCCACATGGCTCACAGCTGTAATCCCAGGGCTTCAAGAGGCCAAGGTGGGAGGACTGCTTGAAGCCAGGAGTTGAAGACCAGCCTGGGCAAATAGCAAGACTCCATCTCCACAAAATAAAAAATTAAAAAGAAATTTAAAAAAAAAAATCCAGGCATGGGGGCACGTGCCTATAGTCCCAGCTACTCAGGAGTAGCTAAAAGTAGGAGGCTAAGGCAGGAGGATTACTTGCACCTTGGAGGCGGATGTCAAAACTCAGCAAGCCTACTTTAAGTATGTGCCCTTTTAAAATGTCAATTATGTCTGATAAGAGTTTTGTTATCTCATGTGGACAAAGGTCAAATCAGGTAACAGTCACTGGTCAAGCCTCTCCTTCTGATTTAACTGTAGAACAAAAGACAGATGCTCCCGAAGGCTCCTCCTAAAGCCTCCAAAGCTCTGCAGGGCTCAGCATACAACAGCCCGGTAGGACAGAGTGTGTGGGGCTGACCGCAGCCTGCTTTCCCGTAAACACCCTGCCCTGGTGCTCCGGGCTGCTCAGACGTGCAGGGCATCTGGACAGGAGCAGGGCATGAACCCTGCTTTCCACGGGCAGATGACGCAGGAGGCAGTCAGATCTGGAATAAACAAGACACCAGAACACCCAAGGCCCTCAGACGCCCGGAGGACGGCTGCCATTCTTCACCTCGGGCCTCCGGGCTAGTCTCCTTGGAGTTCTGTGTCTCCCATCCTCTTAGCTTGAAACAGGAGGGAAAGCAACATCCTCCAGAATAAAGAAACCAATGAACACAGCAGTGATGACTGATCTCGTATCTACGCCAGGATAATCTAACCCACGAAACAGCGGACAGTCTACTCATGGTTTTTGTTCGTTTTTGTCAGCTTCAGTTTACATTGCATGAGTAATCATTCCACTGAGACATCTTTTAGATTTACTATTTTGCTGTGGCCTTTTGGATCTGAAGAGAAATTAGATGGGGAAAAACATAATGCCTATTCTTTTCTTTTTTTTTTTGAGATGGAGTCTTGCTCTGTCCCCCAAGCTGGAGTTCAGTGGCACGATCTCAACTCACTGCAACCTCTGCCTCCCAGGTTCAAGCGATTCTCCTACCTCAGCCTCCCGATAGCTGGAACTACAGGCGTGAGCCACCACGCCCGGCTAATTTTTGTATTTTTAGTAGAGATGGGGTTTTGCCATGTTGGGCAGGCTGGTCTTGAACTCCTGACCTCAGGTGATCTGCCCACCTCAGCCTCCCAAAGTGCTGGGATTACAGGTGTGAGCCTCCATGCCCCCCTTAATGCCTATTTTTCAAAATAAACTTTAAAACAAAGAAAACAAAAATTACTAGTGTTATGAATTTAGAAAAATATCTATCAACCAGTTATATTACTTTAGCATCAAAAGAAGCATGCAGCCACCCACTAACATATGTGTGCTAAGTCACATGCAGGTGGTCTGGCAGCAGGCAGAGTTTAACAATTCAACCATCCAGCCTTGATCCTGAGGAGCTACTGGCCCACATAGAGAGATACCACTAACATATAAAATGTCCTGATCGGCTATTTAAGCATCAAACATGGTAAAGTTGGTCTTCTCTTAAATTGAATTCCCTCAAAAAAGGTACTTTTAAATAAATCACATTTTCTTCTGAACCCCAAAAGCATATGGAACTATCACTATTAAAATAATTAGTAAACCTGGGCGTTGGGAAGTACGAGAGAGCTCACGTGTTGGTCACTAAAGACCAGAGGCCAGCATTAGCTTCTCAGCTCCAGGCCCTGAGTAGGAGCGGGGAAGATCTCTGTACTCCTGAGAGATCACTCGATTCCCAGCCCTGAGTTCCCCTCCCAGAGCACTGATGTGGGCCGGGCAGGACTGCATGCATTTGCATCTATTTTAGCTTCTTACTGTCAAGCGCAAAGGAAAAACACCTGGATTCTCCAATCAGAAAGGTATTTATCTCATAATAAGCCAATGGGAATCAGCATAATGCAAGTTGATCTTCAAACTTTTTTTTTTTTTTGAGACTAGGTCTCGCTCTGTCACCCAGGCTGCAGTGCAGTGGCATGATCCCATCTCACTACAACCTCCGCCTCCCAGGCTCAAGCGATTCTCATGCCTCAGCCTCCCGAGTAGCTGTGACCACAGGTGTGCACCACCAGGCCCAGCTAATTGTATTTCTGGTAGAGAAGGGGTTTCGCCATGTAGCTCAGGCTGGCCTTCGAACTCCCGAGCTCAGGCAATCTGCCCGCCTTGGCCTCCCAAAGTGCTGGGATTACAGCCATCAGCCACCACACCCAGCCTGATCTTCCAACTCTTACCCAGCTTTGAGATTCATGACGTCTGCCCTGCAGACTGGAATTCTGTCTTTGTTCTGTTTACAGACTTAATTTTGAACCCTGGATCTGTGCCACGGAGGCTGCTGCCCGGACAATGCAACACCCACTTCGCTTAAAAAGGCCCAAGTTTTACCCCAGGTAAGGGGCCCTCATCAGCTTCTGGCCAGTGTGTTCCGGGAAGATCAGATGCCTTCCATGGCCCCGGAAGGTAGTCATGCGCTCCAGACCCAGTGGCAAGGCCTCCTGTCCACTCATGGACGTCTTGAAAACTGGCGTGCCACACAGACCATCTGGTCCGTTAAGACAATTCCCCAAACTTCTGCTTGTGCACTGAGTCACGCATTCTCTTTTCACCGGACTTAGCTCTGTCGGAAGGGAACTATACAGCTGCCAATCATCAGCAACTAGGGAAACTGAGTCAGAACAACAGAGAAGCAAGCCAAGTCACCCACGCTGGGGAGAAAACGATAGAATATCACAGCATGTCGACCCTGGATCAAGCCACGCTTGAACCTGGAGCTGCCCCTGGATTCAGAGTCATAGAGAAGGATATGCTTTCTTTTTACAACTATTTCCTTGACATATGAAAAAACACAGAGGAGGAAGGCAAGATCTAACAATAGAAGAGCTCAATTACTCTGACTTCCTAACAAGAGAAAGCACTTTCCAGACACGTGGCACTCATGTAGTCACATACTAGTTTTCAAAGGTTAAAGTCATGGTGAGAGCCTAAGGGTCTCACATACTCCCTGGATGGCAAACTGGACATCCCAGGAAAGGTCCCAACACACACTGTCTTGGGGATGGGCCCTCTCTAAGCTTATTTTGAACACTGAAGATTTTCCTCTTCTGGCCACAGAACACAGAGAGCTCTGAAGATCAGCCGCCTCCCAGGCTCCCACGCTGAGAAAATGTTTGGTCCGCCCACCACCTTGCAAAGATAAATTATCAACATCTAAATGTTTTAAGTATCTCTATGGTACTTTTCAAATGTATTTGCGTGGCAATAATAAAGTCTTTGACTCTGTTGTGCCAACAAACATGAGCATCATCTGTTCTATGGAAGGCAAACACTGACACTAGCACCTGCAGGACTGTCCCAGCAGACGCATCTGCACATCCCGCATAGGGCGGAGAGGCCCCAGGCTCCCACTCACACCCGGGACCACTGCAGTCTCCTGCCCAAAGGAGGAGAGGCCTGGCGTCCCGGGACCGCGGGTACTCCCAGAAGACGCAGTCAGATGTGAGGGAACTTCCCGGGAGCAGGAGGGTGCAGAGGAGGAGGAGGGCATGGGAAGTGCTGAGGGTGGACAGCCAGGGAGTCCCCGGCAGGCGGGCCCCTCTGCAGCACCAGCCAGCCGGCTCCCTGAGTGCCAGGCAACAAACACCCTGTGACCTCTATCTGCGTGTGAGGAGGAGAGGTCCTCTCCGAAAGGCAGCCAGTTCTCCAAGGGAGGTCAGGGAAGCTCCAAGGATGAACCTCGGGACCCATGTGACTCACTCAGGCGACGCAGTCTCCTAGACACAGGAAGTCAGTTAAAAGGCCCAAACACCCACTCCCACCTATGGACTATGAGCCCATAGACTCCCAGAGCCCCCAGAGGGCCTGGGGGGCCTGCAGGCGGGAGGAGACCCACAGAGCAGCAACACTGGAACCTTCTGCTCATGTGAACACAGGCCGGGAGGTGGGCTGGTCCACTCAGTCCAGACCACCAAGAGTGCAGGGTCCCAAGCACTGTGCGCCCTTTCCCCATACCCCGTCCCACCAGGACTGCACACACCTGGGGTCATCTTACCACTCCCAGGAAGCCCCCTGACTCTCTGGGGGCCCCACTGGACTGGGGATTCCATGAGGGCAAGATTCCGGTCTCGTTTTCTGTGGGTGGCCCAACACCCAGCACACGGCGTGGGCCTAACACCCAGCAGATGGTGAGAAAAACTGAGAATGAGGAGCAGCTGTCTGGAGATTCTGCAGGAGAGGAGGCCCCGCCCTGGCTGCCATGCGCCTGCCTGTGGTTTCTCTGCAATGCGACCTCCCTGAGCCCACCCCAAGCTCCACATGCCCAGACCCCTCCAATGTCAGGGTTTCTGTCACAGAACTGCAGTTTGGGACAACTCATGGCTTTGCAGCGGCCTGGACTGTGGTGAGGATGTTAGTTTTGATGAATCCATGACCATAGCCTCAACCGTGGCGGCTCCAGGGAAGAGAGGAAGGCAGGACAGGAGGAGGGCGTGGAGGGCCTAGCTCCAGTGTGTCCAGCCAGCACCCTAGCGGCGTGACCGTGAAGAAGAATGTTTCAAATGTGACCTCCCCAAAAAGCCTGGGGTTGAGAGGAGGAAAGGAAGGGGCGTACAACGGCATACTTTATCTTTAATACTAGCTTTGAACTACCATTGTGATGAACTTCTATTGTGTTGGGTACAGAATGATTCTGTATTCAAAAACCAACCATTTCTACACAGCTGAACTAAGTAAGGCCTCCAGAGGGGAGGCGCTCTGCAGGAGACCCAACAGCAAGGCCAAACCGCCGACCGAGCAGCACAGGGCGCGGGCTCCTGCCATTCCAGAGCTCCCTTCACACTTGCAGCTGAGGGAGCTCAAAGGTCGATCCAAACTGAGTCATGGATGGGCTTATTCCACTGTTTTCCAAAGCCCCCAAGCCACAAATCAAACAACCCAGTATCAGACCCGCTTAAACACACTCCTGGAGCATTTGAGGGGAAGGAGCAATAAGATGTTTTCCAATGGCTCTGATTTAATCTTTTGGGGGACTGGGATGGAGGTGAGTCTCTAAAAGCAAAGGGACGGTGTGATGGTTGGATGAGCCAACTAACTTTGGGGCAGGTTTTTTTTTAAATTTTCATATATAGTATATTCCCAATTTCTACCAAAAAATTGTAATAGAAAATAATCACATATACATGAGAGCACAGTCCTGGGAGAAAGCCGAAAGTGGACATGAAATGTTGCTTCACGTGTAGCATGTATCATGTAGAACTGTGTCATCTCAAGCAACAGCCTACCAGACCATGCCCCCAGAGACCCCTCAACAGGATATCCCCGCAGAATAGGTCTCCCTCTTCCCTCAGTCCCTGCCTCCCCAGGCTGCACTCACTAGCGCTCGCTCATGACACCTGTCCACTGTGCCTAGGTCCGCACAGCTACACCCTCACGTTCTCCCAGGAGACACGGGACTTGCTAAAAATCACGCGGCTGCAATGCATCCAGCCAGGACTCCATTCTGGCCACCAGCGCTACGCTCCTCCTCTTGGCCACAGGAATAGCGTCAGGAGCTGCGCTTCTCTCCCAGAGCTTCTGTTTCCACCGCCAGAAAATGGGTATGTTCATTTCTCCAGTAAAGTGTTTAGTTCTATAAGGGATTCGATCAACTTAACAGCTACCAGTCTACCTGCCTCACAGAATCAACGTGACTCAACAGCGACATTTCGAAGTATCACTGAAGACTGCAAAAACCCCTGAAAGTTTAAGATAGAAATGGATGCAAATGTACCCTATGAGGAAGTGTTGTGCGAGTGGACGATGATGTCACCCGTCTACTCTCAGCTCCTTTTTCAAATTCGGTGAGGCGTTTGTGGACGAGCACACCATGCAAAGCGGAGCAGAGGACCCCATGTGTGTCCTACGACACTTATTTTAACATGTTATTTTCAACAAGCAATTAATATTCCGGGGCAAAACATACCGCAAGCTTTATGAAACTGACCAGATGGGAAAAATCTTTGAGGTGCCATTTTTCCACTGGCTCAGCAAGAATTACATTATCCAGACCCAGGGAAACCTCACCCGGCTCCATTCTAAAAGTCCACTGCTGTTGAGTGAGATGCCCCCGAGTCGTCCGGCCTGGGCTGACCATTCACGGGCTCTGGAAAGAAAGCCTTGGTCTCTCTGCGGAGGAGGAGAGGAACTCGGGCCCCCGCCCCGCCCCAGGGCCTCCAGGAAGCAGCCTGCAAACTCGGCGACCCCTGGGAGCCGTGGTCTGTCCCAGCACTTTGTTTCGGAGGTAGGCGCACTGGCCGCCCACTTCCTGAATTGTTCACTCAATTTTTTTACAACTTTTGCAGACTCTTTGCTGGTGCCAAAAAGTCCTCTGGCTCAGCTAAGAAACGTGAAAACTATTTTTGGCATGCAGAAAAGTCGCTACAGGACTAAATTAGAGTCGGCGCCTGAAACGCAGCCCGCGTTCACAGATCCCGAAAATGTTGAATCCGACTCGCTTCAGAACACAGGAGGCCTGCAGCGAACTCTGGCGGCATCTCGGTACCTGGAGCCGCGGGGCGGAGGGATGGGGATTCCTGCTGTGGAGACCGTGACGCGGGACGGCCCGCAGGACAGGGTGTCAACCCCAACGCAACGCATCCGGTTAAACGTATAGCGCAACTGCGAACACGCTCGCGTGGATTAGAAGCGAAAGAAGAGAAATGCCCGAGGCAGAAACCCGCTCTGAGTCCCGGCTCCATCTAGACCCGGGCTGCCCCGAGACTACCGCGCGGCCCCTCTCGGGAACCCCGGCCGCCCGGCTCGCTCCGGGCGCAGGAAAAGCCCCTGAGAAGCGCGGGGCCCCCAGGACACCCCAGGAGAGGACGCTCCGGGCAGATGCGGGGGCACTGGGAGCGGGGGCGCCGCGGCTGCGGGAACTGAGGCTCCTCTGGGGAGGCTTCCCCGGCGCGGGGGGATGGGGTGGGCACTGCGCTCCAAGGGGCGGGGGAGGGGGAGAGGGCGGAGGCTGGGGGAGGAGAAGGAAGGGGGGGAGGAGGAGGGGAAGGGAGGAGGAGGAGGAAGGGGAGGAGGAGGAGGAAGGGGAGGAGGAGGAGGAAGGGGAGGAGGAAGAGGAGCGGAGGAGGGGAGCGAACAGGACGAGGAACGGGGCGGAGGGGGCTGGGAGGACGGAGGGGGCTGCGCCGCGCTCGGGGAGCGGAGGGGGACCGAGGGGTCCTGAGCGGGGGAAAGGTGAGCGGAGGAGGGGCCGCGAACCAGGGGGAAGCGGGAGGCCGGCGGAGCATGAGAGGGGGCGGCGGGAGGCGAGCGGGGGGAGCCCCGGAGGCTCCAACAACTTCCCAGTCCTGCGGGGATTCCGAGTTCCGAACAAAGGCGGCTACGAAGGCCGCGCGCACAGCGCTCTGTTCCGCCCCTCGGCGTCTCCCGCAGGGCGAACAAAGGCCCAGCGGGTCCCCGCGCCCAGGTCCCCCCACGTCCCCCTTCGGAGGTTCCCTTCTGCGTCCCAAGTCCCCAGGCCCCCCGCGCGCCCGATGCCCCCTCCACCCTCCGCGCCCCCCACCTCCGATCACCCCTGCGCTCCCGGATCTCCACGAAGCCCCGGACCCCGCGCCCCCGGCGTCCCCCGCGGCACTCACAGGATGGAGGTCTGCGGCGCCACGGCGGGCACGGCCTCCAGCAGCAGATGCATGCAGCGCACGGTGGTGCGGAAGCACAGGCAGCGGCTCGGACACCCTGCGCCCGGCTTCTGGGCCACCACGGCCAGCGTCCCCCAGGCGCAGAACAGCACGAGCGCCAACAGGCAGCGGCGCCCGGGGCCCCTGGAGCGCTTGGCCATGGCCGACGGCGCGGACGGACGCTCGGACGCACGGAGCCACCACGGCCGGCTCCCGACTGCGCCCGCCCGGCCGCGGCCCACGTCCCAGCTGTGCGCGGGGGGCGGGGGGCGCCAGCTGTGCACATGCGCGAGGCTCCTCCCGGCCCCTCTGAATCCCCGAGGGCGGGGCGGGGCGAGAACCCGGGGCCCCAGCGTCCGGCCTGAGCGCCCTCATCCCGGTGGGGCGGCCCGCATGGCCAAGGCGAGCGCTCGGGGGCGCGGAGGAGAGCATTGGCACCCCTGATTCTGCGCTCGAGACTCGGGGCTCGGGACCCTGGGGCCTACGCGAAGCTTCTCCACTTCTCTTACCCGTGGTTTCTGCCTGCGCTCACTACGGGTTTTTTAGTTGGCGCCTTAATGTTTGTAACACTTTTAGAGCGCTTGCTCTGATCCGGGCACGATTCCAGGCGCGCAGGCGCGCTCCTCTCTTTCTCCTTCTCCCTACCCGCAACCACGTAGGAAATTATTTAACGTTCCAAAAAAGCCCCTCATTCCTTTTGAGGAAACTGAGGCCCAAGCCCCAAAGCGCACAGCAAGGGAGTCTGCGGGAAGATTAGACCCAGGCGGTCCGGCTCCCCGGGGCCTGTCAGCCACCTGCTCTCTGCCGGCCGCCTGGCTCAGCACAGTTGGGAAAATGAAAGGTCCTGTGTGGAGTCCTTGGCGCGGCGCAATGCAGCCCCCGGGATTCTCGCGGCCTTCAGTGCGTGCCCTCCTGGGACAGACCTAGGAGGAGACCCAGGGAACCCCCCCCCCCCACGTCGGGTGTGTCTAGAGACAGCAGAAGACTTTGGAAAGGAGGGAAGACACTGCGTGAGATACGCACAAAGGTGGCGTTCTCACATAGTTCATACATTCTCTCCAATCATCTCACAAGGACCCAGTCTGAATTTCACAGACAAGGAAGGTGAGGCCAAGTTGCTGAACCCAGGCCACAGGGTGACGGTGCCAGATTCAGAGGCACAGCATGGGCGTGTTCCCGTCGCAAACCCCAAGTCTCAGCTGTGTCCCCGTGCTGGTGTTCTAGCCTGAGCTGCGTTTGAAAGCAGCCTGGAATGGGATTGGTGGGTAATAGGCTAGTTTCCTGTTGCTATGTTAAAACACAAAAGCAACTACCACGAGACATAGCCCGGAGGTCACAGGTGCATTGCTGACCACAGGGCACCATCTAAGGACTGGACCCCCGAGGCTGCTGGCAGGGGGTTCCAGTTCCTTGCCGTGTGGGTCTCCATGGCCTGCACACTGGACATGGCCTGATGCCTCCCAGAGCAGGTATTAGAAGAAAGAGGAAGAGAATGAGAGTACAACACAGAAGCCAGGGTAAAACCTAACCCAGCCTTGGAACTGGCCCCGCATCACACCTGCGGGGTGCATCCTCAGAGGTCGGTGGCTCCCGCTGACATTCCAGATGCCATCTTTCCTGCAGGATTTTATCCACCCTCTACAGCGGATGCAGCTCACACTCCGGATTCCATTTCTCCTGCAGGATCCTATTCACACACTCCGGTGGGCCCAGCTCACACTGCAGACAACATCTCTCCTGCAGGATACTATCCACACACAGAAGTGGGTCCAGCTCACACTGCAGACATCTCTCCTGCAAGATCCTATTCACACATTCCAGTGACTCCAGTTCACACTGTAGATGCCAAAACTTATGCAGGATTCTATGCACACACACTAGTGGTGCATTTCACACTCCGGATGCCGTATCTTCTGCAGAATCCTGTCCACACATTTCAGTGGGTCCAGTTCACGCTCTACATGTGCTCTCTCCTGCGGGCTCCTATCCACACACTCCGGAGGTGCCATTCACACTCTAGATGCCATCTCTCCTGCAGGACGATGTCCACACCCTCCAGTGGGTCCAGTTCACACTCTAGAGGACATCACTTTTGCAGGATCCTCTCTACACATTCCACCGGTGCCATTCACACCACAGATGCTGTCTCTTTGCAGAGTCCTATCCACATGCCCCAGGGCTGCAGCTCACACTGCAGACACCATCACCCCTGCAGTATCCTATCCACACACCTCAGTGGGTCCCATTCACACTCCAGAGGCTATCACTTTTGCAGGATCCTATACACACACTTTAATGGGGCCAGCTCACAGTCCAGAAGCCGTTACTCCAGCATGATTCTAGCTACACACCCCAGTGGCCCAGTTTACACTGCAGATGCCTTGTCTTCTGCAGGATCCTCTCCAGGCACAACAGTGGGTCCAGTTCACACTCCAGTTGCCATCTCTCCTGCAGGACCCTACCCATACACTCAAGTGGGTCCAGTTCACACTCCAAATGCCATCCACCTGCAGCATCCCAACCTCTCACTCAAGTGGGTGCAGTTCACACTCCAGTTGCCATCTCTCCTGCAGGACCCTACCCACACACTACAGTGCTCCACTTCACACAGCAGACATCATCACTGCTGAAGGCTGCTGTCCACACAGTCCTGTGGATGCAGTGCTCACTCCACATGCCATCACTCTTGCAGGATCCTACCCACACACTCGAGGCAGTCCAGATCACACTGCAGATGTCATCACTCCTGCAAGATGCTATCCATACACTCCAGTGGGTTCGGTTCACACTGCAGATGCCATCTCTCCTCAAAGATCCTGTCTACACATAGCAGTGGTTGAGTTTGGGTCCCACCCAAAGATTCCAGTGGGTCCGCTTCCCACTGCACACGCCATCTCACCTGCAGGATTCTCTCCATACACTCCACTCAGTCCAGTTTACATTCTACATGTCGTCTCTCCTGCAAGATTCTATCCACACACTCGAGTAGGTCCAGCTGAAACTCCATATGCCATCGCCCCTGCGGGATCCTGCGCACACTCTCCAGTGGGTTCAGATTAGACTCCGGGTGCCATCGCCCCTGCGGGATCCTGCGCACACATTCGAGTGGGTTTAGTTCAGATTCCGATGCCATCACCCCTGCAGGGTCCTGTCCACGCACTCCAGAGGATTCATTTCAGACTCCGGGTGCCATCGCCCCTGCGGGATCCTGTGCACACACTCCAGTGGGTTCAGATTAGACTCCGGGTGCCATCACCCCTGCAGGATCCTGTGCACACACTCCAGTGAGTTCAGCCATCACCCCGCAGGATCCTGTGCACACACGCCAGTGGGTTCAGCCATCACCCCGCAGGATCCTGTGCACACACACCAGTGGGTCCAGATGCAGATGCCATCACTCCTCCTGGATCCTCTCCACACCCTCCTGTTGTTCCAGCTCACACTGGACGCCATCTCTCCTGCTGGATTCCATCCACAGATGCTCTTGCGTCCAGCACATGCCACAGCAGAGCATCAACTGGGAGCGTAAGGAACATGAGACAGAACCACTGGGGACCATCTTAGAGGCTGCCTACCACGTGTCACTCTTGAGTTTGTGTAGAACAGGGATGCTTGTGAGAATGCTTCTTCTGTATTTCCATAATGGCAGAATGCTGGGTGGGAGCTGCAAACATTATATTCAGCAGAGGAGGAGACAGAGTCCTAGGCAGACTTCAGTACAGTCCTGCTGTTAAGTACCTGGAGCTAGAGCAGACCCCGCAGGTTACAGATGTGGATGGACCTCAGTAAGGCTGCCCTCACTTTAATACTACCTGTGTGTCCAGTGGTCCCCAGGCCATCCACACTTCTGACTGGTTACAGATTCATAGGTTTCTGAGACCCCCTCCAGCTCCATCTCCTGCTGGAACCACCCACACAACAGATGAAAGTGCTGTGGTTACAAATACAGCTGTATTATAATTGATACCAATCTGAACCTCCAAATGAAATACATCAGGTGAGGTCAGGGAGGGTCCCAAATGCAGAGCCTCTGTGCCTGGCCTGTGGGATCAGGGCCCATCACCACCCGGCACAGGGACATGATCACCAACAGGGAAGCTCTACTGAGCTTTGGTGTCCAGAGTTTTCACCAGGGTTTTATGGCTCAAGCAGGACTGATGACACACTGTCCATGGGGTTGAACTCTCCAGGGAGGTCAGGCTGACAGCACAAGGCCCAAACACTTCACCCTACAATCGCATGGTCAGTCCTAGTGATCAGCCTCCATCCTGTGTTCCTTCATCAGCGTCAGCTCAGACATGGCTGGGAGCTCATCATGAATACACACGCTCCTGTCCCTGGGGAAATTCCAAGGGCTTTGGAAGCTCTGTCCCGGGAACCTGAGGAAAAGACCCAATTCCTTCTCAAACACACAAGCTTTACATGGATACTCGTGTTTAGGAAAGTGGCACCCGCTGCTGTGTCTGCCGTTTTAAGCAAGCACCCCGCTCACAAGGCGTAATTACCTTTTTGGTCATCTAGGGACCCTTTCCAAGCCATCCAGGTGTCCTAGGTACTAAGGAGTCACACATCTACCCGCAGCACGCTCTGGGGCTCCGTACTCACTTCCAGATGCTTTCCAGACATCTCCACCTCGATGTCCCACAAGAATTCCAATGTTATGATGTCAGAAACTAGAACATCGCTCTCCATAAAAAATGCGCTTTTTCTCCAGAATCTCTAATGCAATCCTCCGCCAACCTGGAGGTCATTCTCACCTCAATCCCTACCCCATCCTTAAATACAGCAGTCACAGGATCCTGTTAATTCCTTGTGCTGAGCACTGTTCCTTCCACATGGCTGTTGGCAGAGCTCTGGCCCCTGGACCACCACTGAGACCCCTCCTGGGCATGTGCCTTTGGGTCTGCCTGGCTCATCACAGAGAATGAAGCTCACAGAGAATGTGCCGCAGCTCGGACCCTGCCACCGCTGTATGCAAGCACCTCTCAGCCCCCTGCCTAATGGGGTGGGCTTGGGGCCACCATCTCCGGTGGCTTTGCGTCTGTTCTTCCAGCCCCTTCTCTCCACAAACACCAGACATCAACTTATTTCAACTTTATTTCCTGGCAAACTGCTACTGAACCTTCTAGAATCTGCTCAGTTGGGTGGCTCCCTCTGTGCACCCCTCCAGGCCCTGGTTCCCACCGTCTTCCCAGTGTGAATATCCTTCTAGTGCTACAGCCCACCCCACACAGCCCCAGGACAAGGTTTCCATGCCTAGCTCCCTGTCAAGGCCAAGAGCCCTCGGGGATGGACTAGAACAGTCATTGTTGGGTGAAAACAAGTGTACCATGTGCTACACTGCGTGCATTACTGCCCAGCCCCAGATGATCAGGTGGACTCTTGGGCAGCCTTGCAGTTCTGAGTTTGCCCTGACATTCGCTGGGGTGGGTGACAAAGACTAGAAACATCTGGAAAAGACCTCTGCATTCTCTGCTTTAAGTTTGCTCAAGTTTAGAAATCATCAGAAACATCATAATAATGATTATGAGGTCATTTCAGCATCTCAACAGAACTCCAGGGGAAGTGCTGGGTATGGACATTCCATCGTGAGGAGGGGCCCTGTGACTGCAGATACTCAATGCCTTCCAAGTGCGCTGGTGCCACCTTCAAGTGACACTTCTCAGAGTGTCACCCAGTGGCCCAGAGGCTCCCTAGTGTGTAGTCCACCCTCGCTCAGACACGGCGGCCTGTACCTGACATCCACACTCCCCACCTGCTGCCACCCACAGGAGCATTTCAGGGCATCACGAATTGGTGGCTTTTCTTTCCAGTTCAACAGGCATCTCCCAAGTCACCTGTGGTGATTGCTTTTATATGTCCACGTGGCCACACTCATCTAGACATTGCTCTGAAGGTATTGCGGTTGTGGTTAATCTCTATCATCAGTTGACCTTAGGTGGAGGAGGTGACCTTTGATGATGTGAGTGAGCCCTGTCTAAGCAGGTGGAGGCATTGAGAGCAAAACCTGAGGTTTCCCAGAAAAGGAGAAATTTTGCCTCAAGGCTGCAGCTTCAGCTCCTGATTTCAGACCTGCTGGCCCCACAATCACTTGAGCCGATTTAAAAAATCTATCCATCAATCAATGTATCCATCCACCCATCAACTCACCTATTCATACATGTACTCATCCTTGCATCCATTCATCCCTCCCTCCTTCTTTCCCTCCTTCGTTCATTCTTCTCCTCCCCCCTCCCTCCCTCCCTCCCTCCCCCCCTCCCTCCCCCCCTCCCTCCCTCCCTCCCTCCCCCCTCCCTCCCTCCCTCCCTCCCTCCCCCCTCCCTCCCTCCCTCCCTCCCTCCCTCCCCCCTCCCTCCCTCCCTCCCCCCCCTCCCTCCCTCCCCCCCCTCCCCCCCTCCCTCCCTCCCTCCCTTCTCTTC
Source organism: Homo sapiens (assembly GCF_000001405.40). Classification (NCBI taxonomy): domain Eukaryota; kingdom Metazoa; phylum Chordata; class Mammalia; order Primates; family Hominidae; genus Homo; species Homo sapiens. The sequence continues at coordinate 1,750,714 of NC_000002.12, forward strand.
TTTCCTCCTTCTTCCCCCAATCCCTTCCCTCCTTCCCTCCCTTCTCCCCATCCCCATCCACGGATCCATCCTATGGACCCCATCCTATGTGTCCCTGAAGACCCCCGAGTGGCATAGCATTCGTTTGCATGTGTGTGGCATTGGCAGGGGAGTCTGGGCAGGGGGTGGTCAGTGCAATGACTTGGGCCTGAAAGAATGAGGTTTTGGTGGTGAGCTCTTCCCCTGTGGAGCTGAATGTGCAGCCGTGTGTTTTGTTCACGGCTTCCTGCGTCTGCCCTCTAGAGGCCCACAGAAGCCTCGCACCTCCCCAGCCCGGCGTCTGCGGGTGAATTGTCTGAGCAGGAGCACAACAGCTTAAGCTTCATGTTCTCCGGGCCCAGGTGAAATACTCTCACCCCCTCTGATGGCCACTTTCCAATCCTGTTATCCGCCCCCAGTCTTGTGATCTGTCCCACAGCAAACACTCCTTCCAGGTGTGAGTTGTGCCAAGGAACACTGTTTCGTTGTCACACATAGTACTTAGACGCAGTGAGTGAAGAGACACTTGGTCCCGGGCCCCCTTCTCTGCACACACTGCCCTGTGTGCTACAGCATGCCAGGCAGGGTGCCAGGACAGCAGGCCCGTGAAGACCATGGCGGCGGCTGTCTGAAGACCAGCTCACAGCAGGAGCTGCGCTGAGATCTTCTCCTGGGTGCTCATGCTGGGGCCCGAGGTCGTATGGAAAAGGCTTGTCCCCCTTGCTGGATGTCACAAGGCTCAGGTGAGTGGGTCAGAGCCATGTTCCCAGTGAGTTCCCGGTCAGTGTCAGCTCAACCACAGCAAAGGACAGCCGGGCAGGGCACCAGGCTCCTGGCAGACCCACGGTGAGAGGCAGCTGCAGGCTCAGAACACAATTTACTGTGTTCAGTTCAGCCACAGAAAGATGAGATTCTAGAATTTAAATGCTAAGCATGGAGAGTCACCACTTCTCTGTCCAAAGGTCCCTCCATCCGCCAGAGCACCGGGTCAGGCACCCGGGACATGCCCAGGAGTGGAGAGAAGAGGGGTCCTGAGGGTCCTCACCTTGTGAGAGTCACATCTTCACTGCTCCTCCCCCATGGGATCTTTATGTAAATTAAGCCGCACACTTAGATTCCACATTTTTCTCAGATAGGCGCCAACAGGGGCTTTCTGCATGCCTAGGTGATGAAGTCAGAGGGTGGAAGGCTCATGTCTGGGAGAGGGGTCCCGCTAATAACCCCCTCCCCAACAGGGGTCCTGGGTGTAGACAGAGGCCTCCCCAGCCCAGGCCCTTGGCACGCTGTGTGCGGAGGTGGGCGACCCTCTGTCCACCCTCGGGGAGAGGGTCTGCTTCCTGCCTTCCATGAGCCGCGCTGGGGCTAGCCAAGGCCTCTGCAGGAGGGGGAAGCACCGAGAGGGTTTCAGGGTTACAGTGGAGGGAGTTTAATTGGGCGACTGAGAGGTGAGGCAGTTAGGGAAGCAACCAAGCATCTCCACCATGCCCCCACCCTCGGAGGCCATGGAAGGCGGGGGGAGGAACGTGTGAGCCTCACCTAGCTAGATTTATAACTGCAGGAGGGGCTGCCAGGGGCCATGGCTGCAGGTGGATGGCTGGGAGGGCAGGGAGGGCATGTGGAGCCACTGAGGCTGATGCCATCCCCTGGTCACCCAGGAGGAAGCCAGGCGGTAACGGGGACTGGGCAATTCCCTATTAGAGGTTGGTTCCCCAGGACAGGTGAGGCAAGGAAGGGCAGAGACTGGACCTGGAAAATCCAGCGTGAGCACAGCACCCAGCCAGCTTCCAGGGAAGTGAGCGGGCAATGAAAACAGACAAGGAAGGGCAGAGACCCTGAGAAACTCACAGTTAGGTGGAAACACAGTCTTAAATGCAAGACACTTAGGCCAAGCGTGACGGCTCACACCTGTCATCTCAGCATTTTGGGAGACCAAGATGGGAGAATCACTTGAGTCCTGGAGCTTGAGACCAGCCTGGGCAACGTAGTGAGACCTTGTCTTTACAAAGATAAAACATATATATTTAAAAAATGTTTTTAAAGCCACGTGGATAGAAGCTGCTTGGATGACCACATTAAGTGAATGGCCGCATCTGTGCACTGGCTCTGCAGCCCTGGGCAGCGACACAGAGACAGCAAGCAGAGCATCCATCACCAGGATTCTCAGGCAGGTGTTACACCAGAGCTCATGCGTGTCTGGCCCCAGGCTCTGAGCTGTGGCGCATTCTTCTTGCACATGCCCTGTAGGCCGGGTGAAATGTTGTCACTGAAGGTGAGCTAGGAAGTCACAGGGCAGGTTTCACAAGAGACACATCACAAAGACCCTGCTCATAAAACAGGATGTGGGAGAGAAGCCAGCCAAAACCAAGATGGTGGCAAAAGAAACCTCTGTTCATTATACACTAATCATAATGCATTTGCATATGCTCAATGACGTGCCTGGCAGCACCAAGACAGTTTACAGACGCCATGGCAACGTCTGGAAGTTACCCTATGGGGTCTGAAGTGGGGAGGAATTCTCAGTTCTTGGGGAATTCCCTGCCTTTTTCCCAGAAAACTCATGAATAATCCACCTGTTGTTCGGCATATAATCAAGAAATAACCATAAAAATAGCCACCCTTTTATTCCTGTGCGGTAACCACCCATTTATTTCTTTACTTTCTTGATTAACCTGATTTCACTCTGTCCTCTTGCTCTTTTTTTTTTTTTGAGACAGAGTCTCGCCCTGTCACCAGGCTGGAGTGCAGTGGCATGAACTCAGCTCACTGCAACCTCCACCTCCCGGGTTCCAGCGATTCTCCTGCCTCAGCCTCCCGAGTAGCTGGGATTACAGATGTGCACCACCACGTCCAGCTAATCTTTGTATTTTTAGTAGAGATGGGATTTCACCATGTTGGCCAGGCTGGTCTCAAAATCCTGACCTCAAGCAATCCACCTGCCTCGGCCTCCCAAAGTGCTGGGATTACAGGCGTGAGCCACTGTGCCCAGCCTGTCCTCTCACTCTTGAATTCCTTCCTGCATGACACTAAGAACCCATGTGACCTCCCGGGATGAGCCCCGATTTGGGGGTTCACCTGTGATAAAGTAAGCTGGTGAACAGCAGGGAAGCACTCTGTGTCTGTAGCTTCCTGTGAGTATGCAATCATTTCAAAATTAAAAGTTTGTTAAAGCTATAAAAATTATAAAATAAATTAATAAAAATCATTGTCTCAATCTTCACAACAATCATGAACCTTGAAAATGAATTACTGTTTTGTTTACGCAGAAGAGGAACATGAGACACAGATGGGCTGAGTAAGCCCCCACGACGGCAGCAGGGGAGTGAAATGGAACCAGGGTCTCCAGCCCAGGCCACGCCCCCTCCCCGGGATGCCTGCTTGCTCTGAGCCCAGCGTTTCCATGTGTGAAGTGTCTGCCATGTTAGGGCAGCCGAGGACCCAGCATCCCAGGTTCTCTGTGCAGTGTTCATCACTTGCCCTCCAGATCTTCCCAACTCCCACCTCCCCAGCCGGCCTCCCCACTCCTGCGGAAGTAACTGCTGGGGCCCAGGACTCACTGTTGCCCCAAATGCCCAGCACTTAGCCCTCCTCGTGCAAGACTCAGCTGTAACCTCAGGTCCTTTGAAGGCTCCCATGCACTGGCCCACCTGCGGGGAAAGCTGGTCTTCCTCCGTGCCCGTCATGATGTCTCCGTCCCTTCCTCACCATCACGGCACTGAGTGCCTTACCTGCTCACACACACAGCCGTCTCCCCACCTGGACTGTTCGATCTGATGATTTTTATCAGCGTAGGTGCTGGTAACCACGAGGTAATGTGCTGATGGGGAACTGACGGGTTAGTGAGTGGCTGGACAGCTCCTGCCATGCTGGCTGGTGGGGGCGTCCCCCCTGGACTGTGGGCCCTGCTGGAGCAGGCATCTGATGCACCCCATGGCCCCCACCCAGTGCGTTCCCTGGAACACAGGCTCTGAAATATGCAATGTGTGGATTCACGAGGCAGTGGCCAGGAGGGCTCATGGGGCTTGCTGCCCTGGGGCAGAGGCAGGAAGGGCTGACAGAGGCTCTGGGCCCAGCTCTGCCATGTGGTCTTTGGCAGGCGCTTCTGCTCTTTGTGTCTTGGTCTCCCTGTCTGTTCAATGGAGCCCACCCCAGGTTCTGTGGGCCTCCAGAGCCACCTAGAAAGAGCACCTCAGTAGGTGCAGGCACAAGGGGAGTGCCCGCTCGCACAGCTACCTTCCAGCAAAGCCCACGCTGCCCATGTGCCCACATTCCTTTGCACGATGGTTTTTCTTTTTTTTCTTGTGCTCCCCACACTCCTGGGTCCCCAGCCTCCAGGTCACCCTCCTTATTATATCCAAATGAAACGCTCCACCTCTTCAGCACCCCCTGTCCCCAGACATTTCCAGGAGGTGGCGGGACCCAGGAGTCGGATGCACCCCTGGCACCAGTTACCTCTGGATCCTTCTCTCCTGTTCGCACGGTGCCCACATCATTCAGCCCCCCACTTAACAAGGGGTCCCATCTTTACTGAGGATATGAGGGTGACGGGGACCACAGTTAGCATGGAGCTGCCATTATCTCAAAATCACAGGAAATTTTCTCTCTTTGTAAGTACCCTAAGTCTTCCCCACTGCAGGGAACATCTCACCCACCCCATCCTGGCACATAGACTGTCCTCTCTGGGGTCTTCCAGTATTCAGAACTGGTGCTCCCAAGGCTCCTTCGTCCCCTACCCTGGGCACCTAAAGCTCTTGTCTCCACAGCCCTCCAGGCAAAAACAGGAAATGCATGCTTATTGGGCAGAGTTGTCTGGTTCTGCTCCTTCCCTGCTGCCATTCCAGGAGAGGGCCGGCCTCCTGTGCATAGATGATAGGTAAGCAGGTGTGGTTTCCGAAATGTAGTCTCACCTGCTGGCATCTCTCCCATAGGCGATAGGGGTGCAGCAGCCTCCCCTAACACACTGGGCGGGTGCCTCGCTGGGCAGGAGTCTCCCTAGCGGGGTGCCTCGTGCTCTTCTCCTCCCAGCCCCTTTCTCCTTCCTTTTCCAATAAAAAGGACCTCAAAACAATAGAGCTCAGTGCTGGTGATGAGATCAGTGTGCCTCTGCCCTCTGGGTGCCAGGGGAGAATTCCGCCATGCCTGGCTGTGTGTGTGCTAAGCACAGAGAACAAAGCAGAGCATGTCTCAGCTAAAAGAAACTTCCTGAGAAATTCCAGCTGGAAAGCGCAGGAGTGACCGCAGGCTGCTAGATAAATGAGAGTCGACTTTATAGATGGCTCAGCTAAAAGAAACTTCCTGAGAAATTCCAGCCGGAAAGAGCAGGAGTGACCGCAGGCTGCTGACCGCAGGCTGCTAGATAAATGAGGATCGACTGCGTAGACGGGCAGGAAAGTTGCAGTGAGACAGGAGAGCAATGCTGGCTCTGGGTGCCCTGGGGTTGATAAATATTAGTCTCTGTGGAGTAAATGGATGATGATGGAGCTTCCCCACAGAGAGAAGAACTAAGGCTTTGGATGCTTGGAGCAGATATTTCCATTATTATTAAGTTTGTTTTTTTGTGGATTTAATTAGTACTTATTCAAACTCCATTCGTGATCTGTCATACTGCTCCCTCAAAGCCTAATTGGTTTTCTACATAAAATGTCACATAGTCTTACATCCACTGTGTGGCTGCTGGAAGTCTGTCGCTGTGCTCAGCAGGGGCTGGTTGTGGAGGTGAAATATGGCTTCTTGAGGAGGAACAGAGACTTGTAAACAGGAGGTTGTCAGCCTGGGCTTGGGAAGCATCAAAGCCAGCTGAGGGCCTGTGAAGCCCTGGATGAGGCTCCACCCGCCATGTCTGATTCAGGAAGGATGTGCATGGCTGGCGGGTGCCCAGGCACCATGGATGCTGCTAGTCCCAACGTCGCAGGCCCCCAAAACTGGAGTTCAGCCTGGGAGGCCTTGTGGGTTCTTCACTTGGAGCAGGAAGAAATTCAAGAGCGAGCGGGCAGAGTGAAGCGAAAGCAGGTTTACTAAGAATGTGGGCCGGGCCCGGTGGCTCACACCTGGAATCCCAGCACTGTGGGAGGCCGAGGTGGGTAGATCACCTGAGGTCAGGAGTTCAAGACCAGCCTGGCCAACATGGTGAAACCCCATGTCTACTAAAAATACAAAAATTAGCTGGGCATGGTGGCGGGCGCCTGTAATCCCAGCTACTGGGGAGACTGAGGCAGGAGAATCTCTTGAACCTGGGAGGCGGAGGTTGCAGTGAGCCGAGACAGCGCCATTGCCCTCCAGCCTGGGTGACAGAGCAAGACTCCATCTCAAAAAACAAAAAGAAAAGAAAAGGAAAGAAAAGAAGAGAAAAGAAAAAGATGCAAAAGCCCCCATCTCCTCAAGAATAAATTATTTTTATAAAATGCAAACTCTGGCCAAGCACAGTGGCTCATGCCTGTAATCCCAGCACTTTAGGAGGCCGAGGCAGGCAAATCACCTGAGGTCAGGAGTTTGAGACCAGCCTGGCCAACATGGTGAAACTCCATCACTACTAAAAATACCAAATTAGCCGGGCGTGTTGACACATGTCTGCAATCCCAGCTACTCAGGAAGCTGAGGCAGGAGAATCGCTTGAACCTGGGAGGCGGAGGTTGCAGTGAGCCGAGATCCTGCCACTGCACTCCAGCTGGGTAACGAGAGCGAAACTCTGTCTCAAACAAACAAACAAACAAAAACAAACAACAACAACAAAAAACCCACATTTTGGGGAGCAGTCAGGGAACAGCATAGACGGTGGCGTGTCACTCTGCACAGGGCCCCGGGTGGAAGCGAATTTGAGCAGTGAACAAGCACCCTCCCTCCACATGGGCAAGGACACTTCCTCTGCAGCCAAAAGCATGTGATCTGACGCTCAGCATGTGTTTGGCTAAAGGGGGTGAAAATCATAATTAGGTCCTGCCCCAAATGCCCCTATAATCCTTTATAACAAGTTAATTGCTTTAGGAATGACAGTGGGTACACAGGCCACTTCCACGCAGGCCAGAGTCACTGTTGACTTGGCAAAACCAGACTCAGTCCCTGGTGGATGTTTTCTAGTTGTCAGGAGCTTCTGCACAAAATTACAGTAAATATGGCTCACATCACCTGGAAGCCAGAGAATGTCAGCTGTCGCACCCATAACCCTTGGAACTTGAGCTGCAGACGTGTTTCCCACCCTCCACTATAGAATGAATGTGTTTGCTTTATGACAAAATCCCAGGACCCTCATTTTTAAATTCAATCCAACTTCAAAAGAGTGAGCCTCTCCACCCAGAGGAGCTGAGTACATTTCTGCGCCATCTTCAAAGGCTCCATTCCAGCTGAGAGTCAAAACCTGGAGGTTTTTGCCCCAGGACTGCCAGACGTGTGGCTCCAGGGCAGTGGGTGGAGAAATTGGACTACCCTTCCCTCTTGGTCCAACACCACCTCAGGGTTGGCCCCATAGTGCAGACCCCAGAAGCCTGGCAGGTGGGAGCCCTCCACGTCTGCAGCTTGCAGAGGTGCACATGGCTTTCCTGATTGTCTGCAGGGCTGTCGTATGGGGAGCTCTGTTGCTTGGCTGGAGTGGGAAAGAGTGTGGATTTATAACCAGCTCTGACAGTTACCAGCTGCCTGACGTTGAACAATCTGACCACTCAGAACCTCAGAATCCTCATTTATGAAATGGGACTAATATCCCCCAGGACTGACATAAGGGCTACAAACAATTGCGCGTGTATATGGGTTGGAAATATAAACAATGAAGGTTAGTACAAGCCTTCTGCCCTACCAGTCTTGACCTTTCTAAGGAATTAAACTTTCCATCTCAATAATGGGGGAAGGGATACAGGCTCTTCTTGGAAAAGGGAATTTAGGCCTTATGTGTTTAAAATGACTTCAACTTCACATTTCTAAACTTTTGACCTAGGAATCACATTACCAAAAGCATTTTGATTAACCAGTACAAGCTCCTGTTAGGATTTTTAATGACATTACTTCCTTTGGTCCAAAATAGTTTTCAGGCACACTCTGCTCAAATTTACATGCAGACCACACTTCACAGCACAAAGCAGTAACATCATGGGTAGAAGAGACAGAAGTCCTATTATTGCCACTTAATTTCCTTCCTGTTGGTACCATCAGTCCCCCCTTCCCTCCCCTGTGGGAGCCTTGGGCCAGCCTTCATCAAGCACAAGAGCTCAAACAGCATGAAGGACCTGTGGGCCAGGCTCTTGCATTTTAGGAAATAAAACATCCACATTCCCATCAAGACACTGCGAGTGCAGGGGTGTGAAGCCGGTGGTGGATGCATGGGGCCATGTGGCCTTGTCTTGTTTTTCTCTTGTCTTTAGAGGTGCTAAGTCCCCACTAGATTAGCTAGATACAGAGTGCTGATTAGTGCATCCACAAACCCCAAGCTAGACACAGAGTGCTGATTGGTGCATATACAATCCTCTGGCTAGACATAAAAGTTCTCCAAGTCCCCACCCGACTCAGGAGCCCAGCTAGCTTCGCCTAGTGGATCCCACGCCAGGGCCACTGGCAGAGCTGCCTGCCAGTCCTGCGCCACATGCCTTCTCTCCTCAGCCCTTGGGCAGTTGATGGGACCGGGTGCCGCGGACCAGGGGACTGCACCCGTTGGGAAAGCTTGGGCCATGCGGGAGCCCACCGCTGGGGGGCTTGGGCATGGCAGGCTGCAGGTCCTGAGCCTTGCCCTGTGGGGAGGCGGCTGAGGCCCGGGGAGAATTCAAGTGCGGCGTGGGCGGGCCGGCAGTGCTGGGGGACCTGGCGCTCCCTCCGCAGCTGCTGACCCAGGTGCTAAGCCCCTCACTGCCCGGGGCCGGCGGTGCTGCTGGCCGCTCCGAGTAAGGGGCCCGCTGAGCCCACGCCCACCCAGAACTTGCGCTGGCCTGCGAGTGCCTTCCACAGCCCGGGTTCCCACAGCCCCGGTTCCCGCCTGCGCCTCTCCCTCCACACCCCCCCACAAGCAGAGGGAGCCGGCTCCGGCATTGGCTAGCCCAGAGAGGGTCTCCCACAGTGCAGTGGTGGGCTGAAAGGCTCCTCAAGCGTGGCCAGAGTAGGCGCCAAGGCCAAGGAGGTGCTGAGAGTGAGCAAGGGCTGCCAGCACGCTGTCACCTCTCACTGACGACATGTGCCCAAGGTGGTCAGAGCACAGTTTGGTTTTATACATTTTAGGGAGACATAAGAGATCAATCAACACATGTAAGATGAACATTGGGTTCCAAGACAGCCGAATAGAAACAGCTCCAGTCTACAGCTCCCAGCATGAGCGACGCAGAAGACGGGTGATTTCTGCATTTCCAACTGAGGTACTGGGTTCATCTCACTGGGGCTTATCGGACAGGGGGTTCAGCCCATGGAGCAGGGCAGGGCATTGCCTCACCTAGGAAGCACAAGAGGTTGGGGAATTCCCTTTCCTAGCAAAGGGAAGCCATGACATACGGTACCTGAAAAATCAGGACACTCCCACCCTAATACTGCGCTTTTCCAACCATCTTAGCAAATGGCACAACAGATTATATCCTGTGCCTGGCTCGGAGGGTCCTATGCCCACGGACCCTCGCTCACTGCTAGCACAGCAGTCTGAGATCGAACTGCAAGGCGGCAATGAGGCTGGGGGAGGGGTGTCCACCATTGCTGAGGTTTGAGTAGGTAAACAAAGTGGCCAGGAAGCTCGAACTGGGTGAAGTCCACTGCAGCTCAAGGAGGCCTCTGTAGACTCCACCTCTGGAGGCAAGGCATAGCTGAACAAAAGGCAGTAGAAACTTCTGCAGACTTAAACGTCCCTGTCTGAGAGCTTTGAAGAGAGTAGTGGTTCTCCCAGCACAGAGCTGGAGATCTGAGAACAGACAGACTGCCTCCCCAAGTGGGTCCCTGACCCCCAAGTAGCCTAACTGGGAGACACCTCCCAGTAGGGGCCGACCGACACCTCATACAGCCGGGTGCCCCTCTGAGACGAAGCTTCCAGAGGAAGGATAAGGCAGCAACATTTGCCATTCTGCAATATTTGCTGTTCTGCAGCCTCCGCTGGTGATACCCAGGCAAACAGGGTCTGGAGGGGACCTCTAGCAAACTCCAACAGACCTGCAGCTGAGGGTCCTGACTGTTAGAAGGAAAACTAACAAACAGAAAGGACATCCACCCCAAAACCCCATCTGTACATCACCATCATCAAAGACCAAAGGTAGATAAAACCACAAAGATGAGGAGAAACCAGAGCAGAAAAGCTGAAAATTCTGAAAATCAGAGTGCCTCTTCTCCTCCAAAGGAAAGCAGCTCCTTGTCAGCAATGGAACAAAGCTGGATGGAGAATGACTTTGACGAGTTGAGAGAAGAAGGCTTCAGACAATCGGTAATAACAAACTTCTCCGAGCTAAAGGAGGATGTTCGAACCCATCGCAAAGAAGCTAAAAACCTTGAAAAAAGATTAGACGAATGGCTAACTAGAATAAACAGCATACAGAAGACCTTAAATGACCTGATGGAGCTGAAAACCATGTCATGAGAACTACGTGACGCATGCACAAGCTTCAGCAGCTGATTCGATCAAGTGGAAGAAAAGGTATCAGTGATTGAAGATCAAATGAATGAAATGAAGCGAGAAGAGAAGTTTAGAGAAAAAAGAGTAAAAAGAAATGAACAAAGCCTCCAAGAAATATGGGACTGTGTGAAAAGACCAAATCTATGTCTGATTGGTGTACCTGAAAGTGACGAGGAGAATGGAACCAAGTTGGAAAACACTCTTCAGGATATTATCCAGGAGAACTTCCCCAGCCTAGCAAGGCAGGCCAACATTCAAATTCAGGAAATACAGAGAATGCCACAAAGATACTCCTCGAGAAGAGCAACTCCAAGACACATAATTGTCAGATTCACCAAAGCTGATATGAAGGAAAAAATGTTAAGGGCGGCCAAAGAGAAAGGTCGGGTTACCCACAAAGGGAAGCCCATCAGACTAACAGCGGATCTCTTCGCAGAAACTCTACAAGCCAGAAGAGAGTGGGGGCCAATATTCAACATTCTTAAAGAAAAGAATTTTCAACCCAGAATTTCATATCCAGTCGAACTAAGCTTCATAAGTGAAGGAGAAATAAAATACTTACAGACAAGCAAATGCTGAGAGATTTTGTCACCACCAGGCCTGCCCTAAAAGAGCTCCTGAAGGAAGCACTAAACATGGAAAGGAACACTGGTACCAGCCACTGCAAAAACATGCCAAATTGTAAAGACCGTCGATGCTAGGAAGAAACTGCATCAACTAACGAGCAAAATAACCAGCTAACATCATAACGACAGGATCAAATTCACACATAACAAAATTAACCTTAAATGTAAATGGGGTAAATGCTCCAATTAAAAGACACAGATTGGCAAATTTGATAGAGTCAAGACCCATCAGTGTGCTGTATTCAGGAAACCCATCTCACGTGCAGAGACACACATAGGCTCACAATAAAGGGATGGAGGAAGATCTACCAAGCAAATGGAAAACAAAAGAAGGCAGGGGTTGCAGTCCTAGTCTCTGATAAAACAGACTTTAAACCAACAAAGATCAAAAGAGACAAAGAAGGCCATTACATAATGGTAAAGGGATCAATTCAACAAGAAGAGCTAACTATCCTAAATAAATATGCACCAAATACAGGAGCACCCAGATTCATAAAGCAAGTCCTTAGAGACCTAAAAGAGACTTAGACTCCCACACAATAATAATGGGAGACTTTAACACCCCACTGTCAACATTAGACAGATCAACGCGACAGAAAGTTAACAAGGATATCCAGAAATGGAACTCAGCTCTGCACCAAGTGGACCTAATAGACATCTACAGAACTCTCCACCCCAAATCAACAGAATATACATTCTTCTCAACACTACATCACACTTATTCCAAAATTGACCACATAGTTGGAAGTAAAGCACTCCTCAGAAAATGTAAAAGAACAGAAATTATAACAAACTGTCTCTCAGACCACAGTGCAATCAAACTAGAACTCAGGATTAAGATAAGAAACTCACTCAAAACCACTCAACTACATGGAAACTGAACAACCTGCTCCTGAATGACTACTGGGTACATAACAAAATGAAGGCCGAAATAAAGATGTCCTTTGAAACCAATAAGAACAAAGACACAATATACCAGAATCTCTGGGACACATTTAAAGCAGTGTGTAGAGGGAAATTTATAGCACTAAATGCCCACAAGATAAAGCAGGAAAGATCTAAAATTGACATCCTAACATCACAATTAAAAGAACTAGAGAAGCAAGAGCAAACATATTCTAAAGCTAGTAGAAGGCAAGAAATAACTAAGATCAGAGCAGAACTGATGGAGATAGAGACATAAAAAAACCCTTCAAAAAATCAATGAATCCAGGAGCTTTTTTACTGAAAAGCTCAACAAAATTGATAGACTACTAGCAAGACTAATAAAGAAGAAAATAGAGAAGAATCAAATAGATCCAATAAAAAATGATAAAGGGGATATCACCACCGATCCCACAGAAATACAAATTCCCATCAGGGAATACTATAAACACCTCTACGCAAGTAAACTAGAAAATCTAGAAGAAACGGATAAATTCCTGGACACATACACCCTCCCAAGACTAAACCAGGAAGAAGTTGAATCCCTGAATAGACCAATAGCAGGTTCTGAAATTGAGGCAATAATTAATAGCCTACCAACCAAAAAAAGTCCAGGACCAGATGGATTCACAGCCGAATTCTACCAGAGGTACAAAAAAGAGCTGGTACCATTCCTTCTGAAACTATTCCAATCAATAGAAAAAGAGGGAATCCTCCCTAATTCATTTTATGAGGCCAACATCATCCTGATACCAAAGTCTGGCAGAGACACAACAAAAAAAGAGAATTTTAGACCAATATCCTTGATGAACATTGATGCAAAAATCCTCAATAAAGTACTGGCAAACCAAATCTAGCAGCACATCAAAAAGCTTATCCACTATGATCAAGTGGGCTTCATCCCTGGGATGCAAGGCTGGTTCAACATACACAAATCAACAAATGTAATCCATCATATAAACAGAACCAAAGACAAAAACCACATGATTATCTCAATAGATGCAGAAAAGGCCTTTGACAAAATTCAACAGCAGTTCATGCTAAAAACTCTCAATAAACTAGGTATTGATGGGACGTATCTCAAAATAATAAGAGCTATTTATGACAAACCCACAGCCAATATCAACTGAATGGGCAAAAACTGGAAGCATTCCCTTTGAAAACTGGCACAAGACAGGGATGCCCTCTCTCACCACTCCTATTCAACATAGTGTTGGAAGTTCTGGCCAGGGCAATCAGGCAGGAGAAAGAAATAAAGGGTATTCAATTAGGAAAAAGGAAGTCAAATTGTCCATGTTTGCAGATGACATTACTGCATATTTAGAAAACCCCATCGTCTCAGCCCCAAATCTCCTTAAGCTGATAAGCAACTTCAGCAAATCTCAGGATACAAAATCAATGTGCAAAAATCACAAGCATTCCTCTACACCAATAAGAGACAAACAGAGCCAAATCATGAGTGAACTCCCATTCACAGTTGCTTCAAAGAGAATAAAATACCTAGGAATCAAACTTAGAAGGGATGTGAAGGACCTCTTCAAGGAGAACTACAAACCACTGCTCAATGAAATAAAAGAGGACACAAACAAATGGAAGAACATTCCATGCTCATGGATAGGAAGAATCAATATTGTGAAAATGACCATACTGCCCAAGGTAATTTATAGATTCAATGCCATCCCCATCAAGCTACCAATGACTTTCTTTGCAGAATTGGAAAAAACTACTTTAAAGTTCATATGGAATCAAAAAAGAGCCCACATTGCCAAGACAATCCTAAGCCAAAAGAACAAAGCTGGAGGCATCATGCTACCTGACTTCAAACTATACTACAAGGCTACAGTCACCAAAACAGCATGGTACTGGTACCAAAACAGAGATATAGACCAATGGAACAGAATAGAGCCCTCAGAAATAATACCACACATCTGTAAGCATCTAATCTTTGACAAACCTGACAAAAACAAGAAATGGGGAAAGGATTCCCTATTTAATAAATGGTGCTGGGAAAACTGGCTAGCCATATGTAGAAAGCTGAAACTGGATCCCTTCCTTACACCTTATACAAAAATTAATTCAAGATGGATTAAAGACTTAAATGTTAGACATAAAACCATAAAAACCCTAGAAGAAAACCTAGGCAATACCATTCAGGACATAGGCATGGGCAAGGACTTCATGACTAAAACACCAAAAGCAATGGCAACAAAAGCCAAAATTGACAAATGGGATCTAATTAAACTAAAGAGCTTCTGCACAGCAAAAGAAACTATCATCAGAGTGAACAGGCAACCTACAAAATGGGAGAAAATTTTCGCAACCTCCTCATCTGACAAAGGGCTAATATCCAGAATCTACAAAGAACTTAAAGAAATTTACAAGAAAAAAATCAAACAACCTCATCAAAAAGTGGGCAAAGGATATGAACAGACACTTCTCAAAAGAAGACATTTATGCAGCCAACAGACACATGAAAAAATGCTCCTCATCACTGGTCATTAGAGAAATGCAAACCAAAACCACAATGAGATACCATCTCGCATCAGTTAAAATGTTGATCATTAAGAAGTCAGGAAACAAGAGGTGCTGGAGAGGATGTGGAGAAATAGGAACACTACACTGTTGATGGCACTGTAAACTAGTTCAACAATTGTGGAAGACAGTGTGGCGATTCCTCAAGGATCTAGAACTAGAAATACCATTTGACCCAGCCATCCCATTATTGGGTATATATCCAAAGGATTATAAATCATGCTGCTATAAAGACACATGCACACATATGTTTATTGTGGCACTATTCACAATAGCAAAGACTTGGAACCAACCCAAATGTCCATCAATGATAGATTGGATTAAGAAAATGTGGCACATATACACCATGGAATACTATGCAGCCATAAAAAAGGACGAGTTCATGTCTTTGTAAGGACATGGATGAAGATGGAAATCATCATTCTGAGCAAACTATCGCAAGGACAGAAAACCAAACAGCATGTTCTCACTCATAGGTGGGAATTGAACAATGAGAACACTTGGACACATGTTGGGGAACATCACACACCAGGGCCTGTCATGGGGTAAGGGGAGTGGGAAGGGATAACATTAGGAGATATACCTAATGTAAATGATGAGTTAACGGGTGCAGCAAACCAACATGGCACATGTATACATATGTAACAAACCTGCATGTTGTGCACATGCACCCTAGAACTTAAAGTATAATAATAATAATTTAAAAAAAGGTGAACATTGGTTCAGTCCAGAAAGGTGGGACAACTGGAAGCAGGGGAGGGCCTTCCAGGTCATAGGTAGATAAAAGAAAAGTGGTTGCATTCTTTTGGGTTTCTGATGAGCCTGTCCAAAGGAGGCAATCAGATATGCATGTATCTCAGTGAGCAGAGGGGGGACCATGAATAGAACAGGAGGCAGCTTTGCTCTAAGCAGTTCCCAGCCTGACTTTTCCCTTTAGCCTATGATTCTGGGGTCCTGAGATGTTTTCCTTTCACAGAGCCCTATCCTCTGATACCTGGGAGTGAGACCTCGCTGGAACACGGGGCTGCTGCAGATGTAGTCAAGATGAACTCGTACCAGAGAACCCCGGGACCTGAACCCAGTGACTAGAGTCCTTTTGAAAAGACGGAAGGCAGAGATGCAGAGGCCAAGGCCATGAGAGGCCGAGGCAGAGGCCTGGCCAGGGGTCTGTGGGATCCCCAGCCACAAGGCCGCTGAAGAGGTCCTGGAGGAAGCATTCTCCCCAGCCTGCAGAGGGAGCAGGGCACGCCCAAGCCCTACCTTGGACTGCAGGCTTCTGAACCCTGTAGTTGAAGGCTGTAGTTTGCAGCTCTTTGTTACAGCAGCCACAGGGAATGCGCCTCCAGCCTGTCTGGAAGTCAGCTCTTCCCACAGGGTGTTCAAGGTCAGGTGGGCTGCTCCCAGAGGAGCAGGTGCAGGCAGAGACCACAGGCTGCTGGAGGGAAGGGGATACCCAGCCTTTGCTGAGGCTCTGTCCCACTTCTGTTTGTCGTATTTTAGCCATTTGGGGTGCACCTAACCACTGAGCTTATTCCTTCTCTAGCTCCCTACCTCCACCACCCAGACCGTCCCGCTGTGCAGCAGCCAGGCAGCGCCTCTCTTCGGGGCCTCTCCCCCAGTCCCCCTGCTGAGCTCTGGACACTCTGGGATGGACCCCCCGCTCAGATCAGGCAGGGTCTGGGTCAGGCAGGGGCCAGGGGCTTAGCCCGCAGTGGCCTGAGCCCAGGCAGCTCGCTGAGGAGGGACGGCAGGGAGAGACTTGGGTGTCCACCCTGCCTCATGGGCTGCTGACCCTCCCCACACTCCATCCTGCCCTTCTGCCCTCCTGCCCTGGCTGCCACCTTGTCCCCTGGACTGGCTCTCAGAACAGCCGAGCACATGGGGGATGGCCCAGAGGGGTCCCGGCCCCCGACCAGGTAGGCATCTCTGGGTCAGCTGTGCCCCAGGGGGATGGGTTGAGTCTCAGACCGGCCAGTGCCCCAGGGACCCCTTTCCTTTCACTTACAGGAGAGTTCCTCTGTCTCACTGCCTGGGGGAAAAACCAGCTGAGCCCGTCATGCAGATTTTCTAGGGAGCTGGGCCTGCAGGAGGCCTGGCTTTTGCCCTCTGCTCCTGGGAGGTGACCTCTCGGCCGGCCCTCAGAATGTCTTGACTAATAAGAGCGTCTTTCTTTACCTGGGGCCGTGGGCCACCCTGGAGAGCCGATGCTTACAGTGTGACTTGTGGTGGGGCCCAGCCTCAGGCGGACCTGCAGGCACGTGCCGCACCGGATCCCCAGAGTCCGAGCCCGCCCCACCCCCCACGCCCTCCGTGGGGCTGGTGCGGCCTCCCAGGTGCTGGTCCCCCAGCACTTACCACTAAGCCGCCGCACCTGCTTCCTTCTTATTCACCCTGGCCCTCCCTCTGCCTCTCCACACCACCAGGCTTGAGTTAACTCACACCTCCTTCCTCTGTATCGTCTCTGCAGTATTTCTCAAATGTACTAAAAAATCGTAAGAATGACTTTCTGTGGATGTTTGTTAAAAGCATTTCCCAAGCCCCTCTCCTAAAAAATCGGAGTCAGTAAGTGTGGGGTGGGGGTAGAGGGAGGTGGGGGAGGTGACTTTTTTTTTTTTTTTTTTACAGGTAAGAGGAGAAACAATTTGGTATCAAAAGAGCGTCCTGACTGGCCTCCCTGCCTCCAGCATCCCATCCAATCCACGGCCACTCACTCCAGAAGCCCGTCCAATCCGCAACCACTCACTCTTTCCAAGGCCAGCGCTCCGATGATGCTGTAGCCTCAGTCCCGGCCTCTGTCAAAGGCCCTCCAGCCCCTGACGCCAGGCCACCTTTGAGCTCCTCTTCTAAGCGCCCCCTTTAGTATCTTGCACACGGCTGTCCCCGTGTGAGCAGCTGGTGTGAGTAGAGCGTAGGGAGCTTATTTGGCAATCTCTTCGATGATCCTTGTGCGTGTCTAATGACCTGTGTTTGGCACACGACGTAAATGGAAACCCAGAGAAAGTTGACCAGCCTTCCAAGGTGGCGCAGCTGGTAAATGGCGGTGCCTAGATTCAAATCCGGCTCTCCGCGGTTCCACAGCCTGGGCCTGCTTCCCCTTCCAGGAGGGCTTGAGTTTGGGTGACTGATCTGCCAGCACCGCTGACATGCTCCTATTTCATGCTGCTCCCTCTGCAGCTCTACCCATTCTTCAAGGCCCAGGGTGGGCGGGCACAGTGGCTCACACCTGTAATTCTAGCACTTTGGGAGGCCAGGGTGGGAGGATTGCTTGAGGTCAGGAGTTCCAGACCAGCCTGGGCAGCATAATGGGACCCTGCCTCTACATAAAATTTAAAAACAAATTAACTGAGCATGGAGGTGCACACCTGTGCTCCCAGCTACTCAGAAGGCTGAGGCAGAAGGATTGCTTGAGACTAGGAGGCTGAGGCTGCAGTGAGCTATGAAACTGTGCCATTGCCCTCCAGCCTGGGTGACGGAGTGAGACCCCATCTCTACAAAACAGTTAAAAAATTAGCTAGGCATGGCCGGGCTCGGTGGCTCACGCCTGTAATCCCAGCACTTTGGGAGGCCGAGGCGGGCGGATCACGAGGTCAGGAGATCAAGACCATCCTGGCTAACACGGTGAAACCCCGTCTCTACTAAAAATACAAAAAAATTAGCCAGATGTGGTGGCGGGGGCCTGTAGTCCCAGCTACTCAGGAGGCTGAGGCAGGAGAATGGCGTGAACCTGGGAGGTGGAGCTTGAGTGAGCTGAGATCATGCCACTGCACTCCAGCCTGGGTGACAGAGAAAGACTCCGTCTCAAAATAGTAATAATTAATAATAATAATAATTAGCTAGGCACAGTGTGTGCACCTGTGGTCTCAGCTACTTGAGAGGCTGAGGAAGGAGGACTGCTTGAGCCCAGGAGGTAGAGGCTGCAGTGAACTATGATCACGCTGCCGTAAGCCAGCCTGGGTGACAGAGCAAAACCTTGTCTCAAAAAAGAAAAAGACTCAGGACCCATCCATGAACCCCATTTCCATTTCCACTGAACCTGAGGAATCCCCATCCTCGCTCTTTTACAGGCTCCCAAAATGGGGTTTTGTGTCAGCATGACATCCTTGGGCACATATCCAATCTCCCTTCGTGGATTTTGAGGCAAAGATTGGCGCTTCTGTTGCTTCCCGTGAGGGATCTTGGCTAACTGGAGTTGGAAATCAATAGCACTGGGAGTCCTAAAGGGAGTTAAAGGTTCTAGATTTGAGGGCCAAGAAATAAATGGGGAAAAAACTATTAAAATATTACATTATTTTGAGCTGAAGTTCATACCTGCATTAATTCTAACCTAATCTTCGTTGATGTTTCACACGACTGCTCTTACAAAACCTGGTTGGCTTGGGCTGATTTGTTGAGATGCCCAGAGGAATTTATTCTACTTTCCCTCTTAAAACCCCAATGCTAAACACGTGGGACTCCTGACCCTCCCGAGGTTGACTTGGAAGCTGCAACCCTGGCTCTTTCTCTGCTAAAAGGCCTGCTCAGGAGAGCTCAGGTGAGTGCCTGGTGAGATGCTGCCCCCTGGTGGTGATCCTCTTCTTAGTCCCAGGTGCCCAAGGTGGACCTTGCCCACGTCCATAGGGAAATAGTTCATGTAAGGTGGGTACTACGCTGGAGAGCCACAGCGGGAAACAGCTGTGCTTCTAGAAACCCCGTCCAGTGAGATGTGTGTCTCTTGGGTGGGTCTGACCAGGAGAAGTGGGCGAGCTCTTGCGTGTGTCTTTGAGGTGAGGGTTAATCCCTGAGCATCTGAACACAGCCAGGGCTGGGAATGGCTGAGGAAACAACTCTCCTCACTCGCTGCCAGGCTCTTTCCTTCCACCTCTGCTGCCCGCAAACCCAGTTTCTTCTGTCAAGAAAGCCAGAGGGGACCACGCTTTCCCACCCTCTTGGAGAGTATGCAGGTGGGAGTTGGGTCTGGGCTCCTGCAACCCTAAAGCGATCATGGCTGTCACTCATGTACAGACAAGGCCAGAGCTTCCTGTCCTTTGAAATCAATGCTTATGAATATTTTTCCCCAGAACAGGAATGAGTGGTCAATGTAGAAAAATTGGTGAATAAATTCAAGCAAAATTTTTAAAACATGAAAGGCACACATCAAGAATACCATTTTTTTCTATTCTGTATTTATGAGAGTGCACATTTTTCTTATTTGCACTTGTGCGTGGGGCCTGGGTGTCCCACCGTCCAGGCCCCTCTTCTTCCCCTCTGCCCAGACTCCCCAGCCCCCTCTGGAAACCACTGGGGGAAGTGAGCATGCCCTTCTGGCTAGAATGTTCTAGGAAACCAGCACCTCAGGAGGCCAGGCAGAGGGGAAGGCTGTGGGGCCTGGTCTCGAGGAATAGGTGGGAGAGGCGGGTAGACACCTGGTGTGGAGTTCGAACAAGTGAGATTTCTTTGGGCATCTCAAGTTCAAGTCTGAGGCCCAAAGTCGTTCCAATGAGGACAAGGTGCTGGTGAAGGTGGCCTGGTGGGGGTCTCGGACGGCAGCCGCCGCTCAGCCCCGGAGGTCCCAGAGGCAGGGCTGGGGTGGCCACGCTACTCACTGAGGCTGCGGTCACAGTGACCACAGCTGCTTAGGGGGAGGGTGCCAGGTCAGATCCTGCATCCACCACTCAAAGCTGGGCGCTGTGAGGCTGGTTCCCTAATCTCTGTGTCTCTGTGTGATGTGTGTGACCGGGAGGGAGCCATGTGGGGTCCGAGTGAACTGAAGCCCCAACAGTACCAGAGCACCCTGTGAGTACATCTAATGGGTTCACAAGCACAGACGCAGTGCCAGGCCAGGCTTGGCATCACCATGGAGGCCCCCATGAATTCATCTAATGGGCTCACACACACAGACGCAGCGCCAGGCCAGGCTTGGCATCACCATAGGGGCTTCTAGCTAAGGTGCTAAAGTTCGAGTTGGCGAGGTGTCACGGGAAACACACCTCCTCCCAACCCACGCCTCACAAACCTCTCCACAAATGTGGAAGGGAACGGCAACAACTGAGTTTCAGAAAACTCATTCAGCCAAAGTGCGGAAAGCAGCAGCAGCAACCAAGAGCAGACGGCAAAGACAGAAAGAAGTCTCTCATTTTCCCACAGCTGGGGTCAGAGGTTGTGCAGTTTGGAGTCAGGGGACAAGCTGGGCCCTCCTCCTCCCGGAAAACAGGGAGAGGGACGTGGTCTTCCTTGGTGGTGACTTTTCAAGGAGATGGCTCTTGGGTCCTTGAGAAAACTTTCTGGATACCTGAATCTGGCCAGAGGCTTCTGTAGCCATTAAACAGATTTACATACATTAGAAAAAGAAAGAAAGAAAGAATATCTGTAGGGAAAGGGAAAGAGGAAGGATCTTATCTTCAGTAATAAGAATGCAGCCTCTCACTGTATTTGTCCTGGCACTGGGAGCTGGTTAGGGTGCATGTTCCCAGGCTGCACCCCAGAGGCCCCTGGATAGAATCTGCAGGAAGAGGGTGGCCACTGTTCACACGAGGCACCTCCTGCCTCTGGTCCTTTCTACAGCAGCAGTGGAACTCTGGTCTCAGGTGGAATGCACTGGACCCTCCCTAGCACTGGGTACAACTCTGGTATTGGGTGGAACACACTAGACCCTCCCTTGTACTGGTGGAACTCTGGTCTTGGGTGGAATGCACTGGACCCTCCCTTCTTGCTGCCCCTGAGGAATGTTCTGGGATGAACCACAAGTGGGGACCATAGAGGGCACCTGACAGAGGGGTGCTCGGTGTCACCAGGATCCCAAGGGCCTGACGTTGGAGCCAAGGGCAGTGCATGTAAAGAGGCCTAAGTGAATGGCTGGCCCCCAGCCTCTGTGAGTGTCAGGCTCCTGGGCTCTTATGTGTCAGTGTTTCATCAAATTTGTATTGGCCTCTCATCAGATCAGCCCAAGGATCCACGTTCCAGGCCATTTCTGCAGCAGTTAGCATGTCTCACAGTGGGGTTTCTCTGCTTGCTCCTTAAGCCTTGCTTTTTCAGGCTTGCCCTCAGAGTGGCCATTAGCCCTGATTGTTTCAGGACCCCAAGGCTGGGCCCATCTCTACCCAGAGCACACCAGAACGAGGGCACCCAGCAGTGGATTCACAAACACAACTGAGCTCCCAGCTTCCAGTTCCTTACACTGGGATTTCTTACTGTGCCAAGCAATGTTATAAATGAACAGAGGCCTGTGGGCTTAACTCTCAGAGCTTCTCCTGGAGAGCAGCACTGCTTGTCAGAGCAGCCCCTCTAAGCCTCAGGAGGCCAGTGCCCTTTTCCATTGGCCCATTGCCACTCTGCTCTTAAATCCACATAAGCATATCCTAAGTTAAAAAAAAATGCAATTTGCCAATTATTCGATGAGTGGCAGGTCTCAGGAAGAGCTTGCCTGGTACACAATTTGCACCAGGAAGTGGAGGCTGCATTAAGGACAAGGGCTGGAGGCCATCTCTCCAACCGGAGGACCAAAGCTGAGAGGAGAGGAAGCATCAGGTGGGGCTCAGAAACTGAACCCTGCCCTTCATCAGAAAATACGAGATCAAGATTCAAGTCCAGACTGAAGGACGACTTTCCAGGCCTGAAGAGCGAAGGGACCCTCTGCTTGGGCTGCGCTGAAAGAATTTTAAAAATGTGACTGCAGGCTAATCCTTCCAACTTTCCATCAGATAAGCCTAAAGCATTTAAGAACATTTTTGAACCAACAGTTCATTAAATTCCAGGACATATTTTGAGCACTACAGCAAATAATGACACGTAATTCACAAGCAACAGGCAAGTGGAGGCTCTAAGCTGAATGGCCCAGGGACCCTCCAGCCATGAACATCCAACAAGAAGCCTCATGTACTTTGTAACTGGCTAAGCTGCTCATAACAACGCTGGAAACATGTGGAAAGAGATCAGGGTGCGAAGGCATTGCATAGAGACGCCCAGGAGAGTGGGAAGAGTCCCCAGAAGTTAGCGCCAGCAGGGCGGCCTCCAGGAGGGCAGGCAACACCTGCAAAGATTCGTCACCTGATGCTCTAGATCCTTCTGAGGCCAACCCATCAGCTTCTTCGTTGTCTTTGTTGCTGCTAGGACCAGGAACATACTTCTGTTAAAGTGAGAAAAAAAATCCAAATGGTTTATTATTTATACCAAGTGTTTTTCCACATTGCAATGCAACCCTCAAATCAGGAATGAAATTGTGTCATCTGAGCGTTATTGTACTTAAGGAGCTTTTTCATGTTGTCCACAGTCAAATGAAAGGGAAAAGTGTTCATTATTGGGTATAGATATTCTGCATATGAGATCACTGTCAACTCTCAAAATTCAGGAACAATGATTATTCTGCCTAGAAGAAGAAAGTATACATTTTTAATTGTAACATCAATATTTCCAACAGAAAATTTAATTTACTGATCTGAGTAAATGTGAGAAAATGGTGGCCCTCTTCCAAATGCTGCCTGAGGGCCAAGGTACCAAATTTCCCAGCCCTTCCTGTCACTTGTCACCCTAAAAACAAACATAAAAACAAACAGAGAGGTTCTCTGAAAGAAAAGAGATTTATCTGGAAATAAAGCATTGCTATGGGAGTGCACACACCATAGTAAACTCTGTGCATGTTCAGGGAGGAAAAGGAGGACAAAGGTTTTTAAAGGAAAAAAGGAGGAGGATTACATACTTGTCGGGGTAATTACCCTTGGCTGCCCTTACGTTGCGTTGAGTGTGAAACTGCTGCCTTACCTATTGTAAACTCAGCTTAAAGGGTTCTCTGTGCACAGTAGCTGGGTGTGTAAACAGACACCTGCTCTTCTGCCCCTACCGAGCTTTGGGCAATTCCAGGCAACCAAACGTTCAAACCATGTCCCAGTAAGGCAAATGCCGAGCTGTCACCAATGTGGCTGTTTCTGTGCCTGATTCCGTTTTCTGTTCCTCACATGGCTTTTTCTGTCCATAAATCTTCTCTGACCACCCGGCAGTGTCCAAGTTTCTCTGAGCCTGTCCTGGTCCCTACCCGATTTGAGAACCGCTCTTTACTCAGTGAAACTGTTAAATTTAATTTGTCTAAAGTTTTCTGGTTTTTTTTTTTCCCTACAAAGATATATGACAAGGGTGACACACCTGTCTGAGGTTGGCCAGGTAGTTGGTGGGCAGACATCCTTGCAGAAGTGTTTCTTGTGTCCAGTTGCAATGGCCTTTGTGTGCAGCTGTGGTTTTTGCAGGCTTTTGTGATACTTTTTGTGTTCAGGCATTCATGCAAGGGCACCCTCTCCTCATGGCCTTGCCTGGCTCTATTTGTTAGGGTTTTCTTGACATCACTGACTCCATTTTGACTGTGGCAACTTTCTTGCATTCAGACTTCTGTGTTACAGTGGTGGTGGTACTTTAGATTCTTTTGTCGATTGACCTCATTGTCTCCTCCAATTCTTAAGGACCACCTTAATTTACTGTAACATGTTTGAAGAACACTATAGAAAACAATATGGGACAACTGGAAGACCTTATATTTTCAATAGTTGCTACAATGAAATTGATGTAAGATGTTGAGAAAGAGTGTATCAGGGGCATTTGACACATCTCTTACTAAGAGCTACCATAGGAAGTCATCCCTTTTTGTGTGTGGTGTTGTTACTGGAAAGGAGTTTGGATCCAGACCCCAAGAGAGGGTTCTTGGATCTCTTGCAAGTAAGAATTTGGGGCGAGCCCATGAAGTGGAGCAAGTTTATTAGAGAAGTAAACAAGCAAAGAATGGCTACTCCACAGACAGAGCGGGCCTGAGGGCTGCCTGCTGGCTATGTTTATGGCTATTTCTTGATCACATGCTAAACAAGGGGTGCATAATTCATGAATTTTCTAGAAAAGGGGCAGGGAATTCCCGGCTCTGAGAGTTCCTCCCCTTTTCAGACCCTATAGGGTAACTTCCAGACATTGCCCTGGCATCTGTAAACTTGTTTAGATCATATTTAAAGAAATATTGGCTGCATGCGGTGGCTCATGCCTGTAATCCCAGCACTTTGGGAGGCCAAGGTGGGTGGATCACCTGAGGTCAGGAGTTTGAGACCAGCCTGGCCAGCATGGTGAAATCCCATCTCTACCAAAAATATGAAAATTAGCCAGTCATGGTGCTGGTGGCGTTTTTTTTTTGCATGCTAATGCATTATAATTTGCTTATAATAAGCAGTGAGGACAATCAGAGGTCACTTTTGTGGCCATCTTGGTTTTGGTGGATTTTGGCTGGCTACTTTCCCCAATCCTGTCTTATCAGTGGGGTCTTTGTGACCTGCATCTTGTGAAACCAGTCCTGCCGACCTCCTAGCTCCTCCCGTGACTGAGAATGCCTCACCTCCTGGGAATGCAGCCCTGTAGGTCTCAGCCTCATTTCACCAGCCCCTACTCAGGATGGAGTCGCTCTGGGTTGAACACCTCTGACAGTGCTCTACCCAAATGTCCAATCCCCACTGCCCAGCTCCAACAGGAACCCAGCACCCCTCTTTAGGGCTGATGTCCGGTCCCATCCAGAAATAGCTTCACCTCCAAGGCTGAGTCCCAGACCTGTGCGTCTGCCTCCACTTGGCCTTTGATTTCTTGGCTCCTGTGGTCTTTCCCCCGGCTGCCTTCTTTGCAATGACCTCCAGAAAGATGGACTCACACTCACCAGAAGTGAACGTGTCCTGAAAAACGACTCTGTAGACAACAGAATGTCTAAGGGTAGAATTCAGGATGGCTATATCAATATTTCTTTTTTTTTTTTTTGAGACGGAGTCTCGCTCTGTCGCCTAGGCTGGAGTGCAGTGGCACGATCTCGGCTCACTGCAAGCTCCAC
This sequence comes from Homo sapiens, assembly GCF_000001405.40. Lineage (NCBI taxonomy): Eukaryota > Metazoa > Chordata > Mammalia > Primates > Hominidae > Homo > Homo sapiens. The sequence goes on from NC_000002.12 coordinate 1,776,182, forward strand.
CCACCGGGTTCAAGCAATTCTTCTGCCTCAGCCTCCTGAGTAGTTGGGATTACAGGTATGCACCACCACGCCTGGCTAATTTTCATATTTTTGGTAGAGATGGGATTTCACCATGCTGGCCAGGCTGGTCTCAAACTCCTGACCTCAGGTGATCCACCCATCTTGGCCTCCCAAAGTGCTGGGATTACCGGCATGAGCCACCGCATGCAGCCAATATTTCTTTAAATATGATCTAAACAAGTTTCCTAAGTTCATACATGTTTATCATCTATCAGTCAGAATTCCTTCCGTAGGAATTACTGTCATTACGTTTTGTACTGAAAGTATCAGTTACAATACGAGTTACAAACTTTTTGGGAGTGTGTCTATTTTTTAAAGATACAAAGTGACATACTGTCAGTCACCACTATTAATTTTTAATTCATTAATTAATGTATTTATTTTTCTGAGACGGAGCCTCGCTCTGTCGCCCAGGCTGGCGTGCAGTGGTGCGATCTCGGCTCACTGCAAACTTCACCTCCTGGGTTCAAGAGATTCTCCTGCGTCAGCCTCCTGAGTAGCTGGGACTACAGGCGCCTGCCACCATGTCCGGTTAATTTTTATATTTTCAGTAGAGGTGGGGTTTCACCATATTGGCCAGGCTGGTCTTGAACTCCTGACCTTGTGATCCGCCCACCCCACCCTCCCAAAGCACTGGGATTACGGCATGAGCCACGGCACCCGGCCTTTAATTGGTTTTAATTTTAATAGCCTTTATCAAGGTATTGAATTTATTTTTTAGTAACTATAGCTCAAATTAGTTTTCTGTATTCAATAACTCTCTTGGCATACTGAGGAAAACTATTTCACTTTTTGCTTTTTCAGATGATTTTATTAAAAAGGTAAAGAGCCACACCAACAGCTAATGTTAGACAGAAAACTGCCAAAAGTTGTCAATTAGAAACCTGGGAAACTTCTCAGAATCTTCTCTGTAGTTCAGGGGAAGAAAAATATTTTGTCTCTATTTATCTCAGGTTCTCCAGCTTGGACCACACAAGTGAGACCAGGCAAAAGCAGACTACTAGGAGAAAGCAAACCAAAGATTATAGCCTCTGCTTCCACAGGGGAGCCCCCAGAGATGAGTGCTTGCCAGGGGTGTTCAGAGCCTGAGTTTAAATACCAGCAAAGGAGAAGGGTTGAGGGCTTCTGGGTGGAGGAGGCAAGTTATGAGGAGGTGATCAGAAGAAGTGCTGTGTGTGAACGAGAGCTGTTGGGCGGGGCTGCTGTGCAGACAGAGGCCTGGCCTTCTCCATTGACAAGAGCAGAAACTGTCTTGTGAAGAACAGGAGGGAATTCACCTTTGAGGTCTCTGGTTCTTGAATGACCTAACTTTAAGAGTCCTCGTACAGGAGACAGAGACACCTTTTACAAAGGTGACTTGTCCTCACAAAAGGAAAGCTTTTGCCCTGTTTTTAGAGTTTTCCCTGCATCTGCTCATTCTCAATGTCCTTCAGCTCAAAATCATCTTTATGCCAAATGGGCCTATTTTGGGGTGGCAAGTTCTGGTACTTTTGCTTGACAACACCTCTTCCGTAGACCGTTTTCCATCTGCTTTGCTTCCAGTTATCAATGTGTTCTGTCACTCCTGAGAGACTAAAATCTAGCACTTTGGAGGATAAAATGACTGCGAGTTCCTGTTAAATTAAGTTCAGCCTAGAGCTTCCTTTCTCTGTACGCTGTAACCTACTCTTATGCCAGTCACCAAGTTTTGGCTCATCAGAGGAGGCCAGCTGCTCAAACCTTGTTCAAATAAGGCAAATGCCGAGCCACAACCAGTCCGGCTGTTATCTCCATTTTCTGTCTGTCACTTTCCTTTTGGTGTCCCTAAATCTTCCACTTCATGGCTGAGTGCTGGAGTCTCTGAGCCTTCTCTAGCTCAAGAGGCTGCCCGACTCACCAATCATCCATTGCTCAATTAAACTCTGTTAAATTTAATTTGGCTAAGGTTTTCCTTTTAACAATGCATTTAACTGTCATTTCAGCTTTCCAAAGTTTACTCTTTTAACAAATATCGAGTGCCTTTTCTAAAGTGAAAACTCTGCTGTCTCTGTATAATTCTCCTAAGGCATCTGCTCTCAGATTCCGAGCATCTAGAATTGGGAGGGTCAGACCCACATACACAAGAGAGTTAGAAGTTGCAGATGTCACCAAGACGGGCAGGGTGGCAGCAGAGGGAACGCTCTTGTGATGAGCAGGAGGGAATTCATCTTTGAGGTCTCTGGTCCTTTAACGACCTTTCTTTCAGCTTCACAGACATTTGCATATTGGCTCCAATTTTAAACTTGCCCTAATGGGAACCCAGGGAGTCAAGATCCTTCTACACACAAGACAAACAAGGGGGCACATGAGATTTAGCCACTTCTGTATTCTACTTTTGCTAGATCATTTTGAGCTAAAGGACATTGTGAACGAGCTGTCGACCTAAAAGGAAGGAAAAGGCAGAAGCACAAAATGTGATTTAAAGAGTTGATCTGAGCCAAAGCAAGGACAGCAGCCTAGAAGACTCAGCCCCAGGCAACCCTGGTCAGACACTCAGTACTCAGCCCCAGGCAACCCTGGCGGGATGCTCAGGACTGAGCCCCAGGCAAACCTGGCTGGGTTTGGCCAGGAGATCCATTCACCTTTGGTATAGGGAGGTTTTTTTTTTTTTAATTTTATTATTATTATATTTTGTTATTATTATATTTTAAGTTTTAGGGTACATGTGCACAACGTGCAGGTTTGTTACAACATGTTGGTGGGGTGGGGGGAGTGGGGAGGGATAGCATTAGGAGATATACCTAATGCTAAATGGTATAGGCAGGTTTTTAAAAGCAAAAGCAGGGGGACAGAAAAGGGCTGGTGGAAAGTGGTTTGCAGCAATTCTCATTGGTTTGCAGCAATAGCATTGATTAGCGATTGCGGATACATTGGTAAGCTATAGGCAGGGGTTACAGTGTCTGCTGGGGCGTAAGGAGGCTACTGTGGCAACAGAGAGCGGTTTCAAGAGGTGGACACACAGCTCAGGGCAGTGCTGGGTCCTGATTGCTGTCTCATTTGAGCCTCTCTGGGCCTAAGAATTTGAAAGGGTTCACATTCCTTAGATAAAAGTTACTTTCTTTCCTCACAGTAGATTCAGAAAAAGCTCTAAAAACAGGAACAAGTTTTCCTTTTGGGAAGGAAATTTACATTTGTCAAAGATGTCTCCCTCTTCTGCACTAGGAAGAGCAGAAGTCTCAGCAATTCCTACTGGGGAGTAAGCCAGGTTTGAATCAGCAGGCCAGCCTCACCAGCAGAGCCTCACCAGCAGAGCCTCACCAGCACAGCATCACCAGCAGAGCCTCACCAGCAGAGCCTCACCAGCACAGCCTCACCAGCAGAGCATCACCAGCACAGCATCACCAGCAGAGCCTCACCAGCAGAGCCTCACCAGCACAGCCTCACCAGCACAGCCTCACCAGCAGAGCATCACCAGCACAGCATCACCAGCAGAGCCTCACCAGCAGAGCCTCACCAGCAGAGCCTCACCAGCAGAGACTCACCAGCAGAGCCTCACCAGCAGAGACTCACCAGCAGAGACTCACCAGCAGAGCATCCCCAGCAGATCATCACCAGCAGACACTCACCAGCAGAGCATCACCAGCAGAGACTCACCAGCAGAGCATCACCAGCAGAGACTCTCCAGCAGAGCCTCACCAGCAGAGCCTCAGCAGCAGAGCATCACCAGCAGAGCCTCACCAGCAGAGCATCACCAGCAGAGCCTCACCAGCAGAGCATCACCAGCAGAGCCTCACCAGCAGAGACTCACCAGCAGAGACTCACCAGCAGAGCCTCACCAGCAGAGCACCACCAGCAGAGACTCACCAGCAGAGCCTCACCAACAGAGACTCACCAGCAGAGCATCACTAGCAGAGACTCACCAGCAGAGCCTCACCAGCAGAGCATCACCAGCAGAGACTCACCAGCAGAGCCTCACCAACAGAGACTCACCAGCAGAGCCTCACCAGCAGAGCACCACTAGCAGAGCATCACCAGCAGAGGCTCACCAGCAGAGCCTCACCAGCAGAGCACCACTAGCAGAGCATCACCAGCAGAGGCTCACCAGCAGAGCCTCACCAGCAGAGCCTCACCAGCAGAGACTCACCAGCAGAGCATCAACAGCAGAGCACCACCAGCAGAGCCTCACCAGCAGAGCCTCACCAGCAGAGACTCACCAGCAGAGCCTCACCAACAGAGACTCACCAGCAGAGCCTCACCAGCAGAGCATCACCAGCAGAGACTCACCAGCAGAGCCTCACCAGCAGAGACTCACCAGCAGAGACTCACCAGCAGAGCCTCACCAGCAGAGCCTCACCAGCAGAGCCTCACCAACAGAGACTCACCAGCAGAGCCTCACCAGCAGAGCATCACCAGCAGAGACTCACCAGCAGAGCCTCACCAGCAGAGACTCACCAGCAGAGACTCACCAGCAGAGCATCACCAGCAGAGACTCACCAGCAGAGCCTCACCAGCAGAGACTCACCAGCAGAGACTCACCAGCAGAGCCTCACCAGCAGAGACTCACCAGCAGAGCCTCACCAACAGAGACTCACCAGCAGAGACTCACCAGCAGAGCCTCACCAGCACAGCCTCACCAGCAGAGGCTCACCAGCAGAGGCTCACCAGCAGAGGCTGACCAGCAGAGGCTGGCCTACCTGCTTTCCCTGCTCACTTTCCTGTAATTTGCCAACTGCACCCAGAAGCTCAAAACTCCTTTCCTTTGTTTGGGTCTGAGATGATGGATAAGCACTAGTCCTACCCACCCCGGCACTCTCAACACTGGGTGCTGCTGTAGGTACCTGTGAGAGGCACGTGTGAATAAACTTCTGTTTTTCTCATGTTAACCTGTTTCTTGCAAGTCTAGTTTACAAGGCCGCAGCTGTGGAAACTGTGATGGGTAGAGGAAAAGGATTTTATTTTTTTCTCCCCTCCACTGCAGTCCTGCCCACTTAACGTTCCATTAGCTAGAAACCAGTTTGCCGTTACCTGATTGATATCTGACTGCTCTATTTAGGCTCCACCTGAGGAGAAGGGGTGCGGGAACTGGAGCCCCACCTGCCCCAGGAGGAGAGCGCAGACTCTGATGAGCTGCTGCAGTCTCTCCTGGTGAGCTCCTGCGGGGCCGTGAATGGGGACCGCAGGCTCTGCACGAGTTCCCACACAGGGAGAGCCTGTCCTGGGCTCCATGTCACACAGGGAGGGGCCACCTCACCTTCTAGCCCAGTGGCAGACACTTAAAGCCTCTGATGTTAGTTCCAGCTCCCCCTTCAGCCCTAACTTTTAATTTTCTTTCCTTTGTTCTTTATTTTTTTGAGAGCTGCAAGCTTGCTGCGGTCACAGTGCTGTTCTTCCCATGAGTCACCCACAGGACCGCCTGCCTCCTGTCCCCTTCACGCGCATGGGCCGATGTCTCACGGAAGGAAGTGGTGCATTGGAGGGAGCTCAGATGCTCCCCTGGGCTCTTCATCTGGGGGCAGCTCTCAGGGTGCAGGGGGCTCAGACTGGGCTCTCTGCACTGCCACACACCTGCCCGGTGACTTGGGACAAAGCATTTGGCTTTCTCAGCTGGTTTCCTGTGGTGCACTAAGGAGATAATGACACCTACCTTTGCAGATGTTGGGGCTCAGAGCATGATACCCCAAGGTACACGCCTTGGCTGTGGTGTTCTTTGAGTTGCAGGATGCTGAAAGGCTCTGACGCTAGGCTGTGGTCTCTCATTCTCCTCTCTCACTCCTCAGCCTCCCCTAAAGCAGTCGTAGAAACTGGAATTCCTATGCCCCTAGGCCGGTCCTAGAAACTAGAGGCCCCCTCCCCAAAAGCAAGCCAAAAAGCCTGGAAAGGTCACTCTCTCCCTTCTCCCTTCAAGACACTCATTCCAGAAGGGTCCTGTCCCGTAGACAGAAGGAAGAAACTGTAGGGGCCAAGGGAAAACCCCCTTTTTACCCTCTGAAGGTTTGCTAAAAGTCTACTGGTGAAAGGACGATTAATAAGAGTAAAGGCACGCAGATAGGAACATGCACGGGGTGAGGAAGTGGCCGCCTCACCATGTGATGGGACAGACGCTGATACACCCGCCCTTTTAGGGGAAAGGGAGATGGGGCGTGTGGATGAGTTTAGCGGGTAGTAAATGCCCTTTAGGAAATTCAATGGGCTTGGAGAATATACAGTGATCTGAGGCAATGTCTGTTGGGCCCACAGAGCAGACAATGGCTTATGACACATGTCTGTCCAGGTGGATTGAGACTTTGGTCTTTCTTTCTGTGACAGGAATCCAGCTGAGAAAAACTCAGGGAAGAGACAGGGGTGACCGTTTCCTTCTTTGGTGGGTTCAGACTCAGAGAGCAGCTTCACCCTGTGCTTTGGGACGCAGGGGATTCAGATGGGACATGAGGAGGGTGATCAGAGAGACCTGGAGAGGCTGTTTCTTCAGTTCAACACGTCAAAGCCCCACATTTTGGGGTATCGATTCCCGAGCCCCCACAGCGTGCTACCCAGAGAGGCTGAGAGGAACATGGACGGAGCGGCCTTGCTGGGGCCCCTGCTGGGCGATCTCTCCCTTTGTCCCATCGTGTTTCTGCATGGCCGCCCATCTTCATGGGGTCTGAGCAGAATCTCAGTTTCCCCTTGGTCTTTGGGTCTTCCTTTGGAAGCCTCAGGGGCTACATAAAACTTGGATTAAAGAAATGCGTTGTGTTTTTCTCTTGTTAACCTGCGTTTCATTCTAGGAGCGTCAGCCAGGTCGCAACCTTATGATGAGTGAGGAAAGGTCTCACAGCACACAGGACTCTTGCTGAAGGCCGCAGGAGGATCGGGTGTCACCTGGGGATGGGGAGAGATGAGGAACCCAGTTAGCTACGGAGGGGGTCAGGTGTGGAGGGTGGGGGTTCTCTCTAAACCAACATAATATTTTTGCCACAGCTGGGCGAGGACAATGCTTAGGTAAAGCCTAAGGAGTCTGAGCGGACTTCGGTCAAGGCAGGTCTTTCCCAGCACCGAGGAGGTGAGAATAAGATAATCCACGCTTCGCTTTCTTTGAGGCCTTGCTCAAAAAAAATTTTTTTTTTTTTTTTGGAGACAGAGCCTCCCTCTGTCAGCCAGGCAGGAGTGCAGTGGCATGATCTCGGCTCACTGCAACCTCTGCCTCCCTAGCTCAAGCAATTCTCTAGCCTCAGCCTCCTGAGTAGCTGAGATTACAGGCGTGAGCCACCACAGCCAGCTAATTTTTGTATTTTTAGTAGAGATGGGGTTTCACCATGTTGGCCAGGCTGGTCTCGAACTCCTGACCTCAGGTGATCTCCCGCCTCGGCCTCCCACAGTGCTGGGATTATAGACATGAGCCATAGTACCCAGACTTTCCTTAAGCTTTTAAAAGCTCAACTTACAAAAGTGTTCTTTTATTTAAATACGACAGGTGTGAGCAATCGAGATTTAGGGTTCCTTTGATTAACCTTCGGTCCCGTCCACGAAGTGGTGAACTGAACATCATTAAAGCTTCCACACAGATTTTACAAGTGCGACGTGCTCACATTCCCCTAAAAGCTCCACTGTCTGTTGCATCCTTGTATTTTTTTTTTGACAGTAAAGCTGATAAGCAGCGGGGCTGTGTTTTTTTTAATGAGCCTGGGTGCACGCGTGGAGGGATCACAATTACACCAATAACAAAAATACACAATTGAAATTTTAGTCTCACGGCTGAGGCATCACTTTAATTGATCAGATTCTCTTAAATATTTCAATTCTTAAAATGCTAAATATGCCTAATTCTAACACAGAAAATGCTTTATTTCTTCATTCTAATTTTTGCAACGTTGAAAGATGCCTACGACTGAGAGATGAAAATACAAGCGGACAATGGACCGACCACATGTAAAAGCAGACATCAGACCCACAACCAGCACAGGAAACCAAGCCCTTACCGGCAAGGAGCAGCCCAGGATGCCCGCCTGCTATCTGCAAATCAGACGTGCAGGAGTCCTGATCGCTGTCCCTAGTGACGATCCAGAAAGCTGAGCAACAGTGCCGTAACAATCAGCCCCAGCTGGTCAGAGCTTAACAACTCACAGCTGCCCCGACTTCTGCCCTGACGTCCCATTGAGGACAGACGGAGAAAGACAAACGTGCTCCCCCGACACTCACACGGGACGCCCCGATTCCATTTGCCGCCCCAGCTCCCAGGCCAGCAGCCTCCATCGGGGCTCACCGGGTGCCTTCCCTTCCCCGGGAAGCTCCCACGCCCAGCCTGCCGGAGTCTCTGCGAAAATGCAGGTGATGGTGGTCGGCTTCCTAACTCTGAGGAGCTCGGGATAAGCAGCCTCTGTCTGTTGTCATTTGGGCAGTCTTTGCTTATTTACACCCTACTAAGGAAACAATTTGAGGCTCCCGAGTAATTTTGAGGGTGGCCTTCCCAGCTTGATGAGGTTTTGTAAACCGTCTGGGGGGAGACACATGGTGCCTGAATTATGATCTCATTTTAAGGTAGTGTCACAACCTCAATTTTTCAGTTTCTTTGTAAAGTCAGTAACCTCCATCTAGACTTCTATATCCCCCGATTAACCTCTGCACTAAATTCTATGTAAATAACTTTAAACTAGCTCCTAAGTTCTGAAGATCTTGGGACATGACAACGCCGTATTCTTTTTAAACCTTCTTTTCTGGATAGGTGACATCTTATTTGGATTCTAATACTCTTAGGCCACATCTCTCTTTAAAGAGGTCACTCCTAGTATAGGAGGGAGACAGAATCCTGTTCACTCCAACAGGGTCCCCTCCTGGGTAGAGGGGCAGAGATTCTCTCTTTGGGAAAAGATGAGGAGAGGATTGGGCTTCTCCATGACCCGTCTCATTGCGGTGAGACACTTCTCAGGAACACCTCTGCTGTCAGACATGCCTGACAAAGCTGGGTCGTGGGGAAAGGCCTCCGCCGTCAGACATACCTGACAAAGCTGGGTCCTGGGGCGGATGCTGTTCAGGTGTCAGGAGGCCCCTTCTGTGGGGATAACTGTGTAAGACACCTCGCTTGGGGCTGACCCATACGAGATGTTTAACGATGGCATGTCTCTGGCTCTCTCCCCAGACGGTCTTGGGTGGTTTTGTTCCCCACATATCAAAGAGGGCAAATGAGTTGAATGCCTGCTGTTTGTATCTCACACATGAGAAGGAAACAATTTGTTCCTTAGAAAAGGGAAACGCTATGATCGCTCATGGTTTTTATCAGATGCTTCACATGTTTTGTTGGCGGCCTGTGGAAAGAGCATGGTTCTCTGCTGTTGCTGGGCAAGGCTGCTGGCCTCCGAGGGGAGGGACGGATCCTAAGGAAGGCCGGGCACCCACCGCATTCGGCCAGAAAACAAAGCTGTGGTGGAAGGCGGGGACAGTTGTTGGGCCCTAAGTATTGAAGCCATGATTTACCTTCGATTATCTCTCTTTCGGGCCCTAAGATGGAATTCTCAATTTCCTGATTCCATCACCGGCCCCTCCCTCTTCTTTCCTTCTCTGATTAATTTCCCACCTTTATCTGGCCATCTGCACACACATCCCTGTGTTTGTGGGTAATACTGATCCTTCTTTATTTCCTTATCTTACCTTGCTCAACGAAGATTCGAAGAAACTGAAGGGACACAAACAATGCTCTAGAAAGAAAAAACTCATTTAATTAAAAAGCAAGAAGAGGATGAGAAGAAACTAGGATGCAAGGATGGGGTCAGAGACCAGAGGTGACTCCATCCAGAGGAAAGTCCAGCATGCCCCACATTTGGCCTCACACAGGGGAGGCCTCATTAGGACCAACAGTGAGGCTTCCCCTTAGGCCACTCTATTTGATACTGAAAATGAGGGTGCTCAGGGGCTGCCATGTGCCTGTTTTATTATTATACAAGGAGGTCTATGCCAACTACATTTATTAGGATGGGATGTTTTCTTTGTGTCGTTTCCCACTTGACCCAGTGTCTGAACAGTGACTGATAACTTGTGTGTGTCATAGTAAGTGAAATACAAAGGATGAAAGCCTGATTATCTTCATGTACTTAAATTGCTTCTCCCTTAAGACCCTGAGCTCTGCCTCATTACCCAGCTGTGTTGTGTAAACCAGTAAGTATCTGAGACAGGTCTCAACCAATTCAGAAGTTTATTTTGCTAAGGCTGAGGACTAAACTCTGATTTTTTTTATCTTGCCCAAATTCCTATTGAAGGGGTCTGGGGAGTCACGCCCTGCAAACTATAAATTCTCATCAGATGGGTTTTATTTAACCTGTATATCATGACTTACTTTTCCAACCTGACTCTGGCATAACATTACAAGACAAGGAAGAAAATCAAAATATTTTACCCCAAAACATGTATCTTTGCCATATTTTGAAATGGCCCTGCAAAGCTGTTCTTTGTAGGGGGAAATTTTGCATCTGTAAAGAATCTCTGTTAACATAACTGGATCTTTTTCTTCCAGGCCTTCTCAATCCTGAAGAGATTAACTAAGATCCGAATAGGAAGGCCGGGCGAGGTGGCTCACGTGCCAATCTCAGCACTTTGGGAGGCTGAGGTGGGAGGATCACAAGGTCAGGAGTTCACGATCAGTCTGGCCAACGTGGTGAAAGCCCGTCTCTACTAAAAATACAAAAAATTAGCCGATGTGATGGTGTGCACCTGTAATCCCAGCTACTTGGGAGGCTGAGGCAGGATAATTGCGTGAACCCAGAAGGCGGAGGCTGCAGTGAGCCGAGATTGTGCCATTGCACTCCAGCCTGGGCAATAATGTGAGACTCCGTCTCAAAAAAATAAATAAATAAAAAAAATAAAATCTGATAGGAAACATTAGTCATCTATTGTCTCTAAGGGGAGCCACTATAAGACTTCACAAGAACTTTGGTTTCCACAGTCTTTATCTTAACCTGAACATTCCCTTTCTATCAATCCCAGGTCTTTAGACAAACTCAACCAATTGTCAACCAGAAAATGTTTAAATTCACCGATAGCCTGGAAGCCCCCACTTTGAGTTGTCCCACCTTTCTGGACCAAACCAAAGTATTTCTTAAATGTATTTGATTGATGTCTCATGCCTCCCTAAAATGTATAAAATCAATCTGTGCCCTGACCACCTTGGGCACATGTTCTCAGCACCTCCTGAGGGCTGTGTCGTGGACCATGGCCACTCATATTTGGCTCAGAATAAATCTCTTCAAATATTTTACAGAGTCCAACTCTTTTTGTTGATAACAAATGCCCCTTCATGCATTTGTAATTTTTTTCTGTACTCTTCATCTACTTTATCATAATCCCCTTATTACAAGGTTTTTATAGCCATTATTTTAAGAGCTCTCTAGTACTCCATAAAATTCATGGATCATGAATTGCTTAATCATTCCTCTGTAATAGGACTTTAGGGTTGTTTTTATTGATTTTGGTACATTTGTAATTGTTTTGGTATTTCTAGTATAGACTGAGATTGAGGCAAAATATAAATTTTCTAAGATTTTTGAAAATATTGTGAAATTGCTTTCTAAAATATTTACATCAATTCTCAGGCAAACTGTTCCTATGGACAAATAGCTTTTAATAATCCTAACAGACAGGCCTGAGCCAGCACATCATTAACTCGGCTTGTTCCTAAAGACAGCCTTTGACAGAGCTTCTTCCACCCTGCGGGTCTAGAGAGACAGAGATGCAGGGTGGTAGGAGTGAGAGTCGCCTCTCTCTTCTGTCAGCTCTGAGGACTCTACCAAGGACTGGAGGGGGACTCACTGCAATCACCAGTGCTTCCAGGAAGCAGTGCTGTTGCAAATGAGCCATCCGAACACACTAGCTTATAAGAAGTGCTCAGAGGACCTTGAATCGTGAAGCAGCTGAAGGCACCACTGGGAATAAATTATGAAATTTAACTAAGATTATCAGAGTCCCTTTCTCAAATTTTATATTTTGGGTGATTGTGTCTATGAGAGGAGGGTATTTTTGGAATTTTAAACCATGACATTAACTAATATAGTTGATGTGAAAGTGGGTAATTCATTGTTAAATTATATTTGAAGGGCAATTTAAGTTTATGGGTGACTTGCTGCCGGGATCCTTGCCAACAGCATGGAAGTAAGAAGGCATCATCTTTCAACACCCAGGTAACCAACGATGGGCTGCCTGTCCTTCTGCTCCCCTGACGTGAAACTGGAGAAGGACACGTCTCCCAGTTAACCCGAATCAGTCAGGAGGTGGCAGCCAGTTTGGGACATTTTGTAAAACAATGGCCCTGGGCAGTTGAAAACTGTCTGTGTTCTGGGAGACAGGCAGGCCGAGAAACTGCTCAGTAATAAGAGGTGACAGGGACAGGAACAGGGACAGGGACGGAGCAGCTGGGAGCAGTGCACCTCCTCTGGGAGACAGGCAGGCTGAGAGTCTGCTCAGTAATAAGGAGGTGACAGGGACAGGGACAGGGACAGGGATGGACCAGCTGGGAGCAGCGCGCCTCCTCGACTGGATTCCAGAAGAAAGGCTCTACAAAGGACGTGACCGCCCTGCCTGGGCGCGCTGAGATGCTGACGCATGCACAACGGCAATGCCCCCAAGTGTGGTGGCTGCAGGGCTGCTGGTGGAGAATTCCCTGCCCAGGGGAGCCCTGTGCTGGGAGGCACCGTGTCCTCCGTCCAGGCTCGCTCTCAGATGGCCTAGCCCAGCGAGGGGCAGGAGCGACAGCAAATGGGAAAAGGACGGCCCAGTGGGGATGCCGAGACACTCACATAGTTTTCTAAAAGTCATTGACTTCTATATGCCTCGGAGTTGAGAATCAAACTGGTAAAAATGTTAAAAGCAACTAAGTTGGAGTGAAAGGGTTCGAGTGGATCCCACGGGACCCCAGACAGCATTTCCCAGACTCAAGTGAAGACGCAGACCCGGGTTAGAGATCCTTCGTGCTACAAATGTGGCAACACCTTGTTTATTTAGAGTAAGATGTGTTAACATCCAGCATGACAAAATTTGTACAAAGTTCACAATTTAAAAATGAAGTATCACAGCAACTTGTGATTCCACACATTTATAGCAAAATTAAAGTGTCAACAAACCCATGCCGTGTAGTACAAAAATAAATCAAACTTCAGTTCCACAGAGAGCACAATAAATAGTTTATACAAAATTCTGTCTTAATAAATGATTACTTAAATTAACTTAGAAATGAATATGAACAATAAGTTATAATAAACTCTGATGACTCACAATAATCCATATGAAAGGTCAGCATTCTAATATGTGACACTTTTGTGATCCCTATATAATAGTCACAGATAACTTTTGATTTGAGATTATGTACCAACGTTAGATGAGCAGCAGGTTTGTGCTTAAAATCCCTTTCCATTGTACATAGGTGATAACAATAAGAATCCAAAACTGATACTATCTAGTACTCTACTAAAAGCATTACTATATTGGCAAAGAAGCTGCAGACACAACGCGGTGGGGAAATGCATATGCTGTTATGAACAATGGGGGCCCTAAAGGCAGCTGGGGCCCTGGGCCACACGGACGGCCTCAGGTGACTGCAAGCACCTTGCTTCAGCTCTCAAAACGCATTCTGAGCATGGCAGCTGCAACCAATAGCACAACAGAAAGGGGGCGCTGTACAGAGAAGGTTCCGCAGAGCCCCGAAATAATTACATCGTCTTTTCCCAGCTAGTTATTAAAGTCCTTGTGGAAAACTGTAAGCTTTTGTACAGTGAACAGTATAAAGTGCCGCTGGGATATACATATATTTATACACATATATATATACCGAGGTTGAGTATTGTATCAGAATATTCGTCGTGAGATCCCTGTAGTCTCCCTTTGCAACATTATTGATCAGCCGTGAGGGCTCCTCTATAATCCATCCAGGTTCAGTGTCACAAGGCTACTGACACGAGGAATTGCACACCTCCGTACGGATATATAGGACAAGGTAAGTGCAAATAGTCGACTGGCACATTGTGGGGACAATGACCCTGTAAGTCCTGTTCTGCTAAAAATATTTTTTTTTTATTTTTACAAAACCCATCTTTTTTTTATTTCATAACAAAAATTTAAAGTACGTCTGTACTTCCTGCATAACATCAAGACATGGAAGGAAGAGATGCTACTAAATGGAACTCAAGTCAACATCAGAAAACACAACACGTCGTCAAAGGACTACTCAGAAGGGGGAACACAGCGCTCAAAAGTGGTCTTATGCATACATATAGTGCAGTCATTGGGAGTAAAACAATCAAATCTGGAAGGTATAAACAAGTCTAAGATGATCTAGTTTAAAGCAAAAAAGTGCTGAAGTATATTTAGTTACTTTTAAAATCTGATTGCATTCATTCTTAGAATAGTCACAAGAAATCAAACAATGAGGCTCTGCAAATGCTCTATGGTCAACTGGTCTCCACCCAAGTGTAGAACAGAAACGTCGTGGTAAGAGTCCTCTGAATAGGACCAAATGCTGATTCAGAGTCAAAGTCGGGCGGGGGGAGCAGGAGGGAAACTTTACCGAGCTGCCTTCCCACCAGATCCAGCAGAAAACTCGGTCCAGTAACTAGAAGACTCACAAATCATTTGCCTTTATCCCTCAAATGTAAAATAAGAAGGTTCATAACAATAATAGGAATAATCATAATTTTTTAAAGTGAAAAGGGGAAATAAATGTTCTTAAATTATCTTTTAGCTTAAATCGAAAACACACAAATTCTGTTGATAAACTACATTGCAATAACAGACAGTTCAGAGGGGCACGAAACTCTAGGGGAGATACGAGAAGGTTGTTCCAAAGTTTATTGAAAATGGAAAAGGAAATCTTCACGTTGTCCACCTCTGATAAGATCCTGTCTTAACTGGAGTTTCCATAGTCACAACCATGTAACGCTTAGGAGTTAATTTAAAAGTGCTGTTTAAGCTGCTTTGAATCTTCTGCCAAGTTTCCATGGCTTGATGTTGTCTTACAATAAATTACTTATTTCATTTCTTACAGTTAATCCATATGCCATTTCCTTGGAATGCAAAAAACCTCATTTATTGCCCCCACCATACACCATCCTCCTAAAACAAACAAACAAAAAAGTCACATAATATTTCCAAGCATTGTTCAAAAATAAAGCATTTTTGCAACGAATTCTTGCTATGAAACAATATGCACACAAAATGTATTTCTTAAATTCCATAAAGTCCTCCAACATGAGGCAAAATGATAACGTCTAAAAAGCGGCTGCTCAGCCACAACATGATCATTCAAAGCTGTGGGTCTGTGTGTGCGTGTGTGTGTTTGTGTGTCCATTTCAGTTCAAAATACTAAAACATTTAATCACTAAAGCATTAAAAAGAATTTACACTCTATTTATTTTGATCAGCTTACCTCTTCAGAAATAGATATACCCCCAAATGTGCATACATCAGCAGCTATAAACATTACATGGCAGAACACTATGTCAGCTTACATGGAAACGTACAAAATGTGGGTGTATTCAAAAACTATTCTGCAGGTACTATCTTTAAAGCAAGACATAAAATCATTATGAAGTCTTGTAAGCATAACACTGTTTCAAATTCAAACAGAAATAAATATAGAACACTTTCTGGTAAGTTACAGCAGCAAAAAACAAGAGGCATCCTTTTTAAGCAAGAGTTTCATCACTACAGCAGCTGTTCAGACCTGAATTCCTCTCACAGCCTGCTTTATATTTTCCAGTAGGGCTTTATTTTCTGGACTCTGATAACGATCTTGATTTGTATACATTTCCGTCAAAGTAGTCACGTAAGCATCAAAATTTTGTTCATTGATTGGATCCTACGAGATATTAAATAGTAGTTCATATACAACTTTTATTTTCTTAATAGTATATTTACAAAAGCATAAAATAGTATCATAGCATAGTGCCCCTGGTTTTATACTATTTCAAAGGCCGGCTCAGAGCACACTTAAGTTTCTGGGGTCAGCCCCGCCCATGTTTCTAGCAGTTAATGGTATGGTTTCGGGGTGGTAACCACAAACATTTGCCAAAGGCTGAAGAACCATGAAAATAACGATAAAAACGGCATCTACTTTAGGCTGTGCGCTGTGGAGGACTCCACATTCCTGCCTTGCGTGCTCAGTCACTTACCATGTGCGGCAGCTGGATGTTAGCCAGGCTGTGGATCAGAGACTGGCTCAGGTTCGCCAGCTCGTGGAGGAGAGACTCGTTCTGCTGCTCAATCACTTTGTTCTCCTCTTCGATGGTCTTCAGGTTGCTCTCCATCGTGGTAATCTGAAACGCACAAGTGTGCGTGACATGTAACACCAGGAGGACCTAGGAGCGCGTGGTCGTTGCCGGGGGCCACAGTCTACTGGGTGCGAAGAAGGGGCCTCTCGCTGAAGGAGAAAGGCTTCGGGCCGGGCGCCGTGGCTCACGCCTGGAATCCCAGCATTTTGGGAGGCCAAGACAGGCAGGTCACTTGAGGTCAGGAATTCAAGACCAGCCTGGCCAACGTGGTTAAACCCTGTCTCTACTAAAAATACAAAAATTAGCTGGGCGTGGTGGCGTGCGCCTGTAATCCCAGCTACTCGGGAGACTGAGACATGAGAATAGCTTGAACCCGAGAGGCGGAGGTTGCAGTGAGCTGAGATCACACCATTGCACTCCAGCCTGGGTGACAGACCGAGATTCCGTCTCACAAAAAAAAAAAAAAAAAGGAAAAGAAAAAGGCTTCCGTGGTGATAGCTTGTCATTGAAGGACCTGCTGCCTATGCTTTGGATTCATTGCACTTGACAACTGGGGAGCTGAGACTGTTTCCCTGCGCGATCCTGTTCTCTCAGCCGGCCTGATGGGACTGCAGTGTGTAGGGGGCTTGATGCGAATACTTCTCCTTTCTAGCCTGAATAAAATTCTGCCACAGCTAAGTCCTCCAATGCTCATTTCTGTGTGGAGGTGTCACTGTGTCTTCAGATGGCACCAGGCTGGCACTGTGCCCACAGGGTGGTCTTCCTGCATTTCTCTAAGGAAAAAGGCCCACCACGGACCCTTCCTCGCATATTCCAGAGATAATTTAAGTATCACCAAGGTCAAGGGGCTTGAGTTCAGGGCCTCTGCCTATAACCGCACAGGACTAGCTTCACACGCAGCAGGCGGGGAGCTGCCCTGCCCATGGGGGTGTCTGCCTTGGGCACCCAAGGGTGCCTCTGCCGTGCATGATCTGGGGCTTCTTCCTGGAAGACCGGGCCGACCCGCAGAGTCCAGGGCTGGCTTGCCTGGCCTGCCCGCTCCTCTCCTTCCCTGACGTGTCATTCCTAAGTCCTCTCACGAGAGTCTCTCCTCCTCTCCCTGTCGGCCCTGCCTTCTCCTATGTTCTGGCCCTCCCTTGGCTGTACTGGGTCAAATCCCGGGTTCTCCCAGTCACCAGCCTCAGGCCCAGACCCTCTGTTAGAAAACTGAAGCACCTCAGAGGCGCCCTCCAGGATGAAGTGGGGAGGGCCGGCCTTCTCCTTGGAAGGAATCGCAGCCCCCACCATTCCTGCAGGGACGGTCCCCTGTGGAGAACACACTGAAATCACACAGATTTATTTCCATGCACGTCCTGGGTGACCTTCTCATTCGTGTTCTTTGGGGTTATTTATCAAATTAATGTTCCCCTCCCAGCCGCCCCCTTGCAGGCTCAGGAGTGGATGCCTGCCCTCCCACGACTCCTGGGTGGGCCTCGAAGGGCTGCGTGCCCGGTGCTTGTCTTCCAGAGCGTTCTGTAGCCCTTCCTGGGTGGCCACGTGCCTGCACTCACAGCTGGTGGCAGCTGTGGCTGGGACCTTACTAGAGATGATGTCAGTGTAAGCAGACGTAGGTTTTCTATGACGGAATCTAATCTAGAATGAGGCGTCATGGCCCAGGTCCCGAGGTTTTTAAAAAGGTACACGCAGGGGGAAGGCCAGCAGCAGGATGGGCACCTCTGCAGTTTCCCTGAGCAGAGGGCGGCTCCTGCCCTTTGCATCTGGTGGCTTTCCTAGACGGTGGCTGCTACAGGCCCCTCGGCCCCTCCTGTCTGTGCTCAGGGAACCCTGCAGAGGCCTCGCCATCGCTGGCCCTCAGCGGGCCCTCCTGGATGAGCCCAGCCCAGCTCGCCTCTGGTTGAGCATCTCAGAGGTGCTTCTGGCTATTCCACTATCCTAGCCAGGCAAAGTGTGGGCTCTTTTTCTGGAAAATGGGAATAATGCTCCTTGCATTATGAACTCACACTGAGCTGTGCAGTGTGTCTGCAGTGAGAAGACATTTGTTATTCCTGGGGCCTGTGATCTGGTCTTAGGGGCCCAGAGTAAACGGAAGTCCAACTGCTCCCCCGGCTTAGCGGAGAAGCAGCCTGTGGGGTGACCAAGGCAGGGGCGGCACCCTGTCTCATTGTCCCCAGCAAAATTCTTGGGGACACATTTTAGATCCATTCCTCCTTCAACTTATGTTCTCTGCTGGAAAGTCTAGCCCCTTCTGCAGAGGCAGAGATATCTTCCTATGTTCAGGAATCTCTGTGAGACTCAGGAGTTAGGCTGTTCCTTCCCGTGCTACCCGGGTCTGTGGCTGGGATGGGGGTGGCGGGGCTCCCATGCTTATAAATGCTTTGCTTTTCTCAAAATGGAACAAATCTCATTGTGTTAAATCTGCTTAGCTGTGGAACAAAATATGCAGTTTGAACAAACATCCCATCAAAGCCCTGGCCAAAATGATAATCTCCTGAACCAGGCTGCTTGGTGAGCCCCGTCCAGGGTCAGAGAGAATGTCTGGAGACCCAAAACCAGAACCGACGGGTATCTGCCAGGTCTTGCAGCCTCACCTCCCTCAAGTGCATCCCCCGTGGCCCCTGAATCTCCTGCATCTCCAGCCCACACACGAAGGGCCCCGGGCTTCTTGCACGTGGACACACGTTTGCTTCCCTGAGCCTTCCTCCAGGGTGGCAAGAAGCTGAGTGTCTCAGGGTCACTGCTGCCCGTTCCTTACTATCCTAGCCAGACAAACTGTGGGCTCTTTTTCTGGAAAATGGGAGTAATGCTCCTTGCCCACAACATCAACTCACACTGAGATGTGAGGCATGTTTGCAGTGAGAAGACATTTGTTATTCCTGGGGCCTCTGACCCAGCCTTAGGGGCCCAGAGTAAAGGGGAGCCCTCTCAGAACGTCTTGGAGCTGGCCAGCACGCTGCGGCGGTCATGGGAGACAGCACTGCTGAGAAAGGTGATGTAGGGGCTCCGCCCAGGCCCTCATACGCCAGGCCTCCTCCGAGGATGGGGCTGAGCAGGCTGGGGAGGGGCACAGAGGCCGGTGTCTCCCTTCCAAACCCAACCCACAGCAGCCACAGTACATGGTTCCTGGCACTCAGAAGGCATCCCTGATCACAGGTGCTTACGCAGGGAGGGGCCTGTGTCGCGAGTGGGTGTGGGGGCCTGGCTGGGAGCTGGGCCGGCCACCTCGGCCGTCATCAATGATGTGCGCTGGCGGACCTGAGTCTGCATTTCCAGAAACATCGAGTTGCCTGTGGTAAAGCAGGGAGCCCTCTGACGAAGGTGGGTTCTGTTTTTGATTGTTTAAGAAACATCAAAGGTTTTTCAGGCTGCTAGGAAGCAGTGCATTCCCGGATCTTCCCAAGAAAGTTCCTGCATCAGCAGCAGCCTGATGGCCAGTCTAGGCCCAAACCCGCATTTTTACAGACTTGTCCACACCCTCTGTCTTTCCAGACCTCAGCGTTTCTTAGATTGCGCAGTCTCTGACCACACCTGGAGTAGAGAAAGGTCAAATCTAGCCTGGGGCCTGACATTGAAAGCTAAGACTAAGCTAAGAATGGCGTTTGCATTTTTTAGTGGTAAGAAAAAAAACAAAAACAAAAGAATAACAGCATTTTGTAACATATAAGAGCTATTAAATTCCGACTGCAGCACCACGTGACGCTGTGTTGAAACAGGGTCACACTCACACGTGTTTTGAGGCTGTCACACTGCAACACAGCTGCGTGGTCCAGAAGCCTAAAATATTTGCCATCTGGTCCTTTATAGAAAATGTTTGCCAATCCCTGGTCTAGACTAAGTACCTTGATGGCGTGATGTGTTTAGAAAACATTTCCGGAAGAAGTGTAAAATGGGTGGGAATCCCAAGGCGTTAGCAGTGGGGTGGTGGAAGGGTGTAACCCCAAGGAAAGTGTCCTCGTGCAGGGAGGACTGCCTCCTGCCCATGCCCGTGCTGACCAGGGAGGCTGGATCACAGAGAGGCTTAGCCCCAGGGAGAACAGCCATCTTCTGAAAGTGGTGCAGGCTGTGGGATTAACTGACCTGCCAATCTTAGAAGTCAAGCTGCACAGGGCTGTTCACTCTGGTCCATCTGGGCCCTCGCACCAGGAGCTGGGGGGTTTCTTGTGAATAGCCTGTCCTGAAAACACGAGCTCCCTTTTATACTCAAATACCCCCATCCCCACCTCCCTGACAAATGCCTGCTGTTTGGGCCACGGGGGGCAGCATCCCAGCCTCCCAGCCGGCTCCGAGCCATCCTCCTTCTGCTCCTGCTGTTTCCTGTGCCTGGAGTGCTCCTTTCCCTCCTCCACCTCCCGTGTCTGCAGGACTCCCGCCGTCTCTCCTCGGGCTCCTTGCTCCAGGCCCCCACGGTGGGGTCTCGAACTCCGGCTCTCAGCACTCATGTGGTTCACACAAATGCCGCTTGCCCAGGCCGTGCCCTGCACTTGAGTCCCCTGCTCTCTCCTCCTCAGCGGCAGTTTTGTTTTTTTCCGGATTCTGATAACAAGCAACTTCTGGGTGTCCCCTGGGGCCGAGGGCAAGCTTTTCTTGTCTCTGCTCCGGGCTCTGGTGTGAACTGAGTTGAATCGGATGAGATGCGTCTGGGGAATCGTGGAGTCCAGAACCAAGGCTTGGGTGTGTCCAGCTTGGGTGCTTCAGCCCTTGAAGCTGAGGCCACACTGAATCCAGTTGAATGGGGTTGGGGAAACGCAGACCCCACAGGCACCTCGGCCGTTCTGCTGGTGCTGGGCCACCCCCAGAGGAAGCCTGCATTAGAGACTGGGAAGGGACCGGTGTCCGGACTTCTTTTTTTTTCTTTTCCCGCCCATGGCGCGATCTTGGCTCTCTGCAAGCTCCACCTCCTGGGTTCACGCCATTCTCCTGCCTCAGCCTCCCGAGTACCTGGGACTACAGGCGCCCGCCACCACGCTAGGCTTTTTTGTATTTTTAGTAGAGACGGGGTTTCACCGTGTTAGCCAGGATGGTCTCGATTTCCTGACCTCGTGATCTGCCCGCCTCGGCCTCCCAAAGTGCTGGGATTACAGGCGTGAGCCACTGTGCCCGGCCAGGGGCCCGGACTTCTGATTGCGTTTGTGTGAGGTGAAGACCCCGACGCAGACTCTTCTTTTCAAGCTGCCAAGCATAAGAATGGATTTTTCAGCCACATAGGAATTGTGTTGGTCGCACTAATTGGACCTCAAATAGCATTTAAACACATTCCAAATTGGAAACCTCATCTTCTCAATTAAATAAAATTGCGTTTGTCCTAATTTGAATTCTTACAACTGAACAGTGAAAAATACCTTTCCAAGTTTTAGTAAGAACACTCCTGGGCTTGAGAGGTAACAAGCAACCCCTTCCGCAGAGAGTGGCAGGAGAGGCCTTTCCTGCATCCGGCACAGGCGCGGCGGTCTCCCCCCATCCGGCACAGGCGCGGCGGTCTCCCCCTTCTCCGGCACAGGCGCGGCGGTCTCCCCCTTCTCCGGCACAGGCGCGGCGGTCTCCCCCTTCTCCGGCACAGGCGCGGCGGTCTCCCCCCATCCGGCACAGGCGCGGCGGTCTCCCCCCATCCGGCACAGGCGCGGCGGTCTCCCCCTTCTCCGGCACAGGCGCGGCGGTCTCCCTCCATCCGGCACAGGCGCGGCGGTCTCCCTCTTCTCCGGCACAGGCGCGGCGGTCTCCCTCCATCCGGCACAGGCGCGGCGGTCTCCCTCCATCCGGCACAGGCGCGGCGGTCTCCCTCTTCTCCGGCACAGGCGCGGCGGTCTCCCTCCATCCGGCACAGGCGCGGCGGTCTCCCTCCATCCGGCACAGGCGTGGCGGTCTTCCCCATCCGGCACAGGTGTGAAATTTAAAGGCTTGGACGGAGTTTCCTTTTTCCTTCTCTTGGATTTGTTCTTTATCAGATTTAAATCTGGACCTCTCCCTGTGCAGGACCCTCATCACCGGGCTGTAGGCCTGAGCACTGACCCTACCGTTCTTTCCTCCGCTCCCATTCCAGAGAGAACATCAGGCCGTGGGCACCCACTTCTCAGTTATCTCATGGCTTGGGCTTGGGACAGGCCTGCAGCCCTGTGTCATCTCTGGCTTGGGCTCTGTGCACAGGTCTGCATCCTCGTGTCAGTGTGTCTTGAACATGTCATGACGCACTGGGAGAAGTCTGCCTTTCTCTTGGGTCAGAGTGGACAAGAAAACACGGGGTCTGGGCCAGTTCCCCTTCCTGGCCATGCTCCCTGAGGGTGTGCGGGCCTGAGAGGCACGGGAAAGTCAGGACCTTCTAAAGGAAAATGCAAGGGGCATGAAGGCTGCTGCAGGAAGGCCGAGGCCATCAGGCAGGGCCGCTTTATGCCCTGGAGAGCTGGCCTGCCCCACGTTCCTCCTCCATACTCCCCGGGCAGTGGCCGAGGCACAGGCAGCAAGGAGGGCTCCTGGCTGTGGGCGCACATTGTTTTCTGGTAAGTTTTGCTCCAGATCTAACCTGTTTAAAGAACATCAGGCTCTAAGCTGCCTGAGTCAGCAGCTGCCTGTCTCTGAGCTCAGGCCTGGTGCTCACAGAACAACTTCTGGGCTGGAGCTCATCATCCGACCCTGAGAGCTGCAGAGCTGGGGGACTCCGGCTCAGCGCATTCCCATCCCTTCTAGAATAGAGGAAGGTCCATCCCTGGGCACATCTGGGAAGTCACCTCTCTCATCAGCCGAGTCAGTGAGAATAAATGTGAACTCTTCACATTCATTTTTGACATCAGGTCCAAATAGATGCTGTTAGGAGCAACTACTCATCTCAGAGATAAAGGCACAAAGGAGCCAGTGAGAACAGACACAGACCTGAGTGTTTCCTGAGGGGGAGGCCACGCCCGTGCAGGTGCAGAGCGTGCCTGGGGTTCCTACTCTAAGCAGCCTGCGTAGGCACATGCGTTGTTCTTTAGGGCTCAGATCCAGGCGGCATGACCTCTAAGCCTACTCAGCCCTCGGCTGAGCCCCAGCCCCAGTACTTCATCCACAGCTGGCATCAGAGCTGCCGTCTATCCCTCATGGACAGCCACGGAGCAGCAGGCCTTCACTGCAGAAGGAGGGGTTTTGGAAAGTGGGAAGAACCCCCTTCCTGAATGGCATCCTATTGGAATTGGGTTGCCCCAGTAGACCATGGACTCAACACCCTGGACAGACAAGGGCATTCTGCCTCATCAGAGAGTGCCCCAAAAGGTGCCATTCAAAGGAGGAAATAAATTAAGATTTTCAGGCTTGTCACCCTCATAAACAGAATACAACTTGATATGGTTTGGCTCTGTGTCCCCACCCAAATCTCACCTCGAATTATAATCCCTATAATTCCCACCTGTGAAGGGCAGGACCAGGTGGAGGTAATTAAATCATGGGGGCGTTCCCCCATGCTGTCCTCATGATAGTGAGTGAGTCTCACAAGATCTGATGGTTTTATGAGTGTCTGGCATTTCCTCTGCTTGCACTTCTCCTTCCTGCCACCTTGTGAAGAAGGTGCCTTGCTTCCTCTTTACCTTCTGCCATGATTGTAAATTTCCTGAGGCCTCCCCAGCCATGTGGAACTGTGAGTCCATTAAACGCATTTCCTTTATAAACTACCCAGTCTCAAGTATTTATTAGCAGTGTGAGAACGGAGTAATACTCAAGGGTGAATTTTTGATCTGTCCCAATTAAACAATCTTTGCTGACTTGGTCACCTCCTACTCTCTCCCAGAAACAGCAGCTCCTGAGTGCTCTGGCAGCCATGGAGTCTCCTATACAGTCCAAGATGCTGCCTCCATGGCCTCGGCTGGTCCCGGGGGTGAGGAATGCCACAGGCTGTTACTCCATTCCCCAAGCCTAACGTTCAGGTAAGTCTTAAGGGAAATTCCAACCTGTGTTGGGTGAGCCCCAGCCAGGCCAATGCGAGACTCTGGGAAGACCTGAACACAGCCCCTGGGGCTACCAGGTCTGTGAGATCAAGGCAGTGATGCCCTCTGGGGAAGTAGGTTGGCATCAAAACACCCAGGCAGCAGCCACATGGCCTGGTGGGGAGTTCCCACCCTTGGCCTCATCCTTGGTACTCACGGGGGGCCTGGAAATCCCTTTCGGTTGCTTGGTGGGGCCCCAGCCCCAGAGGATGTCTCCATCCTTGGGAAAACTGTGTCCAGTGGGTAGAAACCACCTGTTGAGCAGAGCCGTTGACCACACCCGGCTGACTATGGGAAAGGCCCTCAACCTTCCCCAGCCTCAACCTCTGCATTTACAGAGCGGGGATAATAAGGGAGCCCTCGGAGTGTGTTAGGAGGAGAGCATCATCACGTAGATGGCTGGCGGTGACACCATCCTCATCTCCATCCAGTTCTCGGGGCTCATTCCCAGCAAACCGAGCAACCTTCATGGAGGCTGGTCAGCATCCCCCGAGAACCTCATCACACCGTGGCCTGCTGGGGAGGGGCCAGAATGGAGACCTCATTTCTAAGAGGAAGGGACACCTCTGCTCACCCTGTGGGCAATGTGAGGGTCGGGTGGTCAGCAAATAAATTCCACTCCCAGAGTGTACTTCGGCGGGACCCTAACACAGCAAGGTGGGGGATGCCAGGCACAAGGCTCATGGTCAGACAGGGTCCAGCCTGGCCTCTGTGGCTTCGGCTTGGCTGAGGAAGCTGCCTCTCCATCTTAGAAGCTGTATGTTTAAGATGAGGCTGAGGACGTTTACCCTGTGGGCTGCTTGTGGGCATGGAGGGGGTTAGGTGACCACAGCTGCTCTGCCAGCTGCCACTGCTCTCTCTCCATCCCCAGGCTCTGCAGCTGCAAGTCACTGGGGCCACTTCCCCAAATCCCAGACACCCAGGAGTCCTATGTGGCAGGCACTCCTTGTTTTAAATTCTGGGAACATCGGCTGTCGCCATACATTTAATATAGTGATTAAATAACAGGAGGACCTGAAGTATCTTGGAAGGAAAACCTTCATTGTTTGCAGGAACAGGCGATCCTCTGAAAATGCCTATTCACAAATGCACTTTATTAAAAAACACAAACACACATGCAGACTGAAAACGAGAGAACCACGGCCCCTGCTACAGCGAACACTGCCACGGAATGGTGTCTGCGGAAGACCAATATCATAAGGTGGAAAAATAAAGGAAATAAAAGAGCAAATAAGAGGAAACGACAGCTCTCCTAAAAGCTGATTTCATGCCATGTATCTCTGGTATAATGGCGCGTGTTAGAGCTAAAATTGAGGGCTTCAAAAACTGTTACCTGAGTTCTGAGTTTAATCATATCGGCTTCCATCTGGGAATTGGATTCATTTAGCTCCTTGATTTCTTCATCTAACTGTTTGATTTCTTCATCATTTTCTATACCTGTAATAATGAATATTAGTATGTTAAAACTGTTATATACAAAAATATTAGAGTTAGAATTTTGGGAGCTTTCTTTGTTCCTTTTATATTCGTAATTGAATTTGCTTGGAAAATAGACTCTTGAATTAGAAAGGAAAAAATCATCACAATCTCTGTGTCTTTCTATTCCCTACCACCGCCCCTTCCCCACCTAAGTTCCCCTACAAAAAGGAACAAACAATTGAGACGCACAGAAGACTCCCAGGCACTTTGAGGGTCGAGCTCCCAGGGACAGTTAACCTGGGTCTTAGATGTATCGAGGCAGAAACCACCTGGTCCTGAGTGCCGATTTGCTGAGCCTGGCCTGTTTTCTCCTGCTTTTGTTCTCTCTCTCGACTCGCTGTCTGCATCAGTCATTCTGCAAACACCCCAGGCTTGGAGCCAGGCTCTGCAGGTACGTTCACCAACAAGGCCAGGTCCTCCCGCCCTCACTCAGGTCAGGTTCTGGGTCGGAAAATGGGCAACAGACGTGTAACGACAAATGCCGTCCAGCAAACGCTGAGGATGACCTCACCTTACCCACCGACAGGAAGCTGTGGGAAGTGGGAGAGGGACATGGGGGCTGGCCGGAGGGAGATGGCCACAAAAGGGCTCTCTGAATATTCGACATTTAGCAAATAAAAAATCTCATTCTGAATGATTAAAAAGTATGCACTAACTAACAGAATTCCCAATTTGTAAACTCTGCCAGAATGATGACCTCGGCCAGGTGTGTACCTGACCATCTGAGTGTCCCTGGTGGGTGACTGCTGCCCTGCCGAGGTCCCTGGGGCACCTGGATCAGTCCTGGCATAGCTGGGCACAGGGCCCAGATGCCCATATTTACAAAGGCCATTCTGGACACTTGCTTCCCTGGCCGGCTGTGTCTGGTTACTGGCAACATTACACTGCCAACGCCAAAGAGAAGGAGATTCCTCTCTATTTGTGACCACTTGACCTCACACAATTGGGTGTACACAGAAGGAGAGCAGGAGTTTGGCAAACACAATCACCCTAGAAAATTCAGGATTTGAGATTGCTGTTCTCATTGGCCACACAGCACCACAATGGATCTTTACTCAAAACTAATGGAAAATGTATCCAGGCCTCCTAGGACTCCCAGTGGGTAGATGCTGTTTTCAAGCTTTGCAGACAGAAGGGCAGAAGGGGTACAATCAACCAGAGGCCGAGGCCTGAGAGCACCCCAAAAACCCTGCTGACATCAGCAGAACAGAGGTGGAGGCTCCTCTCTACCAAGACGTTAGAAAGATGAGAGTAAGAGAAAGTGATGGATCAGTGGGATTGGGCCTTAGATGCGGCTTTTAGTGAAACGAAAAAAAAGTTATACCCTCAAGATAAAAATACCCAATGCAAAAAATCCCAATTCATAAAGCAACTAAATTATGAACGAACGTATCATTTCAGAAGCATTCCCCACAAGCTTCTGTTAAACTGCAAGCATCCAAATGCCTTTAGAACACCTCCATGTGAAGGAGGCCCTCAGAACACTGGACGTGGTGAAGCTTCGACCCTCTACAGCTGTCACAGGCAAATTTCTCAAGCACATTCCTAGGAATCCCATCTCGCAGAGGCCTTTCAAAAACCTTGGACTGGGATGCTTAGTTTGAAGAATTCATGATAAATGTCAAACTAACTGGCCTATCAGGCTTTGTTATCTAATTGATCTGCCAGATCAGGTCAACTGTTCTGACAGAAGTCAGTGTCATTTTAAATCCAAATAAAAGTCTTGATACGGGTCCCATGACAACCTTTCATCTCTAATTTTGTTCTGGGAGTGATGGATGGGTGGATATTACTTCCATAGCTCTGCTCTGTCCTGGGGGACCACCCTCAGGCCCAAGTGGTCACCAACAGCCCTTTGTGGGAGCCTGGGAACGTCTCAGTCCTGGGGCTGCCCACTGCGGCTCTGTGCAGCATGCCATTCCTTTGTAAGGGGGAGGAGGGAGACAGGGAAACGGTGCCAGGAAGAACCGGCAGGTCACAGAGCATTCCCGGCCCATGAGATTCTGTAGGACGAGGGTATGTGGAAGAGGAGGGCCTGCAAACTGATTCTGTAGAGCTGTCCACAGCCACATTCCTGGGACATCCTGCGAGCCCCCAGGCACGTGCGCCTCGGCGTGAAGCCCCCTCAGGGAGAGGAGAGCTCTGGGTTGGGTGGGAATTCTCCTTATCCCTGCAGCAGGGCAGTGACTGGCCCAGGAAGCAGTCCCTGGGGTTGCTGGGGCCTCTGAGCTGAGCCTCACTTTGTGGATGGTTAGGCTGGAACTAGGGTTTTTTTGTTGTTGTTGTTTGTTTGTTTTGAGATGGAGTTTGCTCTTGTTGCCCAGGCTGGAGTGCAATGGCGTGACCTTGGCTCACTGCAACCTCCACCTCTCGGATTCAAACGATTCTCCTGTCTCAGCCTCCTGAGTAGCTGGGATTATACGTGCCTGCCACTACACCCGGCTAATTTTTGGTATTTTTAGTAGAGATGGGGTTTCACCATGTTGGCCAGGCTGGTCTTGAACTCCTGACCTCAGGTGATCTGCCCACCTCAGCCTCCCAAACTGCTGGGATTACAGGCGTGAGCCACCGCGCCCAGCCACAACTAGGGTTTTATAATACATTCCACCAGTTGGCCTGCAAGCTGTCAGGAGAAACTGCCTTTATAAAAAACTGGCCTGAGCAGGGAGGGCCCAGCCAAAAAGCAGCATCTCAGAGCCAGAAAATCCACCCACTGGACACCAAAGCAAAGAAGCAAACAAATCCTACTCAAATTAGCATAGCGTGGTCCTGGAAGATTTTGATTTACTTCAGGATCCTGGTAGCTCTTGAGAGACCAGTGTCCCATGGTGAACCCAGCCAGCGCTGGTCACTCTCACTAATGGCTTGGTGGAATTTCCATGCCTCCTGGAATTTCCTTTTCCTTACAGCTGAATAGAAACGTGAGTTCCCACAGTTTGGAGCTCTCAGGAATATTAAGCGAAATAAGTAGGTGAAGTTCCTGACAAAGCGCTTCATGTTTTCAGGGCTTGATGGAGGTTAGAGCTCCTTTCCCTAGCTTGCTTTCTGCTGTGATAGTAAAAGGAAAGAAAAAGCATTATCTTATTTCCTTCTCTCCTAAACACTGCCCCTGCCCCCACTACCCGCCAAAAAGCCACTGATGGTACAACTTCAGCCAAGGTGCCAAGGTGCTAAGAGGCATACAGTGAACTTCTGCAAAAGGGTTCTGAAGGGAGACTCACTAACAGCCACGCCGGCTGCTCAGGCAGAGCTGAGTACTAATGCGTGATGAGATCACTCCACGGATAAAGAAAATAAGGTGATCCTTGTTGGGCAGAGACATGAGAGCAGGCTCATCCCTAAACTTAAAAAAGAAAGAAAGAAAAATACTTTAGAGCCAGAAGGGAACCTCAAGGACATTTAGAATAGCTGCTTCCCTTTCAGACAAATGCTCAAGAGAAAGCGCTAAAATCCAGTGCCAGGGTCCTTCTTGGCCGAGTCAGTGCCTCACAGTGGATTCCGGTGGCTTCTCTGTCCCACACAGTGTCTGGGCCTCACATGGAGGGAAGCTGCTGCGCACTCTTGTTACACTGAAGGTATAAAAATGACCCCAGGAAAGGCTTTACACTCAGGATATGAAAGAAAAGAAGGCCGGGCATGGTGGCTCACGCCTATAATCCCAGCACTTTGGGAGGCTGAGGTGGGCAGATCGCTTGAGCTCAGGAGTTCAAGAGCAACACAGGGGGCAACATAGTCAGACCTCATCTATAGTAAAATATTTAAGGCCAGGCATAGTGGCTTACACCTGTAATCCCAGCACTTTGGGAGGCCGAGGGAGGTGGATTGCTTGAGCTCAGGAGTTTGAGAGCAGCCTGGGCAACATGGCGAAGCCCCATCTCTACCAAAAATACAAAAATTAGCTGAGTGTGATAGTGCACATCTGTAGTCCCAGCTACACAGGAGGCTGAGGTGGGAGGATCGCTTGACCCTGGGAGGCGGAGGTTGCAGTAAGCCAAGATGGTGCTACTGCTCTCCAGCCTGGGTGACAGAGCGAGACCCAGTCCAAAAAAAGAGAGGGATTGTCTTTTCCACATCTACAGCAAGGGCAACAGGAACACAGAGCTTCAGATGCAAAGAATGGTACCACAGCATCAGGAATTGGATGCTGTGCCTCTGTCCCCTGAAGAGCATCAGGAATTGGATGCTGTGCCTCTGTCCCCTGAAGAGCCGCAGGAATTGGATGCTGTGCCTCTGTCCCCTGATGAGCAGCAGGAAAGGTCCCTGGACCCTTCCTGGATTAGCTACACAGACATGGAAATGATGCCTGGGCACACAACTGTGCTCTGGGGGTAAGAAAGAACTATCTCAGTTTGGTGCAAACAGTGTCAGGAATCGACAGCCCCAGGCATCAGCACACACTTGGACTTAGGAAGACCCACTTCCACCACCTGTTCTCCCAGTGACCTGCAGCTCCTCTTTTTTACCCATGGACGTGCGTGCATTAGGATCTGCAGCAAGGGGAACTGTTTGTCCTAAAACTTAGCACAACACGAACTGTGTGTCTAGAAACTTGGGTGAAATGCAGCGACCTGGCTGAAGGCTGCCCAGCAGCAGCAGCTGGGCCCAGCGGGCGGACGGTGGCCCTGGAATGCCCGTGTCCCGGCTGCTTTCTGGTGGGATGACACCCAGTTGTTGGTTCCTCTAGTTTAGAGTCACAGACCAACTGCTTATCTTTATCCCTCCGAGTTAGCACCTGTTTTTGTGAATTAACTCCTTGTGTGCAGCAGTAATAGGAATGTCTAGTGCCCTCAATGCCGACTCAGGCCCACCGATGAAGAGATGGCCACCTCAGGGATCTGCCCACCGCCGCCCAGGTGGACCAGCCCAGGTGTGAATGGCCCCTCCTCTAGGATTGGCAGATCTGTTCTCTCCGTATTTTCTTTCCTTTTCTGTTTTGAACTGGCCTACCTAACCTAACCGCCACTTCCTTCATTAATGGGGAACAAAGGCACGTGGACTCGGATCAATTGTCTAAGGATTTCCACTTTAATCCAGGGTTATTCGGGGGTGAAATGCCCTCTAAGTATTTTGAAAAGCGCCCGGCATGCAGATGGGGCTTAGGGAATGTTTTCTTTCTGGCAAGGAGCACTGCTCCGTAATAACTAGAAAGCGAAAGTTGGCTATCCTGGTGTCTCAAAAGCGGGGTCCTTACACTGGCTGCTTGGGACTGCATCCACAGGGAGAGGTTGTGAGGGTGGGTCAGGGTATTCTGGAAGGCAGAAACTGACAGGAGCAGCCTGGGAGACAGGAGCAGCCTGGGGGACAGGATGCCTCCAGGAGCCCCAGACCTTGAGGACCAATGTCAAGAAGCTGATGACCTTTCTGGTGAACAATGGGCCACATGTTGAGGAATAGTTTGTACTGGCTGCTGGCAGAGGGAGTCCTGCAGGTACACACACGTGGGACGTTCAGGCGTCTCTCATGCTGTCCTCAGGACCACCAATAACAGTCAGATGAGAGGAGACCCCCGTGGCTGTGGCCAGGGGCTTCATGCCTGCATGCTTGGGAGCTGCTCAGGTGTGGCTCACTCTTGGTGGATTTGGGGAGGAGGTGCCCTTTGGTAAAGGTACAGCAGGAGGGTGCCAGGTTCTGCCCAGGTTCAGCTTTGTAGGGTGGATCTGTGCATCATAGGTCTGGGAGCCTTCAGCCCAGGGCATCCGTGCTTTGTGGTGCTTGAAGAGGTTTGCAGGCTCCATTTAGAAATACAAAATTAGGGGTGCATCTTGCAAGTGAAAGCTGAGAAGGGGAGGCTGGGCTTCTGCTGTGAAGGGGACCAGTCTGCTCAATGGCTACAGGTTACAGCTGATCTCATTATTCCCAGGAGCCATGTGCTATAAAGTTACTGCACACAGGCTGAGAGCAGAATCACTGCTTTTGGAAACAAAGGGCCAAGCTCCTGCCACCCTCTGGTCCCATTTTTGTCAATCGATCAATAAAAAACCCTGTTAATATGGTTTGGCTGTGTCCCCACCCAAATCTCATCTTGAATTATAGTTCCCATAACCTCCACGTGTCGTGGGAGGGACCTGGTGGGAGGTAATTGAATCATGGGGGTGGTTACCTCCATGCTGTTCCTGATACTGAGTTCTCATGAGATCTGGAGGTTTTATTAGGGCTTTTCCCACTTTGCTCTGCACTTCTCTCTCCTGCCGCCATGTGAAGAAGGACACATTTGCTTCCCTTTGCACCATGATTGTAGGTTTCCTGAGACCTCCCCAGCCATGTGGAGCTGTGAGTTGATTAATCCTCTTTCCTTTATAAATTACCCAGTCTCGGGTATTTCTTCATAGCAGTGTGAGAATGCACGAATACACCTGTTTTATGTGTGCTCCCATTTAAAGACAACCTATTTAATAGATACTGTGGATTCCTTAACATAGAAACTCCCAGCCAACAGTCACAACCATGACTCCTGTCTGAAGGGAGCTTGGCTAGCGTGTGTTTTCTCTGTGAGGCACATCACAGCCCCCTGCCCTTAGGAACACCAGACACTTCAGCTGCTCTGCGAGTGCACAGGACTAACTACAAAAGCACTGAGATCATTGCCTGCGTCTACAAATTAATTTCGGCAGGGAGGTGACCTCGCAAATAGAGTCCCCAGATCATGAGGGTGGACTGTGGATGTTTCTAAGGGCTTAAGTGGCTCTCCTCTCTCCTGCTCCTCCAGAGGCCCCCAGTTTTCCTCTGCAGAACTCTCTACACACCTGTGCTGGTTGGTGACAAGAGAGACCCTCAGAACAAAACAGATTTGCAGGTGGAATCAAGAAAATCAGGCACCAGACATGCAGAGAGTGAGGGCGACAGGGGAGGGGGTGCCATCCTTGTTATCTGTGGCCTGGGGTGGCCCCAAAGCTGCTCCTGGGTGGAGAAACCCTGGATGAGGGCCTGAGGGACACAGGCAGAAATGTGGGCACACTGGGGTTCCAGGGAGTAAATCGTCCAGTGCTGGAGAGACCCTCAGGACTTGGGCTCATGATTCCGGTGAGCAGTGAAATCGGTGAAGGTGGGAGACGGTTTTGAGAAAGACTGCTTTTTCTCAAGTTGCTTCGCTTTATAGATGAGAGGGCCAGAATTATCTCTGCCCCTGCTTTCTAAGAAAAGTGAGCTGTAACTGTCAAAGGACACACAGCTGGCATGGCCGTGCCCGCTGGGCCTTCCTGACCATGGGTGCCACGAGGGCTGGAGGGGTGCTCACCGTTGCTGGCCCGCTGTTTGATGGTCAGCATCTGCTCTCCAGAAAGCTTTGCCTTCTTCATCGCTGACGTGGCTCTCGGGCATCCTGACAAGCTGTGGACAAGACACAGGACGGCCATTAGTCAACTGTCTAATGTCCCAGCCCTGCAGGGAAGTGGTGGTAAGCAAGGCGTAGAATAGCATTATTAGGTTGGTTGCCAGCAAAAGGCTGTCTGAAAATGAGAAAAAGCAAAAAGACCAATGCATACAGTATGACAGTTATGCACACATGGGGTGCATGTGTGTGCACTCATGCATGTGGTGAGCACTGATCATGGGTGCTCGGCTGGGGCTGCCTCTTGGCGGGGGGTCTTGGGAGCTGGGGCTCTGAGAGCAGAGGAAATCTGCCCTTCATTGTATAACTTTCAGAGCTTTTTGGAACTTTTGTAGAGTGATAATATTGCTTAAAAATCTTTATTATGGAAAGCATCAAGCTCATAGAAAGGTTGGGTTTAAAAGTTAATTTCAAATATACAAAAGTAGAGACAGCAGAATAATGAACTCACCCCAAATTCAGCTGTTATCTCTCAAGGCTAGTCACCTGTGCCCCTCCTGCTTCCCCAGTCTCAAAGGTGAAAACATAACTGCAATCTCCTTATCTCACTTACAATTTTTAGCCAGTTTTCTAGTATCAGCAGCTATTCAGTCTGTTTTCAAACTTTCCAGGTGTCTCTTCACTTTTCTCAGCCACTGGTTTGTCGACGTCAGGATGCGTCTCAGCTCTTCACAGTGTATGTGGCAGATGTGGCTGGCAGCCTCCGGGGCAGGAAGGCACCTCTGCCTCCTTTTCTGTCCTGTTGGGTGTTTGCTGAAGATGGCGTGTCCTGTGTGCGGAGCGCCTCTTCCATGCAGTCCCGTGCCTCGGCTTCCTCACAACTCCTCAGTCTCCGAGGGGCCTTCCCTCCCTTCCAGGGGCTCCTGGACGTGCTGGTCAACTGGAGTCCTCACTGTGCTAAAGGCCAGGGGCCATCTGGCACTTAACTATGGGTGAGGTGAAAAACTTCTATATATAACGCTTTTTTTTTTTTTTTTTGAGAGGGTCTTGCTCTGTCACCCAGGCTGGAGTGCAGTGGCCCGATGTCGGCTCACTGCAGCCTCTGCCTCCTGGGTTCCAGTGATTCTCCCGCCTCAGCCTCCCGATTACAGAATTATAGCCTCTGGGATTACAGGTGTGTGCCACCACACCTGGCTAATTTTTGTATTTTTAGTAGAGACAGGGTTTCACCATATTGGCCAGGCTGGTCTTCAACTCCTGACCTCAGGTGATCTGCCCGCCTTGGCCTCCCAAAGTGCTAGGATTACAGGCATGAGCCACCGCACCCCGCCTATAATGTTTTATATATGTATATGACATATGTGTTTATTCTCTCTATACATAATATTGTATTTCACCTGTATATGAAGTGTTAGATGGACCGTGTCCGTAAGTGGTGTGATGATGTGTTAGTGATATATCTAGAAACACTCTTTACTAGTGCAGGCAGATTACATCATTATTAGAAATATCTCTAATATCTGCATTAATATAATTAAGCTTTCTAAATATTATTTTTGTAATACATTTTCTTTTAAAATTTAAGAAAACAGGAAAATTCATAGCAGAAGAACTTGATCGTAATACATTTTCAACTGGGGATATTAGTGGTTGTTTTTGGGGAAATCCTATCTTTGTATAAAAATATTTCCAGTATTCTTCATCCACACCACAGGTCTAAGTTGTTATTTTTTTGATGTGATGTTTGCATCTCATAATTATAATAGAATATTCATAAAATTCTAAATAATCATTGCTGTTGCCTGACTGTGTCCCCTGAAAACTCGTGCACTGAAATCCTGACCCCCACCGGGATGGTGTTAGGAGAAGGGGCGTATGGGAAGTGAGGAGGCCTCGTGATGGGATCCGTGCCCTTATAACAGGGACCCAGACAGCTCCTTAACCCCTTCTCCCATGTGAGGACAGAGTGAGAAGGCGTCGTCCACCAACCAGAGAGCAGCAGTTGCCAGATGCCGAATCTGCTGGTGCCTCGGTCTCGGACTTCCAGTCTCCAGAACTTGGAGGAATAAATTTCTGGTTTCTATGCTGCCCAAGGTATGGTATTTGTTTTTGCAGCCCTGGAACGTCTAAGACAATCACCAGTATTTGTTGCTCATACCACAACTCTGTGGCTGTGAACTGCTGTGTTTGCTGATGATGTTCCTAGGTTCAGTGGGAGAAGGAGCAGCGGGG
The DNA here is from genome assembly GCF_000001405.40 of Homo sapiens. Lineage (NCBI taxonomy): Eukaryota > Metazoa > Chordata > Mammalia > Primates > Hominidae > Homo > Homo sapiens. The sequence continues at coordinate 1,811,341 of NC_000002.12, forward strand.
ACTTTAACCCCAGCGTCATCAGCTCCAGCATCATCAGCTCTGGCGTCATCAGCTCTGGCGTCATCAGCTCCAGCATCATCAGCTCCCGCGTCCTATCCCATCCCAGGGCAAGCCGCACGGGAAGCCCCAGGAGCAGAGAGGCCTCTGGGAACTGGGTGGCCTGACAGGGTGGGCACGGTGGGCGCCCTGGCTTCTCCTGCTTGCCCTGACTGCATCCCCAGGAATCCGGACAGTCCCTGAGGGGGTCCTGGCTCGTGGTTCCCTTTGCTGTTTTTTTGTTCATTTATTTGTTACTAGACATTGGCACTGCTGCTTCTGATGGATCCTCTCACCCTGCCTGCTGCTGTTTACACCGGAAATCCCTGTGCTACTCAAGCTGTCTTTAGTGTGGGGCGTGAACGAACCCCTCGCGTTCCGGAGGGAACAGGCTCCTCTTCAGTCCTCCCTGATGGGGCCTGGGCAACAACCTGGCAGTCGTCCCCACTCCGGGGCACCCTCCTGGGTCTTCTCCTGCCTCCCCATCAGATCCCAGCAGGACGCCCTGCAAATCCGGCTGGGGTGGGGGCTGACACTTCTGCTTCCCTAGCTTATCCGTAAATCTGCTTCTGAAGGCGAGCTGGATATTTTCATTTGTAAAATAAGAAGTTCTCAAAAGATCTGTTAAGGCTCTCCTAAAATAGGATGCTTGGATGTTAACGCCACTTTTCCCCTTCCTGCCACTGGACACACTGTGGCTGTCACACACATCTTCCTGCAGGTGTGTCTGCGCTTTGGCCCCCGCATCCAGGTAGACTCTGCAGTCAGGTGACTACATCTGGCAAGTCCTTTGTGAGACCAGGAGGCCCACTGGACCTCACACCGCACCCCCTGATGCTCTAACGCACATAAGACGTGGAACTGGCTAGGAAAGACTTAGGCAGTCCTGTTTGCTCACTTATGAAATGAGAATAAAATATTGAATTGACTGTGTTTGTGAAGTTTAATGAAAAGAATGTGTATTCTTGAGGGCAAGGATTAAAATGCACTTTTTTGTTCACTGCTCTGTATCCCCATGATGGGAGAGTGCTGGAGATGGAATAGGTGCCCAGTGACGACTTCTGAAAGCATAAAATGTCTGAATGCACTTTGTGATGGCTCAGTGAGTGGAGGCCCAGGGTGAGTGTGAGTGCACCCAGGCTCTGGAAGGTGCAGACTGAGCCCTCAAAGAGGCCTGCGGCAGGATTTTGCAGGACTTCCAAGTTAAGAGAAGACTCTTAGCCGGGCGCGGTGGTTCATGCCTGTAATCCTAGCACTTTGTGAGGCCGAGGCGGACAGATCATGAGGTCAGGAGTTCCAGACCAGCCTGGCCAACATGGTGAAACCCTGTCTCTACTAAAAATACAAAAATTAGCTGGGCGTGGTGGCAGGTGCCTATAATCCCAGCTACTTGGGAGGCTGAGGCAGGAGAATCTCTTGAACCCGGGAGGCAGAGGTTGCAGTGAGCCGAGATCGCACTGCTGCACTCCAGCCTGGGTGACAGAGCAGGACTCCGTCTCAAAAAAAAAAAAAAAAAAAAAGACTCTTGAATGCAGCTGCCGCCCTGGGTTAAGATGAGAGGAGGGCTGGGGTGAGGGCCTCCTGCAGAGGTCCTAAGACTGTGACTGTAGGACAAGGGTGACGCCTGGTCGGTCCACGGTGCGTGTGGCCCAGCCCGGCTCAGTATGATCCTCACAAATGCAGGGAGCAGCTCCCATCTTTCCCCCGCTGAACCTCTCTGGCCTTCCGCCGTCTGAACCTCCGCAGCCCTTTCGACTTTCCCTGTGTTTGCGAATGGCATTGAGGGGCCAGGAGCTGCAGGTGGGGGGGAGAGAGGGAGGGCCACAAAGGCACGCCTCCTCCTCCTTGCCGTCCTCCCAGCGAGCAGCCTCTGCTGTTTGCGCCTGAACCCCCTCCCTTCTCTTCATCACTTCAGTCCAGGTCTGTGCTTCTTTCTCCCTCAGCGAGGCCCCTGGGCCTCAGCCTGGGTCCCATCCGTTCCATCCCACAGCTGAGAAATGGCCCCAGGGGCACAGCTGTGATTGCCCCCACTCCCCCAGGAGAGCTTCCAGCAGCTTCTCTGAGAGCAGCTGCCGATGCTGGAATATTTCCTAGAGCAGGGGTCCCCAAACTCCCGGCCGTGGCCTGTGAGGAACCGGGCCGTACAGGTGGAGGTGGGCAGTGGGCGGGCGAGCATTCTCACCTGAGCTCCGCCTCCCGACACGTCAGCGGCGGGATTCGATTCTCCCAGGAGCGCAAACGCTACTGAGAACTGCGCCTGCGAGGGGGTCCGGGCTGCGGGCTCCTTAGAAGTTAATCCTGGTGATCCCAGGTGGAACGGTTTCATCCAGAAACCATCCCACCCCTTTTCTGTAGAAAAATTAGCTTCCGGCCGGGCGCGGTGGCTCACGCCTGTAATCCCAGCACTTTGGGAGGCCGAGGCGGGCGGATCACGCGGTCAGGAGATCGAGACCATCCTGGCTAACACGGTGAAACCCCGTCTGTACTAGAAATACAAAAAATTAGCCGGGCGTGGTAGCGGGCGCCTGTAGTCCCAGCTACTCGGGAGGCTGAGGCAGGAGAATGGCGCGAACCCGGGAGGCGGAGCTTGCAGTGAGCCGAGATCGCGCCACTGCACTCCAGCCTGGGCGACAGAGCGAGACTCCGTCCCCAAAAAAAAAAAAAAAAGAAAGAAAAATTAGCTTCCATGAAACCGGTCCCTTGTGCCAAAAGGTTGGGGGCCGCTGTCCTAGATGGCCTTTGCGACGGGCTCTTCTCACACGTGCTGCCTCCCGCTGTCCACTCACGAATTCCCCAGGCCAGCGATCTTCTCTGCCGCTAGGTGAACGCCCCTGGCACTCCCACTTGAGTTTGCTGTCCCGCCCTGTCCCCATCCAACTGACCTCCCAACTCTTTACTGTTTTGTCCACAAAGCAGGGCCCGGCCTGCACCAGGAGGCCCTCCAGGCCCAGGCTCTGGCCCACCACAGCGCTGCCTTCCTCGAATCCCCTGCGCCCTGGAGCGCAGCCTCCCGGGACGTGGACATGGGCGGTTCCCATCCTTGGTTATCTTTTCCTCTTCTGCTGGTCTGAGGGTGGTTCCTCGGAATGCCCACCACATTGCTATGTGTATCCCGGTGTCCAGGAGCCTTTGCAGATGGGACATGTTTAGTAAAAATGCACAGCATAGAAAATGGAAACAGACTGACATCATGTCAGTGATTTTTCCTTTAGGATTCGGCTTTTGCAGAAACTGCCCCCAGCCTCCACCTCACTGGGGGTGCGGAGCTCCCCAGCCTCTTTCTCTTTTATGGGTCTTGCCGCAGAATTTTTAAAGATCTGCTCAGTTAAGTTCTTTAGGGCAGGTCTCACTTTCTTTTTCCCACAGTGCACTAAATGCTTGCAGAATGGTAGGTGCAGGCCTGGCGGAGAGCATTCACCCATGAACGAACAGCTCCTTAGTGGTGGGGTGGAGAGTGGAACCTCGTTTCCCTGGCTCTGCTCCAGGCTTGCTTCTTGGGGATTCTTGTTACCTACAACCTAGGAGCTCCAGGGAGAAGTGAAGTACAGGCTTGGAAGTCAGACTTTCTCTGCTAAGTCCTGCTTCTGCTGCTGACTTATTCTAGTGACCTTTCTAAGCTCGGGTGTTTCATTTGTAAAATGGGAATTTAAAAGCAAACAAAATTTCCCACCTCATAGGGATATTTTGAAGGTTGAATATAGAGAAAGGATATTAAACCAGAACCATGAAAGGCAGATGTCAGGATAGCCAGGCCTGGGAGAACAGGTGAGGTTCCGTCCTGTGGAATCAGCTCAGTGAGCTCCGGCCGCCACAGGCCTGGCTCTCTGGGGCACATGGTTGAGAGCCCGAGGTGAGGCCCCTCTGCGGCTGGGCTTGGTGACGCAGCTCCCAGAGCCTGGCTGTGTTGGTGCGGATGTCTCTGCCACCTTCGCTGAGCAGCATCAACAGGCCCCTTCCCCATCCTCTCTGTCGCTGGGGTCCCTCCCTGCTCCCACTCGTCATGAGGGGGTGCATTTGCTTCTTCAGTGGCTCTTGCCTCATGATGCTGTCAGCTCTACCCCAGCAGGGTCATCCCCGTGTCCTTTCCACCCTCTCCACTCAGAATCACGGTTCCTGCCTGGGAAACCACGGGCCCTAGAGGGATGTCTGTTGCGTGAATAAAATAGGAAGGACAGTGTCCTGCCTCTCAGTTGTCAGGAAGCAAGAGGGGCCGAGAGGCCGAGCTGCTTTCCCACTCTGATTCTGAGGAGGGAAGAGTGTGGGGGAGCACCCCCCTGGGTACACCTCCATGGAATCCTAACAGCCACCCCTTCCCCATGCCCTGCCCCCAGAACTCCCGGCCTCTCCGCACCAGACAGTCGGTCAGGCCAGTGTCCCAGGGCTGCCTGGCCCATCTCTCCTTTGTCCTGTAGTTTATCTTTTCTAGTTTAGAATTATTTTTTGTCTCTTCTTAGCCATAGATGGCTTTTCCTGCATTCAAACCCTTAGACTGGGGAGTGGCTCCAGGCATCCAGGTGAGAGGCACACGGCACCGCCCCGAGAAACTCCGTGGCTCCCTGTGCATCAGCACGCTTCATCACCAATGGAACGCCCCATGGCACAGTTATCTCTTTTTTTTCTTTTAAAAATATTTTAATAGAAACTAGGTCTCACCATGTTGCCCAGGCTGGTCTCGAACTCCTGATCTCAAGCGACCCTCCTGCCTCAGCCTCCCAAAGTGCTAGGATTACAGGTATGAACCACCACATTCAGCCTTTTTGTTGTTGTTGTTAAGAAATAAAACAGAAATTTTGATGGCTTAAAGTCCCATGTTAAAAATTTTGTATTATCCATTACTAACACATCACACAAGCACTTTCCAGCTCAGGTAGTGTTTGGGGACCCAAGGCAAGCGATCATTCTGAGCTACGCTGTATGGATTAGCGAATGAAGCAGAAGCACTTGGGGAAACCGGACAGGCCCCGCGGATAGCAGTTGTGTGGTGCCTGGCAATTCCTGGCTCAGGAGCAGAGCTCTCCGCCGGGTTCCCAGAAGCTTTGGGCCCCGGTGGGCACCCCCAGAGGAGAGAGGGAGGAGCCGCTCAAGCCCCCCCACGCCACTCACGATGCTTCCTCCCTCCTGTTTTAGATCCAGCAGAGAAACCAGCCTAACGGGGAGGAGGTGCTGCGTGAGGAGCCAAGGACATTCCCAGCAAATACTTTCACAGCTTAAAAGCCACAGCCAAAAGCAGCTGCTGAGGCTACGCCAAGACGAAGGCGCATAAAATGAGGATGGACATGGTGCACGTTGGCTGCTTTGACTTGACTTCAGGGAAACCCCGTCACCCATGTTCTCTCGCTTCAGGCGCTTCTTTCAAGGCCACTGAGTGAGCGCACAGTGACAGCTGTGGCCCCCCAGGGGGTGGCCCTGTCCCGTTCCTATGCCCCAGTGTATGCACAGGGCCTCACTGCCCGGCTGGGGGCCTGGGGCCTGCATTGTAGGGTGAGAGGTAGACGAGAGGACCCCGGGGTCCTGCCAGTTGGTTCCGTCCCAGGGTGGACCCCTGTTGTCGGCAGCACCCAGGGGTCCCTGCAGACGCCGTGCTCCAGAGGGGCTGCACACGGCCACCTTGTCCTCAGCTCCCCATGGGTGCCTCAGCTCCTGAAATCATGCAGTGTGGTCAGAAGGTGGCTCCTGCTGGGAGGTGGGCACTGGGGTACTTGTCCACTCTTATGTCAAAAAGGCCCATTTTCTCATGACTTGATTACAAAGTTCCTTATTAAGTGTATTTAGTCATATCTATTAGGGATCTCCCCATCCTGGCTTCTCCTACCTTGAAAATAAAGGAACAGAACTAAGTTATGTGCGGTTAATTAAGTGCATGGGAGAGAACCACCCAGAGGACCGACGGCTCCAGGAAGCAGAGGCCACCGGTGCAGGGAGGCAAGTCCCCCATGGGTGGGGGGATAGGGGCGCCACACGGCCGGAAACTGCAGAGTCCACATTCCTGGACCCACACTGCGGTTCAGCACCGGCTTTGCCCACAGTCTCACGCTGCTTCTCTTCACTCTCAGTTAATAAAACTGCCTGCTGGGAATGACAAATAATGGTGTTATTTAAGGAGCAGGAGCCTTCAGCAAGAGTTTGGGAAACTAAATTAGGAAACAAAGACGGGCCTGAAGAATGATGCATTCTGTCCAAACGCGGCTGTGTCGGTGCTGCCAATTCCAATCCGGTGACTGCACTGCCAGCTCAGGTCCAATTTGGAAGAGAACCCTGGGAGCAGGCCCAGCGCGGCCCTGGGGGGTGGTGGCGGCCCTGGTGCGGTGACAGTGCCATCTAGCGGTGGCCTGGGGGCGGTGCTGGTCCCGGGCTCTCGGGAAAGTCCACACACCTGGCTCAGCCAAGGAGGTCAGCCCACGGCTGGTCCCGGGTGTAAATTATAAAGAGGGTGCTTACTATTTTACTCACACGTTAGTTCTGAACCTGAGACCCAGCGGCCTGTTACAGAAACGCTTCTCCAATTAAAGTCAAGTGCTGCTGAGTGTAGGTTTGGAAGTCACCAAGTTTCAGTGCGGGGAGGTTCCGGGCAGCAAGTAGTTAGGCGGCTGCTCCACCCGCTTGCCCCAGGCCCCAGACGTCTGGCACCAGGCGTCAGCACCAGGGATTCCAGATGAAGGTTCCAGCGAAAGCTTTAGAAGGGCTTCAAACCGAGCTCCGGGAGGCCCTGACATTTTTTATCAGGACATCAGCTAGAAGGGCCTTTTCCTGGAGAACATTACAGTTGGAAATAACTAAATAAGTGAAACTTTCGAAGGGGGATATGGTTAACAAGACACACAGATTGGGAAGAAAAATAAGTAATTTGAGAGGAGGTGGGAGTGTGTGTAGAAGCTTTGTTGCAGCTGGAAGGTGCTAGGATGAGAACTCACGACAAAGAGCTGCGGGTGGGAAGAGCCCAGCCAGGTGCTGTCTGCGATTCAGTATCCTCTGAACATCAGCTCCACACAGCCAGGGGCAAACAGTTTCCTTCACAGTGAGTTTCACTCTAATAACATTTTATTTATTTTACTATTCCCTATTCCACTGCTACTATTTTAATACTCTAACTATATAATATGTAATTTATATGAGACACAATACACTCCAGGTGTACACTGTTACTGTGTATTTTAATCCTATTCTTGTCACTGATTGACTCATGATGACGGAGCATCTCCTCAATAAGCAAACAGGGATTTGGTGCAGCAGCCACAGCCTGTCCTGCATTTGCCCCGGTCGCCACGAGAGCAGCTCTCCTGTGGTTCGCTTCCCGGACTCTGGCCCCAGCATATGTGAGGAAGGGCAGGAGGGTGTTCTTGGAGCCACGTGACATTTCTGCCTCTGACTGTGTATCAGATCTGCTTCCATCTCAGTGGGAAGCAATGGCATCGTGGTCCCTTCTCAAGCCAAGATCCAGAATTTGGAGGTTTTTCCCCTAAAAATATTCTGTGCCAAACAGGGTGCTCTCAAACCATGGAGAGAGGGAAGCGTTTCTAGAACAGTGACCTCTGTGGCAGGTGGACGCCTCGGCCACAGCCACACAGGCAGGTGGTGCAGAAAGTGCAGCTGTGGGTGGCCGTGTGACCACCCAGATGGCCCCCAGCTCCCAGCTCCCAGACCAGGTCCCTCCCACTGGGGTGCATGTCCACCTGCCTCAGGAAACAAAGGTCCCTCTCAAAGCCTGAGGGATGGCAGCTACCCACACAGCTCATTCCTGCAGCCCAGGGAGTCCACCTGCCTCCTGCCCAAGGGATGGATTCTGGAGCCACTGCTATTCGGCAGTGACAATCAAAACACTGTTAGGAGAAGAAGGCCTGAGAAGAGACGTTTTGAAGAGCCACTTCCATAGGTCATCAAACGTCCTATCTCTATTCACTCATCAGCAACACTTACCTCCTGTCCTCAAGCACAGTCCTAACAGGAGGGTCATGACAATGCTAACAGCAGTGGTGAGCTGCTGTAAATGCTTTACTTATCACATGCTGGCATGCTCTTCAGACTTGGCCCACTGCTCAAACAATCTATGACCATCCCATTTTACAGAGGAGAGAATCGAGACGCAGAACAGCTAACTTGCCCCAGACCATACAGTCAGAAAAGGCAGGGCTGAGTTTATACCCAGGCCATCCAGCACCAGCCTCACCCTCCACTCCTCCTCCTGCAGCCTCTCTCCATGCACCCGTGAGTGACAGATGCTACACTCGGGCCCTGCCAGTGCAGTTCGGGCAGAGGCCCCTGTGAATACACATGCCCTACAGGGATGCACATGGTCCGATGATGTGATGCTCTGCAGCATTACAGAGGGAGGTGGAGTCCGCATGGGTATTTAAAGACAGACATTTGTTTGAAGAGGACAAGGAGCAGTGGAAGGGCCAAAGAAGCCTGAGCAGCATGTCTTCAGCTTTGAATTTAGGTCTGGGTGCAACCAAGGGGCAGAGAGGCAGGGAGCTGGAGGGATGGGTAAGAGCTTATTAGGGAAGATCTCAAGTGCCTTACAGAGGAGAATGGATTTAGCTTCTAGGCAATGACAAAGGATTGGAAGCATGTAATCCTGGCAACCACACAGTAGAGTTTGCTTGGTAGAGAGCTCACTGGCAGCAGCCTGGAGGATGCTTGCAGAGGGCAGAGGGCAGTGGGGGGGGGCCAGCGAGGAAGCTGGCAGAGGGGCCTGGGGGAGGAATGAGGGAGTACAGCCTGAGGCAGCAATGGGTTCAGAAGAGAGCACCCACTCAAGAGGAGTAAGAAGGGCTGGGGCTTGGTCACCCATTGGATGGGGCTTGCTGCTTTTGCATTCCAAATTGATAGTTTGGTTGAGTATAGAATACTGAGTGTGCAATCATTTTCCTAAGAGTTTTGAAGGCATTGTTCTATTTGATTCTTGTTTCCAGCATTGCTGTTGAGTACATCTCTTAGCTTCCTTTTCTTTTGTCTCTCACTTTGTCTCTGTTTGTCCCTCTCTTTCTCTGTATCCCCACTCCAGGTTCTCAAAATTTCATGATGATGAACCTCTGTGTGGTTGGCTATGACAGTTTTATATGTCAACATGGAGAGGACACAGCATCCAGTTGTTTAATCAAATACTTATCTAAGTGTTGCTGCGAAGGTATTTTGTAGAGTGACTAACATCTACCATCAGTTGGCTTTTTGTTGTTGTTGTTGTTGTTGTTGAGACAGGGTTTTGCTGTTGTTACCTAGGCTGGAGTTCAGTGGCATGATCATACTCACTGCAGCCTCCAACTCTTGGGCTCAAGCAATTCTCACTCCTCAGCCTCCCAAATAGCTATGACCACAGCCATGTACCACCATGCCTGGTTAATTTTTAAATTTTTTGTAGAGATGATGTCTTGCCATGTTGCCCAGGTTGGTCTTAAACTCTTGGGCTCAAGTGATCCTCCTGCGTCCTCCTCCCTAAATACTGGGATTACAGGTGTGAGCCACCACACTTGGCCTAGCTGACTTTAAGTAAGGAGATTATTCTCAATACTCTCAGTGGGCCGGACTCAAGCAGTCAAAAGACCTTAAGAATATAACTAAGGTTTCCCCGAGGAAGAAGAAATTCTCCCTGTGGAATGGAACTTCTCCTGAACAAGAGTTTCTAGGCTGCCTGTCTGCCCTACAGATTTTGGACTTGTGGAGCCGGTCCCAGATGGTGTCAGCCAGTTCCTTGTGATGAACCCGTCCATATATAAATCCTACTGGTCCTGCTTCTCAGGTAGAGCCCCGGACGACATAGAACCATTTCATGATTGCGTGGCTACTCAACGAGGCCTTTATATCTGAAAACTCAAGATCTCTGCCATGGGGATTTTCCTTGTTTTCTTTCTTTGGGAATTTTCTTTCTTCCATTTGCTCTACTCTCGCTACTTCTTCAGAAACTCCTATTAGTTGATTACTAACTCTCCTGAATTCTTTATTTTTTTTTAACAAAATCTTTTATCTTCTTTTCTCATCTCTTTATAATTTATGGGACATTACCTCAATTTTACATTTTAACTTTCAAAGTAAACTTTTTATTTATTTTTTAAAATAGATATTCGTGTTCTCTGAATGTTTCTTGGGTTATGAATACAATATATTTTAATGTTCTTTCTGTTCTTTTCTGTCTGATGACAAATTATAGGTTTTTAAAAAGATTGCTCCTCTTTCCAGAAATGTTTCTGCTTCCTCTGAGCTTCTTTTGCCCCCTGGTAAGGCTGGTTTGTTTGCTTGGTTTCTGCCATGTTGTTTACTGCTTGCCTTCAGTGGCCGGAGTCCTTGGCTGTTCACGCATACATCCCAGACATTGGTGCCTGGAGGCCCTTTATCTTGAATCTGTTGGTTCTAGAGAAGAGGCCCCTGCTCTGTCTGGAGTGGCGGGGAGTGGAGAAGGCAGAGGAGCAGGAGGAGCCGCTGGATTCCCGGAGCCACACGGGACCAAGGCCTTGGGGCCTGTCCATCTCACTTGACGTTCCCATCTTCAGTACAACGGCTCATCCTGTTTCCAGCTCTTCCTAGCACTAGCTCCAGAGCTTCTGTTCTAGCTTATCCTTCTGCCGGGGAGAAGGAGGCCTGTGGCAGGGCATCCGGGAGTCGAACCCCTCTTAGACAATTCAACTACTCCTCTGTTTTCCGACCAACTCTGAATCCCCACTCTAGGTCCCAGCCTCTTTTCTATGGAGGTTCTGCATGCTCTTCACTCCTCTTTTTCTGGGTTCTTTCTTCACTCTTTCTCTCCACCCCCATCCTCTCCCTCCCCAACAGCTCCTCTGCAGGGAGCTGAGGCCTGAGCCATGTGTGCTTGGGCTGGGCGGCTCCCAGTGCTTTGTGGATGGGATGGTCTGCACTTCCCTTCCTTATTTAGTTATTTAGTTGCATTATATTTGTGGGTTTATAAGAGGAGAGTGGGTCATTTTAGTAGTGTTTTAAGATTTAGTGGAGATATATGTGATTTCAGTCTGCAGAGCTTGGCTAGGATTCCCAATAGAGATGCCTAATAAACCCAGTATTGAGGAACACACGTGCACCTTTCTGCAAGGTGTCTGCCATCTTTGTGTGGGTTGGGTCTGTTTCCTGGAGAGCGCAGGGTGTGTCCACTGTCAGCCCCTCTTCCCCAGGGATGCTCCTGCGTGCTCAGCAGGCACTTGGCTGCCACAGGATGGCGAGGGCTGGCCCTGGGACCACATGGATCTGAGGGTGGAGGCAGAAGTGTGGCCTACAGCCTGTGTCCTTCGAGAGGGTCCCCTTCCTTCCTCCAGGGACAGGATGGCTGTTGTGGTAGCAAACTCACCCTGAGGTGGTCTCCGAGTGTCAGGGGCTGAGGTGCAGGACCCGGATATCTGGGTCCCTGGCAGTCAGAAGCCACCGCCTCATGGCTGCTGCTGTGTCCACGGTGAAACCCTCCTCTCCTGTGAAGGAGCCACTGCCTCACCAGGGCTGCTGTGTCCACAGTGAAACCCTCCTCTCCTGGAGGGTTTCTCTTTCTCAGGAGCAGCTGCTTGCTGCTGAGGACTGAGTGTAATCCTAGCAGAAGGGAAATGTTTAGTTTTGTTTCTCCTTTTGCTTGCCTCTCAGGAGCCTCGGTTGTTAACGTTATCACTGCTGTGGCTTGGCTGTGTCTCCTGAAGGGATATGTTGATGGCCTGGCCCCTACACCTGTGAAAGGGACCTTATTGCACCTCGTTTTCTTTTTAACATGTGAACCATAACTCTTCTGCAAATGTGAGCTTTTGCCCTAAGCTCCTCAAATGGCATCGACACGTGGGAGGAAAAGATCCTCAATGAGGAGACACCTGTCCTGCTGCACAGCCCTGTGGCAGCTTGGCCTCCCCAGGCAGACCCAGCAGGGGCACCCAGCTGGTGGTGCTGGCTGTTATAGTCGTGGTGGTTGTGGTAGTGAGGGCTGTTGCTGCTGTTGTCAGAGCTGTGGCTGTGAGGCTGTTGTTGCTGTGGTTGTGGCTGCAACCTTCATTGTCATAGATATAGCTGTGGCAGCTGTAGTTGTAGCCTTCTCTCCACTTGGGGCACTCAGGTCCACCCTATCTGGCTCAGGGCTTCGGCTCCGGGGTCCTGGAGGAGGGAGCAGGCAGTGGGCTGGAGTGGGTGTGGTTGACGCTGGAGGGCAGCCTCTGAGCAGCTCCCCCAGGACGGAAGCGAAGGCTGCAGGCGGGGCTTGGGTCAGGCTCCTGGGAGAAGCAGTGACGAGGCTGGGTGCCTGCAGGAAGACCCTCAGCTGGCTGCATGTTCAGCCCTGCAGGTGGGTCGTGCTCCTGGGAGGAGCAGCGATGAGGCTGAGTGCCTGTAGGAAGACCCGTGGCTGGCCGCATGTTCAGCCCTGCAGGTGGGTCAGGCTCCTGGCACGAGCAGCGATGAGGCTGGGTCCCTGTAGGAAGATCCGTGGCTGGAGGCGTGTTCAGCCCTGCACTGCCAGTGGTGGCGGCCCTCGTCCCGTGTGGTCAAATTTACATTTATATTTACTGAAATCTAACAATTTTTAAAAGTTCTCTGTCACAGGAGCCAAACTTCAAGAGCTGAGTAGTCTCAGGTGTCCAGTGACCATTACGTGGCACAGTGTTGGCCTGGGCCTCGCCGTCCCTGGCACGACCCATGGGATGAGGCCGCGCCTCCCCCCCCAGCGGGGCCGCCGGGCAGAGGTGATGTGGGATGCTCAGTGACTTTTTAGGGAACGTGCCAAGCCCTCTCCATGGGGGTTGGGGAACGTTTTTAGTTTGGATTCTAAACAGAGAGTGATTCTTGCTATGGAACAAATTTAAATAATAGCTAATAAAGCAGACTAGACTTACTAAACATATTCCTATGCTTAGGAGCCTGCATTAAGCATTTTAGATACATGACCCCAACCAATTCTTCCAACAATCTGTAATGTAGATTCAGTTTGGTATTTTCTCCACGTCTCTCTAGGGTTAGGTAATTTTGTGCCCAGCAGAGCAGGGCGGTGCTCTGTCCTCTGGGAAATACTGCCTTCCTGGAATGTTCCCTCCAACCCAGAGTGCTGAGAAGGCTGGCAGGATAGAGGCCAGAACATGTCTGACGTCAGCGCCAGCCTGGACGGAGAGCTCGGATCCCAGAGAAGGCTGAGCACAGGGAGGAGAGGGGCATGGGCCTCTGCATTTGAGCTGCTCTCGTCCTGAAGTTTGTGCCCTGGGCCCTGTGAGAACTCAGGGGCCAGCCTGTGACACCCCGGCCAGGCCATGCGAGGGTGGCGCCGGGACGCCGCCCTCTGCGGCTCCTTTGGGGAGCACTGACCAGCACTCAGGGATGGATCCGTGCAGCGAGTTGTCGAGAGGAGAGAGTGGAGGAGGACTCCGCAGTATCCCGGCTGATGCATATTGAGTCATCCAGAGGAGAGAGAGGGGGAGGACTCCGCAGTATCCCGGCTGATGCATAATTTGTTCTTCTTATGCATTTTACCACCATTTTGGCTAGCATTTGGTGCTTCAAGGAACAGCTGTTAGAAGCGAAAATCAGAGAAAAAGGCATTTGCGTTTCAAAGGCTTCGCTTTGTGGATGACACATCCCAGAGATAGGAGGAACTCCTGGCAGCAGCCATAGATTTGGAAGGATGCATCCCCATCAGGTAGCGGTGGAGGAATCTCCAGGGAGGAGACAGAGAAGGGAGAGGACAGGAGGGAGAGGAGTAAGGGGTTTGGATGCCTGTGGGTCCTCAGAGAGTGGCCTGAGAGCCAGACTTTCTCCCTTTCCCCTGAGAGCAACATGGAGCTGGGGAAAGAGACCTCAGACACGCCACTCCCCTGCCTTCCTGATGGCGACAGACACAGAGAGGCCTCAGGGCTGGGAGCCGGGAAGGTGGAGGAGCTGCCCATGAGGCTGGTGCTTTGGCAGGGAAAGGGGCCCCCCAGGAGCTGCCACCTGCCCCAAAGGTGCACCTGGGATGAAGATGGGGGGGAGGCACCACAGCGACCTAGTTATGGCGAGCAAGCTCTCACCATACAGTAGAGGAGGAGACAGAAATTAGTTCAGTTACAGAAAACAGATACATTGGTAGAATTTACATGTTATAACATAATTCCATTAAAAAGTTGGCATACTCCTGAAAACCTACTTACTCTTCCCTTAAGAATCAAGTAATATTATGTTTATTAGAAATTATTTGGAGAAATCAAAAGATTGGAATTACAGTCTTAGCTTCACACTAATTATGAGAACGTCAAAGTTTTTTGTTTGTTTAATTGAGATTAATTCACATATGGGAACCCGCTTTTAAAAGATCAGGTTCCCCATCTCTTTATTGGATATAAGAATGATCCTATTTGTTTGTACTGTTAATTTTTTGTTTGTATATTGGTTTTCCCTATAAAATTATAACAGGCTAAGTTTCTTGGGACAGAGACTGTCTTGAAATTTTTATTTCTCTGAAGATCCTAGCGCAGTGGCTGGATAGTCCCCTTCCAGTGGGCAGAATGCTAAGGTGGCCCCAAAGTCTCCCCGTGTGCACCTGCCGTGCGTGGGCCTCTGTCCTTGAGTGTGGATGGTCCTGTGAACACAGTATAGTCATTGCCCCCATGATGGGGTGACATCCTATGAGACCCCAGCCCAGCTGCCAAGCAGTGAGGCCACCGGCTGTGTGGCCAGGACCTGGGGGCCTCATCCGCGGAGGACGACTCTGCCCAACGTCCAGCAGGACAGTCGGGCCTGACAGCTGCAAGCTCAGGAGCTGAGTTCTGCCAGGAACCCGCATGAGCTGTGAGTTGGACTGTGAGCTCCAGGGGGGACGCCACCTGCAGAGGACCCCCTTAGGCCAGCCTGGGCTTCCACCATGGGAAAACTGAGCTAATGACAGGGCCTGGGTTTAAGCTGCTTTGTTTGTGCCACTTTGGAGAACAAACTAGAAGACCGGCACGGTGCTCGGGCATGGGACACAGTTCGGCTTCCTGCGCTGGCGCAGAGGGCCCTGCTGAAGCTCAGTGCTTTCATTCAGCATCTGCTGAATGCTTGCCAGGTCCTGGGGAGGGCTGGGGGGCGGGCGAATGTGGGAGTGCTTCAGGAGGGAATCTTCCTGCAAAAACAAAGCAGGGTCGCGCTCCACCCTGGTCAGCGCTGGGCCAGAACACTGGGTTGTTTCAGGCAGAGGAGGTTGACCAGATGTCACCTCTCCCTGCTGCTATTCACAGGGCCCTTTGGGATTCACAGTTCGAGACAGATGTTGAATCTGACTCTTTCCCTCCCAATTGCTTCCCGTCAAACACTAAAAGATGGAGATTAAAGGAAAAGAAGCAAAGGGTCTGAGGTGCTTTTAGGACGCAGCACCGGGTACCGGGTCAGTGCAGGGCCGGCGTCGGGGAAAGCGGAGGGCTCCCCTTGGAGGGTGTCTGGGCCTGAGGCAGAGCAGGGAGCTGACTCCAAAGGTCAGAGAAGTCAAGTCCCTGAAGGCTTCCTTGTAAAGTGGTTCAGTAAGGCCAGTTTTCCACAGGAGTGGCGTGGGGGCAGGGGGAGCATGGGGTGGGGGTCGGGAATGTAATTCTCAGAAGTGAGGTTCCTCATGAGAGCAGGTGGTGGGGTGGGGTGGGGCTCACTGACTGAGTCCTGCTTTCTCCAGAGCAGATGCAGGAGGAGGCGCATCCTGGCGAGGATCTCACTTTAGCAATCCCCACCCCTGCTGGTGCCCCAGACCCCTCCCCATCCTGCAGGGCTCTGGATGGGTCAACCTGCCTGGCCTCCAGGACTAGAGATCACGGCCTGGACACAGCGCAGCAACATTTCCTCTCTTTTCCCTGAGGTGGTGACCTGGCCAGATGACTGAAGGGCTGATAGTGAGGGGCTGCCAGCCCAGAATGGGGGCATGGGGCTTCGTAGGAGCTGGGGCACGGCAGGGTTCAGCCCTGGATGGAAATGCTCTCTGTCTCCCTCCCTTGTGCTGCATTTACTCCTGGGCTGGGGCCACCCTCCCTTCCACCTCCTGCAGATCACAGAGGGACCCAGAGCTCAGGAGAACTTTCTTCCTGTGTTATAAAACAAGGTATGCCATTGAAACATGCCTGGGTCAAACAGAAAGCTCCCACCGGGCCTGGAGGAGCCCCTGGCAATGTGGTCCTCATTCCCGCCACCCTCTGCCTAGAAGGGGATCTCAGAGAGTTGAGGGGACCTCTCTGGTTGGGAAAAGGGGAGCATCCAGGGAGCGCCAGGAGAGTCCTGGAGGAACATTCTGAGGTGACACGGCCCCAGGGCTCTGTCTACGGCAGGGATCAGCATTGCTGACACACAAAATATTTATTCCCTGATGATGTGGAATTTGGAATCATCATCAGAGACTTCAGTGCAGAGCAACTGGAACCTCCTGAGTGTGCCCTGTCTATATATCTGGTCTCTGGACAGGGTGGCCAGTCCTTGTCCATGACAGGGAGAGCGAGGACCCCTCCCCTCCACACAATTGGCAGACGAGGAACTACCCTCCTGGGGATCCAGAGGCAGGGCGCCCCCCTAGAGAGGACAGCTGGGGAGGGTCCCCTCACTGTACTTCCCCCACACCTCCAGACACCAGCTAGTGATCTGTCCTGAGATCAAAACCAGAATCCTAGTAGATGAGCTGCATGCTTGCTGTGGACGCCCTGCGCCCTGAGAGTCTTGTCCTGGATCGCACGGGTGTGTCCACAAATGAGACCCAGCAGCCCTGGAGCAGCCCCAGCGTCTCTCCCTACTGGCAATGCATCCGGGAGCGTGGCTTGCCCTCCGAGTCAGTTCCCTCATCTCTAAAACAGGACCACACAGATCTCAGGGCGCGTTGGTTGAATGTTTACCTGTGTTGTGTAAAAACTATGGCTACTCAGCAC